>NC_000016.10:26668304-26971334 GCF_000001405.40 Homo sapiens | reverse complement strand
GCTTTGTCTGAGGCCATTCATAGAGCTGCATTCAGCTGGGAGCTTGGCCAAGGCTGGGACATCCAGGAAGGCTTTGGTCACAGGTCTGGCTGTTGATGCTGGATGTTGGCATCAGTTCTCTTACCCACATGTTCTCTTCCTCCATGAGTCTATAATAGCTTCTTCTTGTTCTTCTTATTTTATTTTATTATTTTTTTTTGAGACAGGGTCTCTGTTGCTAAGGTTGGAGTGGAGTGGAGTGATCATGGCTCACTGCAGCCTTGAACTCTAGGCTCAAGTGACCCTCCCACCTCAACCTCCTAAGTAGCTGGGATCACAGGGGTGTGCCACCACACCCAGCTAATTTTTTACTTTTTTTTTTTTTGTAGAGATGGGTTCTCACTATGTTGTCCACACTGGTCTTGAACTTCTGGGCTCAAGAAATCCTCCCTCCTTGGCCTCTCAAAGTGCAGGGTTTACAGGCATGAGCCACTGTGCCTGGCCATGCTAGCTTTTTAGTAACATGGCAAACAGTTTCCAAGAAGGAACATTCCGTGAGGTCAAGAACAGCATGCAAGTAGCTATCAAACTTTAGAATTACCAAAATCCCATTGTTCCATGGGCCAAAGCAGGTCATATGGCCGATCCCAGAATCAATGTGAGGAGGGGGCTTCCGAAGGTCATGGATACCAGGCTTGGTGGCCCTCTGGGAGCCACCAAGGTCCTAGTCTACCATTGCTCATTTATGCAAAAAAAATCAATGTTGCTGGAGCTTTGGGGGCTTGTGGAAACCTGGGACAAGATGAGGACAGAGGGACAGGCTGGGGCCAGCCCATGTGTGGTTTTGCAGTTCAAAGGAAGAGATTTAAATTTTATGCTAAGTGGAACTGAATTCACTGAAGG
The DNA here is from genome assembly GCF_000001405.40 of Homo sapiens. Lineage (NCBI taxonomy): Eukaryota > Metazoa > Chordata > Mammalia > Primates > Hominidae > Homo > Homo sapiens. The sequence continues at coordinate 26,970,452 of NC_000016.10, read as the reverse complement.
ATTTTAAACAGAGGAGTGAATTTGAATTTCTTGGATATGACTAAAAGCATCCTGGATGCTATGTGTAGAATTGATTGTAGAAAGGTAAGTAAGCGAGAAGGCCAGGATGTTACCAGAAAAGGGTCCCGATCCAGACCCCAAGAGAGGGGTTCTTGGATCTCGCGCAAGAAAGAATTCAAGGTGAGTCCATAGAGTAAAGTGAAAGCAAGTTTATTAAGAAAGCAAAAGACTAAGAGAATGGCTACTTCATAGGTTAGTAGCCCATTTTTATGGTTATTTCTTGATTATATGCTAAACAAGAGGTGGATTATTCATGAGTTTTCTGGGAAAGGGTTGAGCAATTCCCAGAACTGAGGCCTCTCCCCTTTTTAGACCATATAGGGTAACTTTCTGACTTTGCCATGATATTTGTCAACTGTCATGGTGCTGGTGGGAGTGTCTTTTAGCAGCTAATGTATTATCATTAGCATATAATGAGCAGTGAGGACGACCAGAGGTCACTCTCACAGCCATCTTGGTTTTGATCGGCTTCTTTACCGCAACCTGCTTTATCAGCAAGGTCTTTATGACCCGTATCTTGTGCCCACCTCTTATCCTGTGACTAAGAATGCCTTAACTCTTGGGAATGCAGCCCAGTAGGTTTCAGCATTATTTTATTTACCCAGCCCCTATTTAAGATGGAGTCGCTCTGGTTCGAACACCTCTGACAAGGAGACCAATTAGGAGACAGCTGCAGGAGTGTGGGAGAGAGATGATAATGCCTTGAGGTAGGATGGTGGTGGCAGAGATGAGGCAAGATGTATGGCTCCAGGATATACTTGGGGGTAGACTCAGGAGGGCTTTCTGATGGGCAGTGAGGAAAAGGGAAGGATCAAAGATGTCCCCAAAGCTTTTGGACTGATCATCTTGATGGAAGAAATTGCCTTTATTAATATGTGATTGCAGTGGTTTTGGCAGCCACAGAGGTTGTGAGTCAGAACTTCATTCTGGACATATCACACTGTTGATACCTCTGTGAAATCCAAGAAATTCAAATAGGTAATTAGATCCTCAAATCTAGAGTTTGGACTTGTATATAGAAGACTACATCTATGCAGTCTGGGGTTTGGGCCATAATCCCAAAAGATAAAAATCCTGAAAACAGAATTCTGGAAATAAATAATTAAAAATCATTTAAAATACATTTATTTAAAAAATTATTTAAAATGCAATTATTTACATTTTATAAAGTGGACTTATTTGAGAAACATATATAAACACAACAGAACACTTAATAGGCCACTTTACACAATAGAATAGGCAAGAAGAGCATGCATATTTTTGCAAGCAGAAACTCAGGTATACTAATGACAGTTGCACAGGTATAACAGTCATGAGCAGACAAACAATATTCACAAAGAAGTAGGTTGAAAAGCAAAATGTATAATCACATATCGGTATGGTTGGTAATTGTGTGCATCCAGCTTTGTAACTTCAGTCATCTGAAATACCATGATGGACAACCTAAGTCTTTTGATGAGTTGATCAGAAACTGCAACAGGTCACCGCATATACAATTGCCCAAAGAGCCCAGAGAAAATGCATGAATCCCTTCCTTCCTCAGAATTCAGCTTCCAGGATTTCAACATTTGGGATTTCCATGGTTTTTTTTTTTTTTTTTTTTTTTTTTTTTTTTTTTTTTTTTTTTTTTTGAGATAGGGTCTTCCTCTGTCACCTAGGCTGGAGTGCAGTGGTGTGATCATAGCTCACTGCAGCCTCAAACTTTTGGGCTTGAGCAATCCTCCCACTTCAGCCTCCTGATTAGCTGAGACTATAGGAACACGCCACCAAGCCTAGCTAATTAAAATATTTTTTTGTTTTTGTAGAGATGATGTCTTGCTATGGTGTCAAGGCTGGTCTTGAACTCCCAGCCTCAAGCAATTCTTCCATCTCGGCCTCCCAAAGTGTTAGAATTATAGGTGTGAGCCACCACATCCTGCCTTGGGTTTAGATGTTAGGGATTTTGATCTTTCAGGATTTCATTATTCAGCATTATGGCATTGAAGATTGTGTCTTTCAGGACTATAACAGGCACCATGTGGCCTGAGAGTGATGTTCCATGTTCTCGGGTCCCCTGCAGATACTTGGCTCCCATTTAAGGGAGGCATTGCATTCCGCTGTGTCACCAAAAGCAAGGTCAAGTGTATATAACAGTATACATATGTGATTCTTTCCTTAACTGTTAAGGTCTAACCTCATTTTTCCAATGGGAAAAACTGATACTATGGGAGAAAGGGACTTGATCATGATGTCATGGCATGTTAGTGGCACGACTCTCACCTCTTTTCCCTGTGCTTAAGCGATCTTCATCGGACCCCTTGGCTGTCAGAGAAGGTACCAGATCCTGGGTGCAGAGACAATTCTATCTGATGGACTCTGCCAATTAAAAACAGGCCCTTAGTTGGCTGCCTGCTTCTGCCTCCTTGGCCTGCATTCCACTGGTGAGTTTCATTAGCTCCTAGGCTTCCATAAATGGAAGCCCTTGGAGATTGACTGCACCTGCCCATGGCAGACATTGCCAGTTGATCTCAGAACTCCTTGTCACTGAGCCTTAAAGACACCCTCCCCATGACATTCCAAGTAGTTGGCATTTCAAAGTTGACAGGTGAGTGAAACCTAAACAATGGCTTTCTGTGTGGAGGTTAGGTACCAAAGCCATCATGAAAGGAGAAAATATTAGAAGCCAAATTTTTGGAAAAAGTATATGAAATTGCTCCTGAAGTACAATGTCTATTATTCTGTATATATTGTGTTTTTCCTCAATGAGTCCAACACAGCTGAATTTTCACCTAACTTTCGTACAGATGATGGTTTCTTTGTTGAGTTCTGTCTGAAGAAAGTGACCTGCAATTATAATAGGAGCTGTTCTATGATATTTACCTTGAATCTACATAAGTCAAAGGCACAGGAGTGCTCCGCCACTGTGGTTGCCATCTCCCTTCCGGAACTACCCTTCTGTCTTTGTCCTTTTGTTTTCATTTCTTTATTTTTATTTTGTAGAGATTGGGTCTCGCTGTGTTGCACAGGCTGGTCTTGAACTCCTGGGCTCAAATGATCCTCCTACTTTGGCTTCCCAAAATGCTGGGATTACAGGTGCTGGAAAGGCCACCATGCCAGGTCCTTCTCTCTCTCTCTTTTTTTTTTTTTGGACAGAGTCTCACTCCATCACCCAGGCTGGAGTGCAGTGGTGCAATCTCGGCTCACTGCAACCTCTACCTCCCAGGTTCAAGCAATTCTCCTGCCTCAGCCTCCCAGGTAGCTGGGATTACAGGCACACGCCACCACAACTGACTAATTTTTGTGTTTTTAGTAGAGGCAGGGTCTCATCATGTTGTCCAGGCTGTTCTCTAACTCCTGACCTCAAATGATCCACCCTCCTTGGCCTCCCAAAGTGCTGGGATTACAGATGTGAGCCACTGAACCCGGCCAAATGGGACGGCGGGCTGTTTTCAATAACATTGGCTAATGTGTATTGAATACTTGTGATGCATCTGGCACGCTTCCAAGTGCTTTACATGTATCGATTTATTTAATCCTCACAACAACCCTATGAGTGACTACTATTATTAATCCCATTTTTTCAGATGGGGAAACTGAAAATCAGAGAGGTTAAGTAGTTTTTCCAATGTCACATTGCTTGTAAGAAGTACAGCCATGATTTCAGCCTGAACCTTTGGTTCTAGATCTGAGCTCTTTTTTTTGTTTGTTTTTGAGACACAGTCTCTCTCTCTCTTGCCCAGGCTGGTGTGTAGTGGCGCGATCTTGGCTCACTGCAACCTCTGCCTCCCGGGTTCATGTGATTCTGCTGTCTCAGCCTCCCAAGTAGCCAGGATTACAGGCATACATCACCAGTCCTGCTAATTTTTGTATTTTTAGTAGAGACAGGGTTTCACCATGTTGGTCAGGCTGGTCTAGAGCTCCTGATCTCAAGTGATCCGCCCACCTCGGCCTCTCAAAGTGCTGGGATTATAGACGTAAGCCACTGTGCCTAGCTTAAACATGAACTTTTTATGCAGTCTAGAGAGCCACTGAATTAGTGGTGACCTCCGCCTGGAGCCCAAGCCTTGTTTCTCCCAGGCCAGGGTTTTGTTTTTTTTTTTTTTTTTGAGACGGAATCTCTCTCTGTCACCCAGGCTGGAGTGCAGTGGCGCGATCTTGGCTCACTGCAAGCTCCGCCAACCGGGTTCACGCCATTCTCCCCTCAGCCTCCTGAGTAGTTGGGACTATAGGCGCCCGCCACCACACCCAGCTGATTTTTGTTTTTGTATTTTTAGTAGAGACGGGGTTTCACCATGTTAGCCAGGATGGTCTCGATCTCCTGACCTCATGATCCGCCCGCGTCGGCCTCCCAAAGTGCTGGGATTACAGGCGGGAGCCACCGCGCCCCAGGCCAGGGTTCTTTACACGCCTCCATGTCTTCTCTCTTGACCTGGCTTTCCTGTTCTCTTGTCTGGGGCTGCCACGTTGCTAACTGCCACATTCATCACCTGTCATGGTTTCTGGTGTGTTGGTTCAGCATGGACTCTAAGGCTCAAACCTCATTTCTCCAATCCATTCAAAGCTTTACTGATCTTTCCTGACATTTGCCTCTCTCAGGTTCTCAGCCCCATGCACCTGGATAAATGGCCTCTGCATCTCTAGCCACAGCTGTTTAACCAACTCAGGGCTCTAGGTTGATGGAGAGGGCACAGAGTGAGGGAGTGGACCACCGTGGCACACAGAGAAGGGGCACTGACCTCCTGGAGACCCCAGAATCCTTTCCCAGGGATATTATAAACGGCACTGGTCTCAGCACTGTACATACATACATATATATGTATATACATTTGTGAATGTGTGTGTGTGTGTATATATATATATATACATATGTATATATGTGTGTGTATGTATTTTTTTTTAAGAGAGAAGGTCTCAGTCTGTCACCCAGGCTGGAGTGCAGTGGTGCAATCATAGCTCACTGCAGCCTTGAATTCCTGTTCTCAAGTGATTCTCTCACCTCAGACTCCCAAGTAGCTGGGACTACAGGTGCATGCCATCATGCCTGGCTGATAGATTTTGTTTTATTTTTGTAGAAATGGGGTCTCCCTATATTGCCCAGGCTGGTCTCAAACTCCTGGCTTCAAGTGGTCCTCCCACCTTGACTTTCCAAAGTGCTGAGATTACAAGCATGAGCCACCATGCTTGGCCAGCACTTCATGTTTTTAAGGCAGTTTGCTCTGAGGTCCTAGAAGACACATGAAGTCTACCTGTTATTCAAGGCTTCCAGCAGAGGGGACCAATGTTGGACCCGCACACCTGTTGGAATCAAGACAAGAAAGCATCTTCCTGGGACCAGCAAGACTGAGATAGTTGTCTAGGCTGCCCCAAGGCTGACCTTTCCTGGCTGGCATCTCAGCGTTTTTTCCTGTGCTCTCTGACTATATCCTTGGCTTCCCCAAGCAGGGGATGTGGCAAAAGCAGATGCATTTTGTGGCATCAGATGAGTGAGTGGTGTCTCGCTGACAAACAGAAAAAAAAGTCTGTTCTCATTTAGGATTTCTGAAGTCAGATCTTTGATAAGGCTTCCTGATTGTTGGGACTCAGAGAATAGGTTGGGTTTCTGAGAGATATGGCTTGAAGTAACAGTAGGCAGTGTGTCTAACATAAAATATTTACTCAGTAATGATAGCAGAAACCAACCATTTCTGCAGAATCTTTTGTGCCAGGTACAGTTTTAAACATGTAATTCACATTGAACATTAACTCACCTAACACGTATGGCAGGTCCATGGGGTAGGTACCATTATTTCCCCCCATATTTACAGATGAGTAAATGGAAGAATGGAGTGTGTCAGTAACTTGTTGATATGGGTTGGCTCTGCATCCCCACCCAAATCTCATCTCGAATTGTAATCCCCATGTGTTGAGGGAGGGACTTTGTGGGGGATGATTGGATCATGGGGGTGGTTCCCCCATGCTGTTCTCATGATAGTGAGTGAGTTCTCATGAGATCAGATGGTTTTGTAAGTGGCAGTTTCCTCTCTCTCTCTCCTGATGCCTTTGTGAAGAAGGTGCCTGCTTCCCCTTCTGCCACAATTGTAAGTTTCCTGAGGCCTCCCCAGCCATGCCAAACTGTGAGTCAGTTAAACCTCCTGTTTATAAATTACCCAGTCTCAGGTAGTACTTTATAGCCATGTGAAAATGGACAAATACACTTTCCTCAGCTGGGATGCGCACTCAAGCATCTGGCTCCTGAATTTGCAGTCCTACCCAAAATGCTCCTCTGCCTGCCATCCTCTGTCCTTATGGTTGCTATAGCTGCTAACCTGTCACTCATGTCTACCAAATTGTATGGATTTCTTTGTTTTGTTAGAACCCCTAACTGAGACCCTTTAGATGTGCCAAGGTAGCAAAGCTGTTTTAGAAATGGTTTTGGGGGCTAGCGTTCTATCTGGTGGGCGCTGGAGCCACATTCAGCCAGGCTGAAGCTCAAGCTTACAGAGGAGAGAAGACAGATTATGCATTCCATATGCTGGCCATTTGCTTCTTTATTCATTTATTTACTACTTTTCCAGTAGTAAAATTTTTTTCCAGTATTTGTTGAATACTTCCTATGTGCTTGGGCTTAGCTCACATGTGATTGACTTAGCCACTAAAACATATTTGATCCCTCAGGGAGAGAACACAGTGGAGAGGTAGGCACTCCTCGGAAGGGGAAATAGAGCCCCTAACAGCTCCATCTGGGACCATGGTCTCCTGATCTGAGACACACAGCCATTAATTTGTCCAAAGCTGAGACTGCTGTACATGGTCATTGGCATAATCTCTCTGATCAAAGCCCTAACATCTAAATCTTGGTGTTTCTCAAGCCTCCAAGAGCCTTGACTTGTACTCCAGGGTTGGAAAGTTTGAGGACAAATAGCACATTTCCTTACTGTGGGGCAAGGACACCCCAGGCTCCTGCTACACATCCATTTGGGAGACCACTGTGCAGCTCCACCATGTGTGATCACACATGCTGGTAGAGCTGGCTGCCCAAACACAGCCAAACAAGCACAACGCAACCTTACCAGGAACTGCTCATCATGTGATGATGCAGGAGACCTGGGGCTAGGCTGCTTGGGTTGGTCCCAGCTCTGCCCCCTACTGGCTTAACTTTGAACAGGGTACTTCATCCCCATCAAACTGTGACATGAGCGAGAAACAAATGTGTGGTTTGTCACCCTGATATTCTGGGGTTGTTGCAGAAGTAAGCGGGTATTCCTAGGATTCGTATGGTAAAGGTGGTGTGTAGCAGGTTTGAGAAATGCTGTGTGGGGGTGTGTTAAGGGTGGGGCAAGTGCTTGTGACTCTGGAGTCTTGAGAAGGATCTTGGGGGTGTTTTCTAACTGGGGTTCTTGCTGTGGCCCGATTCTGACTGACAGTGCAAACTTTCTTGCTTATCCCTCATGGATAGAGTGTTTTTTTCCTTTCTATCCTCCCTAGCAACAATGGGTCCTTACCTGAGTCTAGGTGGCATCAGGGTTTGCTGTCCCTCCACTCCTCCTAAAGCTTTTGAAAGGGACATCTGCTGTGCTGGACCTCTGTTGACTCCAGTAGGGCTGGCACTGTGTTTGAGAGGCCAAAGAAGAAACCCAGAGCCAGCAGATGAGATACGGGGTTTACTGGAAACTTACACACAGGGGAGTCCAGCGACAACGGGCTGGACAGGGAAAACTGCTACTGTTTGTAAAATGCATGCAGTTTATACAGCAATCTCCACTTAGCACCCTTCCCCTAGCACCCTCCACCTGGCAACTTCCATTTAATTTAAAACAAAGGGCCTCGATCCCCCGTATGGTCTGTGTTCCAAGGAATGGGCCAGGAGTTCAGATGTCCTTCATGGACAAGGAATGAACATCCAGGTTGGCCACTCCAGGATTCCTTAGCCTGGGACTCCAAACACACATTCTTCTTAGACCATAGGGTCATTCCCAGGATATGCTTAAGTTATGGCTGTCAGGTGCATCTGCCATATAGGATCCAAGTGGGATTGTGGGGAGTGTGGAGGATGGGCTTGAAGCCTGGCTCCCAGAGGCACTAGGGTGTTCTCCCTATGGCCCACATCTCTGAAGGTGAGGGCAGCTCTCTCTGGTTCTCTGCCTCATCCTTCTTGTGAGCTCCGTGGAGGTTGGCGGGAAAGAGTCTGTTAGTCACTCCCCTTGAGTCTGGGGCCCCTAGGGAATCTCAAGGGTCACCATGTCCACATTTGTCCTTAAGCTGCTCTTTAAATTGTAGTTGAGTCTTACCCACTGACTTAGTGGCTGCCCCTTCCTCTTAAGCTGGGCTTCCTATTCTGACTTTCTGCCTGGACTTCCTATTCTGACTTCCTGTCTGGCCTTCCTATTCTGACTCCCTGTCTAGACTTCCTATTCTGACTCCCTGTCTAGACTTCCTATTCTGACTTTTCTGCCCGGACTTCCTATTCTGACTCCCTGCTTGGACTTCCTATTCTGACTTTCTGCCTGGACTTCCTATTCTGACTTCCTGTCTGGACTTCCTATTCTGACTCCCTGTCTAGACTTCCTATTCTGACTTTTCTGCCTGGACTTCCTATTCTGACTCCCTGCTTGGACTTCCTATTCTGACTTTCTGCCTAGACTTCCTATTCTGACTTTCTGTCTAGACTTCCTATTCTGACTTCCTGTTTGGACTTCCTATTCTGACTTTCTGTCTGGACTTCCTATTCTGACTTCTTGCCTGGAATTCCTATTCTGACTTCCTCTCTGGACTTCCTATTCTGACTTCCTGTCTAAACTTCCTATTCTGACTTCCTGTCTAGACTTCCTATTCTGACTTCCTGCTTGGACTTCCTATTTTGACTCCCTGTCTGGACTTCCTATTTTGACTCCCTGTCTGGACTTCCTATTCTGACTCTGTGCTTGGACTTCCTATTCTGGCTTCCTGCCTGGACTTCCTACTCTGACTTCCTGCTTGAACTTCTCATCCCAACTTCCTGTCCTGACTCTCCTTGAAGCAGCCTCTCTTTCCTCAGTTTTCAAGATACTTGGATGCCAGGAAACCTCAGCTCTCAGATTCAAGAAAATTCTGATTTTGTAGATTATCTGGGGTTTTCTCTCTCTCTTTTTTTTTAGAGATAAAAATTTCCCTTCCTGTTTTAGCTTGAGTACACTAAAGTAGAACCCTGAAAAGTAGATTTTATTGTGGAATTTTCTAATTTTTAAAAGTTGACACTAATGAAAAGGGCCGTCTGCATAAAGCATGTCCATTGGTCAAATCTGACTTATGAGCGGCCAGCAATCTCTCTGCTTATGACTGTTGAGTTTGTATCTCTCTGGGCAGACCGGGAGTTTATTTTATTTCCCCAGGTGTCTACCATGCCTGGCACAGAGCGGGGAGAGAGTAAGTGCTTTAATTAAATTATCACCCCTGGGCAAATCCTGGTTCAGCAAAACCACCCAAGAGAACTCTTTTATCTGAGGAAAAGGGGGAAGGAGGTTAGAGAAATGGTAGGAAGGAGTTGCCCGTTGTTTTATGATAGGAGAAGTACAATTGGGGTGATCAAGAACCTGGGTGAATGACCAAGAAGAGAAACGAACTCACCAAAGCTAACAAGGGTTGGAAAAAGCACAGTGGAACTGGGTTTAGAGATGCAAAAAGTAGCACTGATGAGTGTTTGGGACCACTGTGAGGCCCTGAAATGTGGAGGGAGACCCAGAGAGTGGTTTGGAGTCTAATTAACAACAGGGGTACTCTGCAAAAGAGGCGCTGAGATGGAGATGGGATTGATGAAGACTACACAGTTGGGAGCCACATGGCGAGAAGGACAGAGAGAGACAGAATCTGGAGAGCAAAGAGCTGAAGACAGACAAGCTCAAAGTTTGATATGTTTTAGTGTCCCACAGTCTCCATGGACACTGTTGATTGGTGGCCAAGCTGAGCTAAGCACAATTTGCTGAGAAGGAGAGATGTGGATCTGACATGCAGGGACCTAGAGAGGCCCCCGGCCTGCACTCCCTTCCCCCAAGCCCCAGCCCAGAGTGAGAGCTCTGTCCTGCCCAGGTCTGTGCCCTCTTGTCCTGCAGCTCTTCATCCCCAGCCGCTAAGAACCAATAAGGACAGTTGTATTCTGTGGAAAGTGTCAGGAGGAATTTACAGCCCTTCTGCAGAGAAGTAAAATATGGCCCTCTACTTGGGCTTCTCATCCTGCTGGGCTCCTCCTTCTTATTTCCCAGAGATGAGATTTTGAGTGATGAGGGGGGTAGAGGATGGGTTGGGGGCAGGGATGGAGAGAAACGGTGACCTCCAAAGAGATGCAGAGATGGAGGTGGAATTAATGAAGACTACATAGTTGGGAGTCACATGGAGAGAAAGAAAGAGAGGGACAGAATCCAGAGAGCAAAGAGCTGGAGAAAGACACCTAGCTGGAGAAGACAATCCAGAGCCAGAGACAAAGATGAAGAGGAGACAGGGACAGAGCCAGTGGCAGAGAGACAGAAGAATGATCGGGGTGGGGGAAGAGAAAGAGGGAGGGGGAAGAGAAAGAGGGAGAGAGGAAAAGAGAGAGAGAGAGAGAGAGAGAGACCGAGATAGATAAATAGAGAGAGGAGGAAGAGAGGGAGGAGCGGGGGAGACGACAGAGAGGGGAGAGAGGGAGGAAGAGAGGGAGAGGGAAGAGATAGAGAGGGAGAAGGAGAGGAGGGAGATAGGGTGATGGGGGAAAGATAGAGAAAGAGAGAGGAAGGGGGAAGAGAGACAGAAGGGTGAGAGGAGGGATAGAGAGAGGAAATGAAAGAAAAAGGAAGAAAGAGAAGGTTGAGAGAGGGAGAAGAGGGAGAGAGGAAAGGGAGAGAGGAGAGGAGAGGAGAAGAGAGGAGAGGAGAAGGGGGAGAGAGAGGAGAGGAGAGGAGAAGAGAGGAGAGGAGAAGGGCGGGGGGAGAGAGAGACAGAGACAACAGAGACAGAGAGAGACAGAGAAAGTGTGAGCACATTTTCTAGGGCCTAAGACAAAACTACAGAGAAAGTAACTGTGGAGTGAAGAAAGGCAGCGAGAGATGCAAACACAACAGACAAGGAAGCGACATGAAATTAAAAGAATGATCCAGAGATAAGCAGAATGTGGTTCACAGCAGAGAGGGGCAACATAAGAAGGATAGAGATGGAAACAGTGACACCAGGCATTTTGGGAGAATGCCCACAGGAAATAGGACAGAGCTGAGAGTCTATATTTATTGAGAGCCTCTTACGCCAAGGCAGTTTACATGCATATTTGCTGGTTACAAACATTTATTTTCTTGTTGGATCCTTGTGAAAATCTTAAGGGCTTATCATTATCCTTACTTTAAAGATGAGGAAATGGAGGTGTTGTGTGGCCATGAGCTGGGATTCACCTGGACCTACCTGGCTCAGAGCCTGTGCTCCTTCTACACTGGAGAGACAGAGGGCAGGAAACACTGACCACACAGATGAAGCCAGGCCCTGCCGGAGGGGCCTGGGACTTTCAGCCCCTCCCGGACCCTTCTGACTCTGCAGTTCTGAGTCAGGGCTGAAAGAGAGAAGACTGAGGATGGCTCTGGGAAGGCTTGGGGGATCATATTTCTTGGGGGAGAGAAGGATTGGAAATTTAAAAAAAAAAAAAAAATATATATATATATATATGCATACACACACACACACACACACACACACACATTTTTTTTTAAAATTAGGGCAAGAGGATGGTGATGACACCTTCAAAAACTCCTGAAGCACTGTCAGAAAAAAAAGTCTCCAAACTTCTCATTTGGTTTGGTTTGGTTTGGTTTTTCTATTGCTGCTAAACAAATTAATGTTTTTTTGTATTGCTCCAAACTCCTCATTTTGGAAGTTAAGTCCTGCCTGCTTCTCAAGCCCGACTCTTACCCTAGCAGGAGACCAGCTGCTGTTCACATAGGATCCTTCTTTCTCTGCTTGGGTCTCCAGCTTCTTCCCTGGCGTCACATCGTGCTTGCTGATGGCACAAAGCTCTGTCTCTCCTGGAGTGTCCCTTTGCCCCTTACAGAGGCCGTGGCCACAGGGTCATGAGGGGGACCACAGTCAGGCAGAAACCACAGTTTGAACAGACATGTGGAGGGGGACTCCAGTGCTTGTGCCTTCAGCCTGTGCCCCCATCCCCCAGACACACATGGTTCCCTGGAGGTTCCTCACCACAAGAGGCCACCTGAGGGGGTGGCAGAAAGGGGCCTCCGCTGAGGTCTCACAGGGGAAGTGAGTCCCTCTGGTGTGTTGTAGTTTGAGTGACCTCAGAAGTCCAGGGTCTCCACAAGGGTGTTCTTTGATGAGAAATCTTTGCAGTGCTGTATCAAACACACAAAAAGGAAATGCCTGTTTCTTCTGAGGCCTGATTTGTCAGGGTGCCCTGGAGACAAGGATCCTCAGGATAACCTGGGGTAATTGATTCATTCCACATCATGCCACAGAAGTCAGGGAGGTGGCCTTCTGTGATAGTAAGATGGATTGATCTATCTGTCTATCATCCATCTATTGTCTTGCTATCATCTATCTATCTATCTATCTATCTATCTATCTATCTATCTATCTGTTATCTATCTTTCTTTCTTGCTATTATCTATCATCTATCTATCTTCTTGCTATTATCTATCTATATCATCTATCTACCAATCATTTATACCTATTATCTAACTATCTACATAATATCTATCTACCAACCAATCATGTATCTACCTATTATCTATCATCTATCTATCTATCTATCTATCTTTCTATCTATCATCTCTTTATTATCTCTCTATTATCTATCTATCTACCAATGACTCATCTATCTATTATCTATCTACCTATCATCTATCAATCAATAATCTATCTTATCCTATCAATCTACTGTCTATCTATCATCTATCCTATCCTATCTATTATCTATCGATCTACCTACCAACCAATCGTCTATCTACCTATTATCTATCATCTATCTATCTATCTATCTATCTATCTATCTATCTATCTATCATCTATCATCTTTTTATTATCTGTCTATCAATCATCTATCTATATCTATCTACCTATCATCTGTCTATTCATCTATTATCTATGTATCATCTGTATCATCTATCTTATCCTATCTATCATCTATCAATCTATCAATCTATCTATCTACGTATTGGTTTTCCTCCGTAGTTCGTAGCTCCTAACTCCCATAACCCTTGTTACAGTCTTTTGCTATAATGTGGGGGAGATTTAGGCCTCAGGAAACAGAATCTCTCTGACTTTCCCCTGCCCTCCTTTCACCTGCCCAAGGCTGGACTCTAATCTGATTGTGGGTCATAAAACCCTCATTCCAACGATAGTTCTATTCCATACTTTGGAAGGAATGCTGCACAGAGAGGCCAAGGAGAATCTGAACAGACAGCCCTTGCTGGGTTAAATCATGCCCCTTCTGTCCATCACATTTCAACACAGTTGTCCATGCTTCAATCATGGACAACCAATGAAGTCTCCATACCAGGCCCAAAGGCAGGGTTCGGGGAGCTTCTGGAGAGCTGAACACGTGGAGGCCAACAGGAAGGTGAAGAAGAACTCATCTGCGGGCCTGGACAGTGGGGCACCCCAGCTCTACGGAGCCAGAAGCTCCACCCTTCCAGGCCTCACCCTATGTGCTCTTCATCTGGTTGCTTTATTTGTATCTTTTTAAAAGATCCTTTTTAGTAAACCAGCAAATATAAGTGTTTCTCTGAGTTCTGTGAGCCTCTCTAGCAAATTAATTGAACCCAACGAGGGGTTCATGGGAATCCCAGCTTGAAGCCAGTTGGTCAGAAGCTCTGGAGGCCTGGACTTGAGACTGGAGCATAGGAGGGAGCAGGCTTTGGGAGTGGGCCTTCAACCCATGGGATCTGATGATGCTGTCTCTGGGTAGATAACTTTGGAACTGAATTGGAGGTCACCCTGCTGGTGTCACCTGCTTGGTGTATGGGGATAAACCCTCACATCTTTGCTCACAGTATTCTTCTTCTGTGTTGTTGACTGTTGTGGTGATGTGACAGCAGAGGAGAAACACAGTTTGAGAGAGTTTTTCCTAAAACACTTTTCATCTGCAGGTTCCTGTGCTCTCTTCTGGCAATACTGTGAGGTCCCAGGATTGGTACAGGCTGGTGGAATATTTTTTCAGAGCAGCTAACTGCTGATAAACAGGACAGCAAGGTATTGGGGAATTAGACCAAAAATCAAATCTGAGGGGTAAGGTGGTGCCACAAACTGAACACTGTTTCCTGAGGATGGAATCTGGGTGGGTACCAACAAAAAATGGTTACAGAGTCACTCACCAAGAGCCAGGGTAGGTGGAGTGGCGTGGATTATGAGCTGAGCCCTGGCAAGTAGTTTTGGATGGCAGCTGTGCACAGGGGCATCTCTGCGGTGTGGGACAAGCCTGCTGAGCTCAGGGTGTGGTGTCCTGCTCCCATCGACTCAATTTATGTTCTGAGACAATTCCTGGGCAGGGCTTCCTTCATCCTTGGGATGACAGCTTGGACTGGATATTCAATCTTTTGCCTCTGGGGCAGCGTTAATAAGCATTAATAAGCAGAGTTCACCCCACCCCCTCTGAGGCACTGCCAAGACTGTCCAGGGAGCCAACCTGGATGTAAGAGAGGGGTGGTCACATTTGGGTTAGAATGGTGACCTGGGAATAGTTCAGAGGCTGGGCTGTCCTGGTTGGGCGTTTCCAGCTCTTTAGAAACCTTCCCTTGGCCACAGTGCTGAGCCTTGAGGGTGCAGGCTCCTGGGTTAGGGGAATCACCTGACATCTGTCCTGAAAGGGGCTCACCCCAAGGGATAAGCATAAGAAGAAATTAAGTTATGCCCCCAAGTTAGAAGGATCCGTCCTTGAACCAATGGTGATGTTCACGAAAATGCATCACACATCCCAAACTCAGACTTTATCCAGGGCAGCATTGTGCTCAGCTAAAACAATAATCTCTCTGCCTGCTTTGCATGTAAGGGCACCAACATGGCCCAATTCTGACCCACAGGCTCCAAGTGGAAGTCCCTGGAGAGTGCCTTCCTTCTCCACTCAATAGACAAAATCTTCCTAGGATAAAATCATTGGCCTGAGTAAGGTGAATAGCCTGCATCAAAGCATATTTATGCACCAGAGGATATTTATTTCTCTGGGAGTGGAGAGGTTGAGAAAACTCAGCCATTCCCACAGGGAGAAGCCCAGATTGCAGAAGGGCTCCCGCTGCTCATGGGACTCACAGCAGCCATTGGCTTTGCTCTTCTTTTGTGAAAATGTGGTGGTAATCTCCCTGCCTTGGCTGAAAGCAGAATGGGGTCGGGGATTAGACCCCAAAGGAAGGAAGACCTAGCAGGCCTTCAGGTTAAAAAGGAGATCAAGACTCTGCAATTTGAGGTTAGGAGTACCAGGCCCAGTGTTTCTGTCTCCCTTCTGGGGCTTCCTTCTGGAGTCAGCCATGGTTGGGGCCACCCTGAAGGCTGCTCTGACATGAGTGCTTCTAACTTGGAAGCTCTTTATCTCTCGTTTCAGTGGGTGCTTGGATGAGCCCCCTTCAAGGGACAGACAGAAGACAGCTGGCCCATGTGGGAGTCCTGCATTGGGGGGACCAGCTCACTAGGGCCATAGAGAAAGAGAAGGTCTACAAAAGTTGTCTACTCTTCTCACTTTGGTAAGAGAGGTAAATGTTTTACAGCAGAGACTAATTGCAGTAACAAACACTTTCCAAAGTCAGTGGCTTTAACACAACAAAAAGATACCTTGCTCATATCAGCGTCCAATGGGGGCTGGCACAAGGGCTCTGTTCCATGCAGTGTTTCAGGGACCCAGGCCCATCCTACTTAATATCTCTATACTCCTCTAAGTCCTCAGCTTCGATGGGCAAAGGAAGTGGGAGTGCCATGTTGGAGGCTTGGGATCAGGCTGGGAAGGGGCACAGTGGAGTGTGCTTGCATTATTCAGGTCAAGGGTTTTGCCTATTTAAGGGGGAGGATTTGCCTATTTAATGGGGAAGAAAGATGCTCTCCTGGGACTTCCACTTGAAGCCTGCTGGTCGGAATTGGGTCATATCAGTAAAGGAGGCAGATAGATTATTGTTTTATTTGAGCACATTGCTGCCCTGGATGAAAATCTGGGTTTGGGATATTAGTGTGTGTGTGTGTGTGTGCGTGCGTGTGTGTGTGTGATGACATGAGGTATGACACTACTATGCTTGCTACAGCTGTCCCAGGCAACAGCAGCTTGGTAGTTAAGGACACTGGGTTTTGAGCCAGACACTCTTGGCTTTCAGTCTTGCCTGTGCACCAACCAGTTCCCTATACATTCTTGATTTGGGGGATCAATGGACGTGAGGCTCCAGGGTGTGGTTGGGTGGTGAGTGGGTGGCCTGGGTGGCCTTGTCCAGCTTGCATTTCAGAAGTCCGAGCAGTGGTTCCCTTTGCTCTGAGGCAGTCCTTTACCCCCACCCATTGCCAATATCTCCACCTGTGGTATTTGTGTAGCATTTGGGCAAAACCCTTGGGAGGACTCAATGCAAGATTGGTCAGAGTGTGCTGCCCTGCAAACATAAGTATCTACAGGGCCCAGGCTGCTCTTTAAATGGACGAAGTGGTACAGTGGATGGCTGTGACAGACTTGAGATGCCAGTCTACTTAGGTCCTGCTGAGGGTGGCTGTTCAGAAAAACTAGTATTTCTAGGCTTTCAGAAATGTCAAGAGAAGCTACATGTACGAACTTTATGTATACTCTTCTATTTTTAATGCCAATCATCTAAATCACACTCAATACTGTGGCCCAAACCAAACACGTCTGTGGAAGGGCTATTTCCCAAGGACTGGGCCTCATTCTTAGTGTGAAGCCAGATCCAGTGCCTGCTTCAGGACTGGCCCCTTCTCTGCACAGAGGAGCATTATGCTTGCCACCAATGACGCCCTTCTGAGTGTGCGGGAAAACACAGCTGAATGTTAAATAAACACCCGCTAATTGCCCTGAGAATATTTATTGAGGTTCCCCCACATTGTAATAAGAAATTATTGAAACATATATCACCTGCCGAGCTGTTAATCATTGGTAAATATATTTTAAATACAGCAGTCCATTAGTATTTTAATTTAGCCTGTCTCCTGGAGAATATGTGTTGGATCAGACAAATGTCCCAAGCTTCAGAGCCAAGAGAAAAATTTTCTCACCTAGTTAATCTTTATGTTCTCCTCTCGGGGAGGAAATTCCGGCTGCACCAGCAAGAGAAATATTCCCCCAGGAACAGTATTGATGGCAAGTGTCTTTGAGGAGCTGGTGGGTGAGGCAGGGAGGCGGCAGCTTCAAAGAGGGCTCAGGAGTGGGTGGGGACCCCAGGGAAGGGCTGGGAGTTAGGGTTGGTGACAGGTTGGTCGCTTCCTTGCCAGTTTACCTAAATGCACAATTTTGCAGCTGAATAAAATACAATAATATTTTCATCCGTCCACATTGGATAAGTCACAAAAGACTCGTCCAATGTGGATGCTCTGCGCAGAATTGATTACCTCGCTTCCCTGCAGCCTTCCTCCCTGTGCTGGGGGCTTCTTCAGACTTCACATTTCATCTATGCCTTTATCTCAGGGGAAGCCAGTTAGAAAGAGGCAGACCCAGAGATGATGAGCGGAGACATGTCTGACCATCCCCTGCCTTGGTGATCACTGTATGAGCTTGTGGGACCCTCTCCCTGTGAGCTACTTGTTTGTTCCACAGTCACCTATAGAGTACCTACTCTGTACCAGGGACTGTTCCAGGTACTGGAGAGGTGAGAGAGCCAGGAAGAGCAGGTGCTGCCCTGTGGAACTCACCATCTAGAGGTGGGAGGCAGTCAGTACATGGCAGCAGTCATTAATTAGTTAAGCAAGCACATTTCAGAGTGAGTGCTGGGAACAGGGAACAGGGTGATGAGGCAGGGGTGACTGTCAGAGTTGGGAGCAAGGAAAATCCTGCTTTTGACTCAGAATTTATATTTTGATCTGATAGATGATGGACTGAGAGAAATAAACAGTATCTTTGAAGTTTCAAAAATGGAGTGGATAGTGGGCCATTCCCTGCCTTCAGGGATTCTGGAAAAAGTGGGGAAAGCAGGGAGGCGGGGATGACATAGTTTGGAAAGTGTTGAGTCAGAGGTGTGTGCTGTACCTCTAGTTGCTCAGAAGAAAGGCCTGTGCTGAAAATGTATTTTTTCCACATCTGTAGCAGAGCCTTGTGGTGCACTGAGCCGTTCACATCCCTTAGGACATCTGATTTCAGCACACGGAGATGGACAGTTCCGTGCCTGTGGCCAGCGTTCTGCATCAAGCACGTGCTGCTGCGTCTCTCTCCTGCCTCAGTTGGAGGGCCCTCAGCACAGTGCAGGTGCAACCAGGAAGTGAAGTTAACAGCCCCGGGGAAACCCTCAACCACCATCAGATGTGAGGTGGTGGATAAATGCCCCAGCCTCCCCACTCTCGAGTGGGACATTTCCAAGGAGCATTCTGTTTGGTTCCTCCAAGAGTCTACTGAGCCTCAGTTGCCCATTGATCTGCTCATCAGTGTGCATGTGACTTGGTTTCTTCCTTGTTCTCCCCAGGCCCACCCTTCTGCTTTCTCAAATAAACCTCTCAAACTCCCTGCACTTGCATCTCTGTCTCAGGAGCTGTTTTGGGGGATACCGGAATTAAGTAAGACAGACACCAGCTCCATCAGGGAACACGCATGAGAATGTTCATCATGGTGCTGATCAGGGCAGTGGCAGATTGCCCGGGAAGAATTGGAGGCACAAGAGCAGAGGATGACTGAGATCAGGACCTCGGGGCACACTAATGCTTAAAGGGCAGGCAGAGGAGGAAGAGTGAACACTAATGCTTAAAGGGCAGGCAGAGGAACAGCAAACACGAACAACCAGATATGTAGACAAAGTCCTCCTCAGCCTTCTCGTCTTCTTCTTTCTGTTCTCCTGTCCTCTATGAGCTGTGAGGTCAAAAGCAGTTTTCAGCGGAGCTTTCACATCCCTGGCATAGCCCTATCTGAGATATGATTTGCAATCTGCTAAGATTGCTTGAAGCATGGTATATGTGGCATGAAATCCACCTGCAATACCTCCCTGATCAGAAAGTATATCTGATTGATACCTAGTCAAAGTCAGGTCTTCTCCCTGTCACTTTCAATCTTTTTAAAGTATAGAATTTTAACTTATTTTTAATTGATACATAATAATTGCACATATCCATCAGATATATGCTACATTTTGATACATGTATATGATATGCGGTGATCAAGTCAGGGTATTTGGGATATCAGTCACTTAAAAAACATGTATCATTTCTTTCTGTTGGAAACATTCAAGTCCTCTCTTCTAGCTATTGTCAGTTTCTGTCTTAATCAGCTTTCTGTACAATAATGCTGCATAGCAAACAGCCCTGAAATTCTGGCATCTGCAAATAAGCCTTTATTTTTTGCTCATGCATCTGCAGATTGGTGAGAGCACCTCTAGTTCACATGCTTTGGGCTCTGGCTGAAAGGGCAATGGCTAAGTGAGCCACATTCTTCTTGAGAAAGAGGTTAGACGGCGGTCCCCAGGGGTGAGCAGAAATGTGCAATGTGTCTTAAAGCCTTGGCTCTGAATTCACAAACTGTCACTTCCACTCACATCTCATTGGATAAAACAAGACCTGTGTCCAAGCCCCTGATATCAGGGTGCAAGGAAGCATACTCTCCTCGTGAGAAATGTGCAGGTCTGTGTGTAAATGAATACTTGCTAAACATTAATGTCATATCGGGGCCCATAGCACATGAGCTATGCTTTCCTTGTGGAATTTACAACTTTCTACCCTCCTTTTACGTGCATGTCAATTACATGCATGCTTTATCTCCCAACCACACTGAATTTCTTCAGGGCAGAATCCATGTACAACCATTCTCAGTACCTCCCCACCAATTAACTTAGAAAAGGGATATTGCACATAGTAATACGTGGTCAGATTCGGGGGTGTATTTTGAAGGTAGGGCAAGCAGAAATTGCTGACACATTGGAGATGTACTGTGTAAGAGAATGAGGGAGATTATGATGTTTTTGACCTGGGCAATTGAGAAAATTGAGTTGCCCTATATAGGTATGGGGGATATTGTGGGAGGAACTGATGCTCAGAAAATGGAAAGTCATTAATATCTATTTCATTGCTTTCAGAAGTGTGGGATGCTTTATATTTATGGGTGGCAGAGGAAATGTTTGGGTGATACACAGATCCAAGAACAGTTAACATTGAATCCGAGAGTTAGAAAGCTATTTATCTTTCAATTCTTTATCGACTCTTTTGATTAGTTAAGAGCAGTCTCAGTCTGGTGCTAGGACATCTTTAAACACTGGCTGATTTCCTTGTTTAGAAAAGAGAGATTACACTGCAGGCTTAGAGAACTGGGCTGGCAGCAGTATCTAGCTAGATTTAATAACAGCATTTTCATTTCATTGTATTTCTTTTTCTGGATAACTTCTCTTTATGACGGTTGATGCTGGTTCATTTACAGCCAAGATATACATTTCCTTTAAAAGTGGATTTACTTATGTTAAAAAGGGAATCAATTTACAAAGAACTGTTTAAGTAAATTTATCCGTCCATTTATTTAGGAAATATTTATTGAGTGTCAACTATGTACAGGATATTGTTTTAGGTGCTGGGAATACAGCAGTGAACAAAAATAGAGTGAAGCTCAGGCTTTCATGAAGCTTGCAGGCTGGTGGGGAAGGTGGACAACAGTACCACAGTTGAAATGAACGGGTAGAGTAGCAAGTAATTTTTTCTTTTTTTGAGACAGGGTCTTGCAGTGTAGCCCAGGCTGACATGATCACAGCTCACTGAAGCCTCAACCTCCTGGTGAAGGCTATTCTCCCACCCAAGCCTCCCAAGCAGCTGGGATTAGAGGCACACCTCACCATGTCTGGCTCAATTTGTTTGCAGAGACAAGGTCTCCCTATGTTTCCCAAGCTGACCTCAAACTCTTGAACTCAAGTAATCCTCCTGCCTCAGCCTCCCAAAGTGCTGAGATGACAGGTGTGAGCCATTGCACCTGGCCCGCAAATATTTTAGATGATGAAAAGTCCTACAGAATAAATAAAACAGAAAAGGGGAATTGGCAGGGGGGGACAGGAGTTGCAATTTAAGTAGGGTGGCCAGGGAATGCCTGGTGGAAGAGACAACATTTGGGAAAAGACCCCAGGGAGCTAGCCACACTGGTCTATGAGAAAGAGCGTTCTTTGGCAGAGGGAACAGCAAGGATTAAAGCTCTGTGGCTAGAACATGCCTGACACAGACAAAGAAGGGCAAGGAGCCCAGTGCATATGGAATAGAGGGAGCAAGGGAGAGAGTAGTAGAAGATGGTATCCAAGAGGTAAGAAGGTGGCAGGATCAGGTAGAGCTTCGTGGGACACTGTTACGAATGTAGCTGCTACCCAGGTGAGGTAGGAAGTCACTGGGGGATCTTAAGCAGGGGAGTTAATGGCATAATCTGTGTTACAGTCTAAAAGCATCACTGTGGTTGTGTCGAGAACAGACTCGAGGGAGCAGGGGCAGTATCAGGAATTCCTGAAGTGGAGGCAGTTGCAGAAATCCAGGTGAGAGATGCTGATGGTTTGGGCCTAGGGGACAGCAAGATGTGGTCCAGTTCTGGATATATCTTAAAGGTAGAGCAAGCAGAATTGGCTGATAGATTGGGTCTGTGCTATGCAAGAGAGGGAGGGAGATGATGCTGCTGGTTTTTTTTTTTTTTTCCAATTCACATTTATTTATGATCAAGTACAATGCCAAATAACATTCAGAAATTAGCCATTCTGGGCTGGGCGCGATGACTCATGCCTGTAATCCCAGCACTTTGGGAGGCCGAGGCGGGCGGATCACAAGGTCAAGAGATCAAGACCATCCTGGCTAACATGGTTAAACCCCGTCTCTACTAAAAATACAAAAAAAAAAAAAAAAGTTAGCTGGATGTGGTGGCAGGCCCCTGTAGTCCCAGCTACTCAGGAGGCTGAGGCAGGAGAATGGCGTGAACCTGGGAGGTGGAGCTTGCGGTGAGCTGAGATTGCGCCACCGCACTCCGACCTGGCCAACAGAGAGAGACTCTGTCTAAAAAAAAAAAAAAAAAAAAAAAAAAAAAATTAGCCATTCTGTTTTCAGTTCCCTACCAAAGGCAAGGATCTAGGGTGAGAAATAAGCCCTGGACTTCAGAACCAACAGGACTCAGATTTTACCTATATCCAAAAAATCCTGAGCCAGAAAGTTTATCTACTCATTTTAAAACTTCTGTTTTAGGTTCAGGGGTACATGCGCAAGTTTGTTACATGGGTAAATTGCGTGTCGTGGGGGTCTGGGGTACAGATGACTATGTTACCCAAGTAATAAGCATAGTACCCTATAGGTAGTTTTTCAATCCTTTTCCCACTGTCCACCCTCAAGTAGGCCCCAGTATTTTTTTTTTTTTTGACAGAGTCTTGCTGTGTTGCCCAGGCTGGAATGCAGTGGCATGATCTTGGCTCACTGCAACCTCCAGCTCCTAGGTTCAAGCAATTCTCCTGCCTCAGCCTCCTGAGGATTATAGGCATGCACCACCACACCTGGCAAATTTTTGTATTTTTAGAAGACAAAGGGCTTCACCATGTTGGCCAGGCTGGTCTTGAACCCTTGACCTCAGGTGATCCACCTATCTCAGCCTCCCAAAATGCTAGGATTACAGGTGTGAGCCACTGCACCTGGCCTGTTCCCTTCTTTGTGTCCTTGTGTTCTCATTGTTTAGCTCCCACTGTAAGTAAGAACACGCAGTGTTTTGTTTTCTGTTCCTGAGTTAGTTTGCTTAGAATAATGGCCTCCAGCTCCATTCATGTTGCTGCAAAGGACATGATCTTGTTCTTTTTTATGGCGGCATAGTATTCCATGGTGTATATGTACCACATTTTCTTTATCCAGTGTATGGTTGATGGGCATTTAGGTTTATTCCATGCCTTTGCTATTGTGAATAGTGCAGTGATGAACACATGTGTGCATGTCTCTGTATGGTAGAACGGTATATATTCCTTTGGGTATATACCCAGTAACGGGATTACTAGGGCGAACGGTAGCCCTGTTTTAAGTTCTTTGGAAAAACATAACGCTGCTTCTCACGATAGCTAAACTAATTTATGCTGTCACCAGGAGTGTATAAGCATTCCCTTTTCTCTGCAACCTTGCCAGCATCTGTTTTTTTCTTTCTTTCTTTTTTTTTTTTTTTTTGAGATGGAGTTTCGCTCTTGTTGCTCAAGCTGGAGTGCAATGGCACGATCTCGACTCACTGCAACCTCTGCCTCCCAGGTTCAAGTGATTCTCCTGCCTCAGCCTCCCAAGTAGCTGGGATTATAGGCGTGTGCCACCACACCTGGCTAATTTTTTGTAATTTTAGTAGAAACAGGGTTTCACCATGTTAGTCAAGTTGGTCTCGAACTCCTGACCTTAGGTGATCCACCCGCCTTGGCCTCCCAAAGCGTTAGGATTACGGGCGTGAGCCGCTGCACCTGGCCTTGACTTTTTAATAATAGCCATTCAGACTGGTGTGAGACGTATCTCACTGTGGTTTTGATTCATGTTTCTCTAATGATTAGTGATGTCGAGCATTTTTTTCATAAGCTTGTTGGCAGCATGTATGTCTTCTTCTAAAAAGTGTCTGTTCATGACCTTTAACTACTTTTTAACGGAGTTGCTTGTTTTTTTTGCTTGTTAATTTGTTTATGTTTTTTATGATGTTGTTTTCGACTTGAGCAATGAAGAATGTTGAGTTGCCCTATGCAAAGATGAGGGAAATTGTGGGAGGAACAAGTGAGGAATTCCATTTCCATTTGGTTGTGCTGACTTTGAAGACACTGGTTTAGGCATCTGAGTGAAGATGTGAAGTATGCCCTTGGATATCTGAGATTGAAATTCGGGGTGGGGGTCCTAATTGAGGACTTAAATACAGGAATCATCAGCATATAGATGGTGCTGGCTGAGTGAACCTGGGATAGCAGAGAGCACGGAGCTTGGGTCTCCTCCTCTTGCCTGTCTGCAGCATTTGTAGTTGCTTGGCCAGTTTTTAGAGTCTTGGTCCTCGACATGACAGGTGCAGATGGCACAAAGCTATTTTCCTAGTGACTCTGGGAAAACGCCCCGGTTTTGTATGGATCCAGAAGGGCAAAGAAGATTTGCTTTGAAAAAATTTCATTTCAGCAAAATCACCCTGCATAGCAAGCTTTACACATTAAGCTTTTCAAATTGATCTGCCCTGTCATTTCAACTTCCTAAATTTTGCCTTTTTCTTTGCTCAGTTCGATTTCCACTGGGAAGCAGTTGTCTGAAGCCTGAACTGTATATGTCAAAACATCCTGTTAGGGCTTTCTGATATTGGACAATTCAGGGCATTTGGTTTTCACATCAGAGGAGGGAAATTTCTTCCTGTTATTATGTTAGCGCTGCAGACTGGGTCTCTATTGCTTCGGGTCTTGGGCCAAAAACAGATGCCTAAGACATGTAATGGTTTTGCTACAAGACATGAAACTGGCTCAGCCTGAGAATAGTAAAGACAATTTCAAATAATAAGGATAACTACCATCAAATGGACCCTTGTATTTGCTAGACTCTGTTTAGTAGTGGATGCCACTGGTGCCCCACCAAGAACCCCTTCATTGGCTGTACATCGTCCTCCAGCAGCTGTGGGTGTTGGCTGCTACCAGCTCACCCCTGCTTTCTTGGCTGAATAGGATCCACCTCATCTGGTCATATAGGAGTCACCTTCGCTGGCTGAATAGGTAACACTTCACCTGGAAGAATATGAAATACCCCACCTGGCTGAGTAGGAAACACCTCACCTGGCTGGATAGTAAATACCTCACTTGTCTGAATAGAAAACACCTCACCTGGCTGGAAGGGAAACACCTCACCTGGGTGAATAGAAAACACCTCATCTGGCTGAATAGGAAACACCTCACCTGGCTGAATAGGAAACACCTCACCTGGCTGAATAGGAAACACCTCACCTGGCTGAATAGGAAACACATCACTTGGATGAATAGGAACCACCTCCTCTACTCCTTCCACAGAGGGTAGCCAGCAGCCAGAGACTGACTGACGTGGGCTGGCCCCTTTCCTCCACTGGGTATTCTCTCTGGCTCAATTTGGGCTCCAGAGCTTTCTCTAGGATCAGACTGAAGGCAGTCTTGGGTTGAGACTACTTTCTTGCTTTTCATCCTCCTTTTGTCCCATTCTGCTTCCCTCACTCCCCTCCTCCTGAGAGCTCTCTCCATCTCAGAATCCCATCTGAGGCTCTGTTTCTAGGGAATTGGGCTTAAGATAAGTGTCTGGTACATTTCATAACATGTAACACTCTCAGCAACCCTTTGACATAGTATGATTATTTCTCCTCTGCAGACATGGATACAAAGACTCAGAAAGGTTAGTGACTAGCCTAGGGTCCCATGTCTGGATAGGTGCAAGAGCTAGGATGGGATCCAGCATTTGCTCCAAAGCACATGTTCCTAACAGTATGGTACTTTGCCTTTCCACAGGGTTGATCTCAGGTATTTTGAATCACAGATGTTTTCTTCCTTTCTCTTCTTGGGGGTTCAAATGTGGACTTATTAAAGCAGTGTTGACTGGAGGGCTAGGGACCAGCTACCTGTGGCGACCATGGAAAAGGGATTACCTGGGTCCTTGGGAAAGCAAAAAAATGTGATTACTCAATAAATGCAGCTATGGTGTACTAACCAGTATAAGTAGATATTCTTGGAAAATCCAAAAACCACTCCCATTAGGTTTTATTTTTTATTTTTATTTTTATTTATTTATTTATTTTTTTGATGGAGTCTCGCTCTGTCATCAGGCTGGAGTGCCGTGGTGCGATCTTGGCTCACTACAACCTCTGCTTCCCGGGTTCAAGTAATTCCTCTGCGTCAGCCTCCTGAGTAGCTGAGACGACAGGCACCCATCACCATGCTCAGCTAATTTTTTGTATTTGAGTAGAGACAGGGTTTCACCATGTTGGCCAGGAAAGTCTCGATCTCCTGAACTCGTGATCCCCCTGCCTCGGCCTCCCAAAGTGCTGGGATTAGAGGTGTGAGCCACTGTGCCTGGCCTCCCACTAGGTTTTGGATGTAGGCAAAGATTCCCCCAACGACTTGTAAGTCACTCCTATACTCACTACCACCCGTTCTAGACTTGGCCTCGGATGCCATCCGCGCAGAGGTATGCAGTGTGTCAAGAGAACAACTGTCCGGGTTCCAGAAGACATAAATATTTGTCTAGGTCCCGCCACTCATTAGCAAGGTTTCCTTTACACATTTTCAGGCCATACTAAATAGCACAGTTTTCTCATCTGTAAAATGGGGAAAATGAAATCTCCCTTGGCCTCTCTAAAATCATCATAAGTGCTTGAAAAACTACAAGTTGCTCTCTGAAAGGACTTATCATTGTTGGGTTCTCTGGGTGAGAATAGTGTGCAGGCTCATTTGTATAACTCCCAGCATACAAGCTGAGGGCTTCGGTCACCTGGTAAATCCCTTGTTTTTCTAAATAAATTGCTGCCCTGAAACTGACAAAATGAGATCTGACTAGTGTAAATGTAGGGGCAAACCTTTATGTTCAAAATATTCATGACACACCTACTGGATGTGAAAGGGTTGGTGAAAGAACAATCCATGCTTTAAAAGGATTTAAGGGTCTTTGATTGACAGCAAAGTCAATATCAGTCAATAATGACGATGCCATGGTGCTTGTACAAACATAAATATAATTGTCACTTGCCTTAAGAGAAGTAGAGAATGCATGGTCTCAGTCTCCTCTAGATTGGTGAGATTCCTGTTGGAAAAGAAAATAATAATGATGGGAGATGATTTTTATTGACCGCTTACGTTATGACAGGCATTGAGCTAAGTGTTTTATATGAAATATCTACTTTCAGTTTCACAAAATCTTATGCTACATGAAATAATACTTTTTAATTGTACTGAGGAGGAAATCGGGGCTTACATAAGTCACTTGCTCAGCATCCCATAAGGAGTAAGTTAAAGTCCTTACCAAGGACAAAATGTTATTCAGTCCGAGGGCCATGCTACACTGTGGGTCATGGAATCAACTTCATGAGTCATAGCTAGATATCAGAAAATATCAGAGTGACTTGCAAGTAGTAAAGAGTTGCTGTGTAAAACTTCTGTTCCAGTAATGCAAGTGTTGTGGGTGTGTATGTGCACACATGTGTTTGCGTGTATTAGATTGTGATGTAAAATGTATTTCTCACTATAAGTTTTTTTTTTATTATACTTTAACTTCTGGGGTACATGTGCAGAACGTGCATGTTTGTTTCATAGGTATACACGTGTCATTGTGGTTTCCTGCACCTATCAACCCGTCATCTACATTAGGTATTTCTCCTAATGCTATCCCTCCCCTAGCCTCCCACCCCCTGACAGGACCTGGTATGTGATATTCCCCTCCCTGTGTCCTTGTGTTCTCAGTGTTCAACTCCCACTTATGAGTGAGAATATGTGGTGTTTGGTTTTCTATTCTTGCATTAGTTTGCCGAGAATGATGGTTTCCAGTGTCATCCATGTCCCTGCAAAGGACATGAACTCATCCATTTTTATGGCAGCATAGTATTCCATGGTGTATATGTGCCACATTTTCCTTATCCAGTCTATCATTGATGGGCATTTGCGTTGGTTCCAAGTCTTTGCTATTGTGAACAGTGCCTCAATAAACATACGTGTGCATGTGTCTTTACAGTAGAATGATTTATAATCCTTTGGGTATATACCCAGTAATGGGATTGCTGGGTCAGATACTGAAAAAACACCAGCTTACACTTTACTTCTTTCATTGTATTTCATTGCATTTCTCACTTTAAGAGAGAAAGAGCAACACAAAGCATGTCCAGAGGCGGGTAATGATCCACCCGCCTCGGCCTCCCAAAGTGCTGGGATTACAGGTGTGAGCCACTGTGCCCAGCCTCAAAATACATCTTTAACACATAAAATAAATACATTATTAATACTGAATAACCTAACAATTTATTAAAGTAAGACATTAATGACATCTTTTGATTCTATATGGGAGGAGGAAATGACTCAATATTTTGGTACATATAATGCCAAGCATTTTTCTATGAGTACACTTATATTTAATCTATAATTTACGTATACAATTTTATTATTTATTTGTTTAGTTAGTTCTATTGTTAGAGATAGATTCTCACTCTGTCCTTCAGGCTGGAGTGCAGGGGCATGATCACAGCTCACTACAGCCTCAAACTCCTGGGCTCAAGCAATCCCCCCTACCTTAGCCTCCCGAGTGGCTGGGATTACAGGCACATATCACCATGCCCAGCTAATTAATTTTTTTTTGTTTTTGTAGGATGGCATCTCACTACTTTGTCCAGGCTGGTCTCCAACTCCTGGCCTCAAGTAATTCTCCTGCCTTTGCCTCCCAATGCTCTGGGATTACAGCCGTGAGCCACCATGCCCATCCACTATAATTTTAAATGTAATCATTCTCTTCTGATCTACAGCATGTTTTTTTATGTAATATTTTCTCATGTCAGAATAAATGTGCTTTATTCTTTTTGAACATCTGTGTAGTATTCCATTATAGCCTATGTTCTTAATTTGATTAACTAATGGCCCTGTTGATGGTCATTTGAGTTATTTGCAATTATTTTGCCAATGATGAACATCTTTGTCTATGTAAGATATACACGCTTCACAACTCCCATGCATGGTAAGTTTTTATCTCCTGAAAAACATTTGGATTTTGTAAACAACTAAGAATAATTTGTTGCCATTCTTGTAGGAAACATGTATTCAGCATCTAATGTTCCCCAGTCCAAGCTCAGTGCTGTGGTTATAGAGAGGGGTTCAGTTTCATCAATACAGCTTTGTAATGTGGGTTTCCTGTGATGAGGGCCCTAAGAGATGGTTGAAAATCCTTGCTCTGGGGTGGCTGGAAAGGAATTAAGAAAAGGTTTACAGAAGACATTTGATCTGAGTAGGTAGAATTTAAGTAAATAGAACTCTCCACGTGAAAAGGAAAGAAAACGACACTTCAAATCATAGAAATCAAGCTTACAAAGCCAGAGAGAGATAAGCTAGCATGGCATGAGTTGTAAGTGGCAAATCATAGCTTGGGTCTGAAACAGAGATGGATGTTCTGTGCATGGAGGAGGGAGGACCCAGGCAGGAGGCTGCTAGAGGCGGCCAGGACCAGATTGCAAACTCCATGCTGGAAGCCTGACCCTGGAGGGAGGGAGAAGAGTGAAGGATGAACTGAGGTCATGGGTTTTGCAGTCAAGCTAGACTCCAGTCCTTGCTCTGCCACTGCAAGATCTCCCCCGTGGTGCCTTGATCCCACCCAAGAGGACAGCAGAGAGCCCGCTCTGGCCCTCCTCCAGCTGTGCCCCTCGAATGGGATGAGGGGTCTTCGGGGTTTAGAGGACACACCCATGTCTTTGCTATTGTGAATAGTGCTGCAATAAATATACATGTGCATGTCTCTTTGTAATAGAATGATTTATGTTCCTTTGAGTATATACCCAGTAATGGGATGGCTGGGTCAAATGGTATTTCTGGTTCTAGATCTTTGAGGAATCGCCACACCGTCTTCCACAATATTGGAACTAATTTACATTCCCAGCCTGTCAACGATAGACTGGATAAAGAAAATGTGGCACATATACACCGTGGAATATTATGCAGCCATAAAAAAGAATGAGATTATGTCCTTTGCAGGGACATGGATGGAGCTGGAAGCCATAATCCTCAGCAAACTAATGCAGGAACAGAAAACCAAACACTGCATGTTCTCACTTATAAGTGGGAGCCGAACAATGAGAACTCATGGACACAGGGAGGGGAACAACACATATTGGGGCCTGTCAGGGGGTCGGGGGAGGGAGAGCATTAGGAAAAATAGCTAGCGCATGCTGGGCTTAATACCTAGGTGATGGGTTGATAGGTGCAGCAAACCACCATGGCACAAGTTTACCTGTGTAACAAACCTGCACATCCTGCACATGTACCCAGAACTGAAAATAAAAATGAAAAAAAAGGGGACATACCCATCTAGAACCCATTCTCCCTTCTTCTAGACCATGCAGCCTGTGATTGCTCTGCGAACATCCCCTGATCTACTTCCAGGGTCTGCATGAACCTCCCTGCTGAGTGCCTGCCCCCGTGGATGCACCATGCTACTGATGTGCCCATCACCACCTCTGAGCAGTGTCCGAGCAGTGGTTGTTTTCAGGGGATATGGATGAAGCTTTGACATGTAGGCCCAGGTGGCCACACACAGTGAGGCCCCTCAGTATGGGATGGAGCCTGGATAGGAGGGAAAGGGGATGGTTTGTGAGTTCAAGGCTTCCACTTGCTTGGAGCCCCATAAATGTTGAGGGAAGTCCTGCTTCTTAACCTGCTTGCTTCTTAGTTTCCTCTTTTGTATAGTAAGACTGAAAAAAGACCCTATGTCATAGGGATTTTGTGGAGATTAAATAAGATATCAGATGTAAGGAGCTCAGCATAATGTCTGTGTAGCATTCAGTAAGTGCTCAATAAAGGCCTGCTGTAGGCAACAGGGCTCTCAAGGAGGCTTTGTGGCTAAGAGTGGGATGCTGGATGTGGTGGTGTGGTACGGAGGATGGGCTGGGGGTGGACAGATAAAGACAGGAAGACCAGCCAGGAGCCTGCAATGGTGGTGACACAGTTGATGGCGATCTGGACTGTCGTTGGCAGTGAGGTTGAGGCAAGTCAGAGGATATCTTCAAGCCACACACAATCACTGAAGTTGGGAATGAATAACACCTTTCTGATGGGCATTAAAATCGTCATTTCTTCAGCATGACCCATTGAATACCAGCATGAGAGTGACCAGGGTGATTTTGCTTAAACTCAGAATCCCTGGCACCAGCTCAGATGCAGTCTCTCAGAATCTCTGGGGATGGGATCCAGGAGCACTAACAGAGAACATTGAGTTTATTAGTCACAGACACAGAGCAAAATAAAGACCAATTGTTGACAAAGGATGGCATATTAAAATCTGTAATGACGTTCAAAGAAAAGGGAGTATTACCTGGTTGGAAGAAAGAAATATTACTTACTACATTCCAACTGTTTTGGGGGAAATGTCTTTCTAAACATGAAGCCGAAAGGAGAAAAAAGACCAAGGTGTTGGTGACAAAAAGGTTGGAAGCCACACTGCTCTGGAGGAGGCTGTGAGAGTGTGTGTGTGTGTGTGTGTGAGATCTGAGGGAGTGAAAATCGATATCCCATTTCCCTTGGAGTTTGTACAGCTGCCCACAGGGTGATTCCTGACTCAAGGATAAATAGGGCCAAAGCACCCGGCTAGAGAACAATGAGTTTTCCAGATGGGCCACATATCCTTTCAGTGTGGTTTTCAGGAAATAAGGTTTGGAGGGGAGCTAGTTCCTCCCTTGGAGAAGGGCACTCACATACTCATGACCTCCTCCCAGACAGTTCCCCAGGGGTGCATGGGTTGGTAAATGAGTGCTTGTGTGTAGGAGAAAGCATACTGCTTGAGATAGACCCTCAGAGGTTGGACAGGGGCCATATGTACTGTTATTTATGTACTGGTCTTTCTATGGACTGGCCTACCATTACCTTGAGGTCAGGGGCAGCTTGTTTTCTCTGTATCATGCCCCTCCTCATATCCTTTGGGATTGGCCAGGTCATGCTGCCATCATAAGTGACAAGGGTTAATTTCTTGCTCACACTGTGTGCCCATCATGGGTCCAGTTGGAGCTGAACTCCCCATGTCATCCTCACTCTGGTACTCCAGTTGATGGATGAAGTTTTCAGCACCTGGGCTGCTTCCAATCACCAAGGAAGGGAAGGAAATATGGTGGATTTCACACTGGATCTTAAAGGCTTCTTCTATCTGGGAGTCACAGGTAACTTCTCACATTTCACTACATGAAGGAAATCACCTGGCCCCATTTAAGTTGGAGGAGTTGGGAAGTT
The DNA here is from genome assembly GCF_000001405.40 of Homo sapiens. Classification (NCBI taxonomy): domain Eukaryota; kingdom Metazoa; phylum Chordata; class Mammalia; order Primates; family Hominidae; genus Homo; species Homo sapiens. Next base: position 26,938,428 of record NC_000016.10, on the reverse strand, counting down.
CAATGAACTTAGTCTTTTGAAGGAGGAAACCACAAATAGTGGCTAACAGCAAGAATGACTGCTCTGTTGCCATAACAAACTAACTAGGGCTTGGAACCATGCAGGCAAATGAATGAAATGGGCTTGCCGTGAATCCTGAGCTAGTAAAAATGTGGCACATATACACCATGGAATACTATGCAGCTATAATAAAGAATGAGTTCATGTCCTTTGCAGGAACATGGATGAAGCTGGAAACTATCATTCTCAGCAAACTAACATGGGAACAGAAAACCAAACACCACATGTTCTCACTCATAAGTGGGAGTTGAACAGTGAGAACACATGGACACAGCGGGGGGAACATTACACACTGGGGCCTGTCAGGGGTTGGGGGGCTGGGGAGGGAGAGCATTAGGACAAATACCTAATGCATGTGGGGCTTAAAACCTAGATGATGAGTTAATGGGTGCAGCAAACCACCATGGCACATGTATTCCTATGTAACAAACCTGCACATTCTGCACATGTATCCCAGAATGTAAAGTATAATAACAAAAATTAAATTAAAAAAAAAAGAATGAGGACTATAGAAGGATGCAAAGTCTGGGAAATCCAGATTAAGTCTTGTTGTTGTCTGGGTGTTGGGTTTCATATTTGAAAAATAGGACACATTGGCTCTTTAACTTCAAATTTCCCCATTTTTTCTGTAGGCTAGGCAGGCATTTACTGACTGAACTGGCATTTCCAGCTTTGCGATTTGAATTCTGAATGCTCTTCATGGTCTTCCAGGGAAGCGCCTAGTAGCCCAAACCTACCACTTGGGGCTCCTTGCCCAGAAACATGCCCGTGAAGTTGGCAGTGGATATCCCGAGTGTGACAGCTGAAAAACGTGAGCGGAGAACTTAGGTCAGCCCTCAAGCCCCAACTGTTCCCGCTGCAACATGGACTCTGTTCATGAAAGCCAGATTAGCAGAGTCCTGAGGAGTATGGGCTGTGGGGTCTGGCAGCTTGGGCAAAAGTCTCACCTTCAGCACTTACTGTGTGGCCTCAGGTGAGTGGCTTATCCGCTCTGTCTTTGGTCTCCTTCCCAGAGGGTGTATTAGTCCATTTTCATGCTGCCAATAAACATACCTGAGACTGGGTAATTTATAAAGAAAAAGAGGTTTAGGCCGGGCGTGGTGGCTTTCGCCTGTAATCCCAGCACTTTGGAGGGCTGAGCGGGTGGATCACCTGAGGTCAGGAGTTTGAGACCAGCCTGGCCAACAAGGTGAAACCCTGTTTCTACTAAAAATACAAAAATTAGTTGGGCGTGGTGGCGGGTACCTGTAATCCCAGCTACTTGGGAGGCTGAGGCATGAGAATTGCTTGAACCTGGGAGGCAGAGATTGCAGTGAGCTGAGATCATGCCACTGCACTCCATCCTCGGGGATAGAGCAAGGCTCTGTCTCAAAAAGAACAAAACAGAACAAAAAAAGGAGGTTTAATGGACTCACAGTTCCACATGGCTAGGGAGGCCTCACAATCATGTTGGAAGGCAAAAGACACGTCTTAAATGGTGGCAGACAAGAAAGAATGCGAGCCAAGCAAAAGGGGAAACCGTTTATAAAACCATCAGATCTAGTGAGGCTTATTTGCTACCATGAGAACAGCATGGGGAAAATCACCCCCGTGATTCAACTATCTCCCACCAGGTCACTCCCACAACACAGGGGAATTATGGGAGCTATAATTCAATATGAGATTTGGGTGGGGACACAGCCAAACTATATCAGAGGGTTTCTGTGAGGAGTAGATGAGTTCACACGTGTAAAACCTACCTGTGATGCCTGACACTCACTGAGTGCTCAGTGATGAACGTTGGCTGTGATCCTGAATATTACGACTTGTTTCTGTGTGCTGAGATTCCCAGTGCTCAGGGCCTCAGTTCCTCCATCTGTGAACTGGAAATACTCCTAAGACCTCCTAAGAGAGTTGCAAGACTTAAAGTTGGTGGAAATACCTCACACAACACCAACTTGAGATTAGTAACCTGTACCCTGGCAATTTTTCTCCTGGTTCTTTAACTCATCAACTGTGTCACCTTGGGCAAGTCACTTTAGTCTGTCTGTGCCTCAGTTTCCTTATCGGAAAAGCAGGCATCAACATATCTGTAGTCACACGCTGGGATTCTGAACCTCTGCTTTTAAGTGTGCCCTGGCCCCTTCCCCAATATTTCTGATTACGGAAGAGAAATTACGAGAGAAATTTTGTCAAGGTTCAAAGCTGCCTGAAAGCTGGAAAGACAGCTAGGGCTTGAAAGTGCTGGAAAGTGCTCAACCTCTTTATTACTCAGCCCTTCTTACCTCCATCTGGGTGTCATTCCAGCATGCTGCCTGGCCTCCCTGTCACCAGGGTCACTCCTTCTAACTCTCTGCACTACACGCAGTGTGGTCTTGCTAAAATGTCCATCAGACCATGCCACTGCCCAACTTAGGCCCTTCCAGTATCTCCTCTTGCTCTCAGGATAAGAGCCAGGCATGAAGCATGGCGTACAGAGCCCTTCACAGTCTGGGTCCCATAGCAACTCCGGACTTTTCCCTTCTTCCCAACTCCCCACAGGAAACTCTGTGTTCCTGCCAGGCTGCGTTTTGTCATTCCAGGAGCTCTCCAGGCCCCTCCCTGCCTCTGAGCTTTTTTACACAGCTGTTCCCCCTGCCAAAAATGCACTTCCTAGCACCATCCTCCTGACTTAGTCCTACTCTTGTTTAAGGATTCAGTTTGAGTCACTTCTGTAGGATCTAAGATTCCTTCACAGATCCACCTTCTCCCCTTCCTCCAAGGCTGGGTTGGGAGCCCCCCTCAGGTTTCCTTGACTTCATGCACAACTCTGTATCCCTCCCTCTTCTGCACTTGACTATGAGCTCCTAAAAAGCAAAAGGATGAAAACACTTAAAAAGCACCTACATGTGTGCTAGGTGCTGTTCTAAGCACTTTACATATAATGATGTACTCAATACCCATAACCATCTTATGATAGTTGCTCTTTTTACCCCCATTTTACATAAGATGTAATTAAGCACAGAGAGGTTAAATAACTTGCCCACAGTCACACAGCTAGTTAGTAGCAGAGGCAGCAGTTTTATGGGGCTGTCATGGAGTAGAAATTGGTGAGTATTTGTTGAAATGTGGCAAAAGAATTGAAGAAGAGAAGCATCAGGTTTTTTTTTTTTTTTGCGATGGAGTCTCGCTCTGTCACCCAGGCTGGAGTGCAGTGGCGCGATCTCGGCTCACTGCAAGCTCCGCCTCCTGGGTTCACGCCATTCTCGTGCCTCAGCCTCCCGAGTAGCTGGGACTACAGGTGCCCGCCATCTCGCCCGGCTAATTTTTTGTATTTTTAGTAGAGACGGAGTTTCACCGTGTTAGCCAGGATGGTCTCGATCTCCTGACCTCGTAATCCACCCACCTCGGCCTCCCAAAGTGTGAGAAACATCAGCTTTGAAGAAGAGAACATCATCCAATTCCAGGGCAGAAGCAAACTCTTAAGAAATATCATTAAGGACACTCTGGGCCAGGCATGGTGGCTCACACCTATAATCTCAGCACTTTGGGAGGCTGAGGTGAGAGGATTGCTTGAAGCCAGGAGTTCAAGACCAGCCTGGGCAACAAAGTGAGACCCTGTCTCTACAAAATAAAATAAATTAGCCAGGCATGATGGCATGTGCCTGTAGTCCCAGCTACTTGAGAGACTGAGGCAGGAGAATTGCTTGAGCCCAGGAGTTCAAGGCTGCAGTGAGCTATGACAGAGCCACTGCATCACTCCAGCCTTGGTGACAGAATGAGACCTTGTATTCAAAAAGGAAAAAAAAAGCCCTCTGGTGCTTAGGTCTTCATAGTAGTTGGGGGGCAAGATAAGGGGAGTGATGTATAAGAAAAGTTAGAAAATTGATGGAAGTATTTTTTTCTGTTGCCCATCTACCCTTGGGAAGACTTGTGGATGACAGGATGAGAACTAGAATGGAGAGTTCTTGGTTTGGAAGAAAATCCATAGAATATAAATATGTAAGGCATATACTATATATATTTTAGTCAAATCAATAAGGGAGCAAAGAAAAGAACATGCTGATTACTTTCTGTAGTGGAAGTTTAATCCACAGTATGGTTGGGGTTGTGAATTTCTTTGTAAATTTCTTGGTAGACAGGTAACTTCTTGGTGCTAGAGGTAATATCCATGGGCATTTGTAGGTTTGAGTTGGAAATTTTGGGGCATCAGAGTGTAGGAATGGAATGGTGTCATTCCCCCTCCTGGCCTTTTAAAATGTTTTTGAGGTCCCAAGAGAGAGGCAGGGGAAGACAGTGAAAGAGCTGTGTTGATGTCACCTTGGAAAGCCTGGGCCCAACCAGGTTTCTTGGGGTTGTAAATCTCTTCCAGCAAACATCTAATCTGGCTATCCTCTTCCAGAAAGCTGGAGAACATGACACACTTGAAACCTGGTAGCACTACTATGCTGGTGGCTCACTAAATAACTGGAACACTTTAGGAAGGGTGTGTTTACTCTTGGAGCACTGGATGGCTGTTGCCATCTTCACCTAGCTGGTGCTGCTGGTCAAGACCTCTCCTTGGGAAAATGATGCTCTCTCTGTGTTTGTGTGTGTGTGGTGTGTGTGTGTCTGTGTGTGTGCATGAGTGTCTGTACTGAAATAATTGCTCTATGAATAACTGACTCTGTTGCTTCTAATTTGAACCATTTGCTGGAGGATCCATCACAACCGTATTTGATGGTAGGCAGTGTTCTCCTTCTCACTCACTTAGTTGAATTTATGTCAGTTGCAACAGAGCCACTAAGTTGGAGGAACCATAGCTATTGGTGAAGCAGCTGCTAGGCTTAAACTGTGAGGTCTTGGCTGGCTTAACTGGTGAAGTTTGCAGATTTCCTTCTCCACCTGGTGGCAGGATCAAGAGCTCTTGAGACATTAAGGGCAGTTGAAGCCTCCATAGGCTGTCACCAGGCCAGAAACTGCATCATCTGGGTTCTGGGTTCCAGGACTTCTGTGATTCCTGCTTCACTAGCAGATGGAGAACGGGAGCAGGACTGACGTATAGACAAGTGTCGGGATCTTTGACACTTCTCAGAGACATTTGGGTAGGAGAAATCAGGGGAAAGACCAAACTCACTGCTGGGCAAAGCAGGTAAGACTCAGAGTGCCAAGATTTAGGAGAACTTAAGTTCAGTGGGTGGTAAAACTGGCATTTATAGGCTGATTAAGGGAAAAGTAGAAAGCGGGATCTCACACCTTGAGCTGCACTGTTCTCTTGGATCTCAGCTATTGTTAGAGACAGATGCATGACAGGCTTCACCTAGAACAGGTACAAGAGATTTGTACCACTAGATGTGACAGTCTGAAGTCCAGTGACATGTTTCCTCTTTGCTCCTTTAGTATTAACTGGCTCAGAAGAGAGGGTTTGATTGACTCGGGATGCCACCATATGTCATGGAATGCCCCTATTGGACAGGATTCTTTCCAAGGCACCTGCCCAGCAGCCCACATATGATGGTCATTGCCTGTGCCTGAGTCCTTAGTCCAGCCATGGATAGTCACTATAATCAGTCTCCTTTGAAAACACATGATCCAGAGGGCTATGTAAGAGCAAATTCACCTGGACATGTTTAAAAAACTCATGTCTACATGAGTGACTGGCAATTACAACGTTGCCTACTTGTCTTTTGTATATGAATCGTGTATTTGACTTCATGGTGGATTTTAATTGATCTGACTTTACCATGCTTTTGTTCTTGAAACTGATGATTGGCATGACATAGAGAAAATAACACCACATGGTCTTGTGCAATATGGTTAGTAGGTGAATCCATTGATAATAATCACAAGGCAGGATGCAAGTGAAACCTTTGGTCATAGATACTAAGATCTAGAGACAGCTGGAAACCTCACCATTTCCTGCATGGATAGAAGGTACTGCACAGCACAAAATGCCAACATTCATCAAGAAAGTGGAAAGATTTCTGGATGTGAATGGTGAGAATGGGACCTCCGAATTGATGGATGAAGATCACAATGTCAGGTTGCATCCATCCTTCTCTCCAGATAACTTGATTAGTCCCCTGGGCCTCATAGCAGGCATGCATGTGCCCAAAGTCTTGTGAATGTAGTTCCTTTACTTTCTTTTTCTGGTTTCTCTATCCCAGCAATTCCAAACCAGTCTGTGAGATGTGGGCCATTAGAGAGAGAGGAGAGTCTGGAAGTAGAAGGCAGTGATAAAATGTTGTAATAAAAAAAAAATAAAGACAGACTTTTAATTTTTAGTTAGGCTGCAGACATGGTTCTGGCTGTTAGAAGTTACCATGAAGTATATACATTCAAAGACAGCCTCGCCTCAGTCTTCTCTTCCTTGCACTGGGACAGCATGTGGTCACAGCTACTATGGGAAATTACTTGGTAGCAGTGTCAACCTCAGTGACATGGCAAGTGTCAGGGCACACACGATCAAATCCCTATAGGGCCTGGTTAGCTAAATTAATGAACTGGGCTGAACAGTGACTAAGGCATATTAGAGGGTCCTTGCCCTTTGCCACCAAAAGGAGGCAACACTCCTCAGCTCCCACTCACTGGGGCTACATGGTACCATCTGGCCAGATCTCCTGGCATTTCAAGGAAAGCTAGGTTTTGTGTGTAAAATTTACAAACTCGTATTTTCCCAAACCATTGGGCATACCAAGCAGAATGCATCTGTGGGTCAAATATGGCCCATGATCATTGGTTTTTGATCATCGATATTTGTGAATGTGCCCAGCTCAGGGCCTGGTATGCAATAAGCCTTCAGCTCCCCTGAGTTCTGTCCCTCTCTCCCCTAGCCAGGAAGCCTTTGTATGATCAGGAAGAGAAATAAGATTAAGCTGGAGATGGGTGGAGGTTGTCTTTTTGTTGTCTTAATGGATTAAGCCTCATCATTAAATTTTCCTGAGCTGTTGGCTTTTTGTAGAAGAAATACCAGCCAGGCCCGAAGACTCTGAAAGCTCTATTAATCTTTCTATAACCCCATTAACACTCACTGCATATTTCCTGTGAAAAAGGATTGGAAATGACCAAAGCCCACAGTATGGAAATATCTGTCATGTACCCAGCAGCCAGGAGAAGGCCGCGTAGGCACACAATGAGAAGATTGTTAGAACACGTTTTCTTCTAAATTGTTAAAGGAAGAAGGATGGAGAGGGAGAGAAAGAATCACTTCACCCTGGGAATCTTATAACTTGACAATCATTACAATAGAGTCACCTGTATTTTTCATCTGGAAATACCTGTTACCTCGAAAGTGGGGTTAGATGCCTGCTCCCCAGGGGAAATCTGGAAGCAGGGATTTATTCATGCAGCAATAATTGAGGAGTTCATTTGATTCTAGTGTGGATCTTTCAACCACAATCAATTTCACGCTCTGTCATAAATAATGGAGGTCGCTACGGCAGCCGGGTGGAGGGGGGTGGTCTTGCTGGTACTGTTGACAGTGTTCAAACTGTATCAATAGAGAGAGGGACAGAGCCCACTGTGACAGCAAGCTTGGAAAAAGTTTGAGTGGCAGGGTGTTTTTCTTTTTTTTTTAAACATACCTCACCCCCTTTGAACGAGAAAGACCTTCAGATATTGCAGATTAACTGCTCATGGAACAGCAAGATCTCATCAGTGGTCTCAAATAGTCCAGCAGCGTCTGGCAGTGTGTTATAATAGCTCAACTTCACATTCAGTCCCCCAAGGTGCCTGGGCCTGCCTTTCGGGGGAAACCCTGCCGGTGGAGGAATTAATAAGTGGACTGCTGTAATTGACAGAGTTTCAGGGATGCTCCAGGTGAGGTGCCTTGAGGCAGGGTAGGAAATGGCTATTTGACGTCTGAATTATATGAGAATAGGGTAGAAAGGGTAAAATAAAAGTCTTGGCTGCTTTACAGAGATTTTCTATCTCTAATAAAATAAGATACAGAATTTTTTAAACTTCTCATCTGGAGTATACTGATTTAAATACACCTCCCAGCCTAGTCCTCTTTCCATGGCTCACCAGGCTACTGACTCTGTCAACCTCTTTCCAGCCCCAGGGACTTTGCGCGGGCAGCTTCTGTGGTCTCGCTCCTCTTCCCTTTTCTCACCTGGCTAAGCCTTGCTCAACATTATGTTTCCAGCTTCATTGTAAGTTCCTCAAGGAGATGTTCCAGACCAAATTGTATGTTCTCATAGCAACCTGTACCCTTCTTTTCTAGCACTGGTGACAGTTGAAATTAAACAATGGTCTGTCCAAAGGGAATATAAATCACTCTGCCGTAAAGTCACATACTTACATATGTGCAGCACTATTCACAATAGCAAAGACATGGAATCAATCTAAATGCCCATCAGTGGCAGACTGGATAAAGAAAACATGGTCCATATACACCATGGAATACTATGCAGCCATAAAAAAGAATATCATGTCCTTTGCAGGAAAATGGATGGAGCTGGAGGCCATTATCCTTAGCAAACTAACACAGGAACAGAAAACCAAATACTGCATGTTGTCACTCATAAGTGGGAGCCAAATGATGAGAACACATGGAGACATAGAGGAAAGCAATGGGCACCGGAGCCTACTTGAAGGTGGAGGGTGGCAGGAGGGAGAGGATCACAAAAAATAACTATTGGGTACTAGGCTGAGTACCTGCGTGATGAAACAATCTGTACAACAAACCCCCAGACACGAGTTTACCTATATAACAAACCTGCACAGGTACCGCTTTCAGTATATACCCAGTAATGGGATTACTGGGTTGAACGGGAGTTTCGATTTTAGCCCCTTGTGAAATCCTCACACTGCTTTCCATAATGGTTGAACTGATTTACACTCCCATCAACAGTGTATAAGCGTTCCCTTTTCTCTGCAACCTCGCCAGCATCTGTTATTTTTTGACTTTGTAATAGCCAGTCTGACTGGCGTGAGGTGGTATCTCATTGCGGTTCTGATGTGTTTTTCTCTAATGATCAGTGATATTGAGCTTTTCTTTTTCATATGCTTCTTGGTCACATCTACGCCTTCTTTTGAGAAACGTCTGTTCACATCCTTTGCCCACTATTGAATGGGATTTTAAAAAAATTTTACTTTGAATCTCCATTAATGACTCTATCAACCAAATGCAAATTCACGGTGTCACAGAATGTTGAGCTATTATTATCTAGCCTGCTTTCATAGATTAGCAAATTGCTATCTTAAGGCACATGGAGATGTCATTCATTTTATTCACTTATTTATTCCTCCAACATTGGTGAGGAGCCGTGTTGGCTCATGGGATGCTGGACATAGGATGAAAGAAATGAGAAAAATATTCCTGTAATGAAGGCTCATAATGGAGTGGTGGGGATGGCTGTGTAAACCAACGATTGCAATAGACCCTAGTATATGATATGACAACGGTGTCAATTGTATGAGCATCGAAGAGGAGCCCCTAAATCATCCTGGGTCATGGGTTGGTGTCATTCTCAAGCTGATTTTTGAAAGACAATGGAAATTCTCAGAGTGGCCTCAGTGTGTAAGGGCATTCCAGCCAAAAGAAATAATGTGCACAAAGGCTTGGCTTGGAGGTAGGAGGGAGCATGACTTGAACCTCTGGGGGATACAAATAATTTAGTATTGCTGGAAGGTCTTCCTTCTTCCTTCCTCTTTCTTTCTTTTTTTTTTTTTTTAAGACGGAGTCTCGCTCTGTCACCCAGGCTGGAGTGCAGTGGCGCGATCTTGGCTCACTGCAAGCTCCACCTCGTGGGTTCACGCCATTCTCCTGCCTCAGCCTCGCGAGTAGCTGGGACTACAGGCGCCTGCCACCACGCCTGGCTAATTTTTTTGTATTTTTAGTAGATACGGGGTTTCACTGTGTTAACCAGGATGGTCTCAATCTCCTGACCTCGCGATCCACCCGTCTCTGCCTCCCAAAGTGCTGGGATTACAGGCGTGAGCCACCGCGCCTGGTCTCTCTCTCTTTTTCTTTCTTTCTTTCTTTCTTTCTTTCTTTCTTTCTTTCTTTCTTTCTTTCTTTCTTTCTTTCTTTCTCTCTCTCTCTCTTTCCTTTCTTTCTTTCTTTCTTTCTTTCTTTCTTTCTTTCTTTCTTTCTTTCTTTCTTTCTTTCCTTCTCTCTTTCTTTCTGTTCTTTCTTTCTTTCCTTCCTTCCTTCTTGCCTTCCTTCCTTCCTTCTTTCTTTTCTTCTCTTTTTTCCTTCCTTCTTTCCTTCTTTCTTTTCCTCTTTCTTTCTTTTCTTTCCTTCCTTCATTTCTTCCTTCCTTCCTTTTCTTTCTTTCTTTCTCTCTCTTTCTCTCTTTCTTTCCTTCCTTCCTTCCTTTTTTCTCTTCCTTCCTTCCTTCTTGCCTTCCTTCCTTCTTTCTTTTCTTCTCTTTTTTCCTTCCTTCCTTCCTTCTTTCTTTTACTTTCTTTCTTTTCCTTCCTTCCTTCTTTCCTTCCTTCCTTCCTTCCTTCCTTCCTTCCTTCCTTTTCTTTCTTTCTCTCTTTCTTTCTCTCTTCCTTTCTTTTTTGAGACAGGGTCTTGCTCTGTCACCCAGGCTGGAGTGCAGTGGCATGATCATAGCTCACTGCAGCCTTGACCTCCTGGGCTCAAGCAGTCCTCCTGCCTCAGCCTTCCAAAGTGCTGGGATTACAGCCTGAGCTACTGTGCCCAGCCCTGGAAGGTGTGTTAACAATTGGGAGTGGTGAGACATCAGCCTGGGAGGGATAGAAGCCAGACTGTTGAGGGAGTTTTAATAATGAGCTAAGAGATTGGTATTTATTCTGGGACAAAGAGGAAAGATAGTAGCGATTTAATCATATGGCAGGTACAAATTCCAACCCATGAACTCAAATGTGCAAGAAAGCTAACTTATTTTTTGCTTAACTTGATTCCTGAACGTGAGCTCTTTAATTTCAACTTTAATGTAACCATTTTAGGAATTCCTGTAAAGTAGGTCCCTGAGATTATCTCATGTTCTGAGATCTTACATGGTGTCAAGGGATTTAGGGAAGCCAACTGGTCCCCAAGAAGCCCATCCACTGCTTGACCAGTGTATTAGTCTGTTCTCACACTGCTAATACAGACATACCCAAGACTGGGTAATTTATAAAGAAAAAGAGATTTAATGGGCTCACAGTTTCACATGGCTGGAGAGACCTCACAATCACGGCGGAAAGCTAAAGAGGAGCAAGGGCATGTCTTACATGGCAGCAGGCAAGAGATTGTGTCCAGGGGAACTGCCCTTTACAAAACCATCAGATTTCATGAGACTTATTCACTGTCACGAGAACAGCATGGGAAAAAACCTCCCCCCCATGATTCATTTACCTCCTACCAGGTCCCTCCCATGACACATGGGAATTATGGAACTACAATTCAAAATGAGATTTAGGTGGAGACACAGCCAAACCATGTCAACCAATCATGAGGAAGACAGATGATGAAGTGTTCATTATCTCTGCCTGAGTGACCCCTTGAGGTCTAGCAAGCGCTCAATAGCCAAGCTAGACAAGAGAATCTTTCACAATCTGATGATTCCAGCTTCCCCCAGACATACCATGCAGACTCTTATCACTTGGTTTTGCTATTACTGTGTTAGTGATGTCAGGAGGTAGGCTTCAGGTCACACAAGCTCCAGGGTCCATTGATTACTCTGCTTTGATTATCTCTCTTTTAGTTTGGGAAGCTCTTTGTCCTCACATGGCAGAAGAACAGAAGACAGTAAGTAAACTCACTCCTGCAAGCCCTTTTTTATAGCAATAGCAGAACCCTCATGACCTAAACACCTCCCCTGAGGCCCCACCTACCAACACTGTTGCATTGGGAACTGTGTTTCCAACCCATGCATTTTGGGGCACATGTTCATACCATAGCAGACATGTTTTGATTTTCTTCTCATTTACTGTTGTGTATGTTCTATAGCTATTTTCTTTGTGGTTACCCTGGGGATTACATATAAAATCCTATCATGATAATTTATTTCAAATTTATACCTGTTTAACATCAGTCGCATATAAAACCCCTACTTTTTTACAACTTCACATCCCCCATTTTGTGTTATTGATATCATGCATTGCATCTTATATATTGTATACTCATTAACATAGATTTATAGTTATTTCTATGCATTTGTGTTTTAAATCTTGTAGAAAATAAAAAGTGGAGTTACAAACCAAAATTATAATAATCCTCTTTTTTATATTTGTCCATGTATTTACCTTTACCAGAGAACTTGATATTTTCATATAGCTTTGAGTTACTGTGAAGTGTCCTTTTATTTCAACTTGAGGGACTCCCTTTAGTGTTTCTCGTAGTGCAGTGCTAGTGGTAATGTCCTAATTTTTCTCTTATTTTTGAAGGACAGTTTGCCAGATATAACACCTTAGTTGAGTTTTTTTTTTTTCCCTTTGGGCACTTAAATATATGGTTCCACTGCCCTCTAGCCTGCAAGGTTTCTGCTGAGAAGTCTGCTGACAGTTGCATGGGGATCTCTTATATGATGAGTCACTTTTATCTTGCAGCTTCCAAGATTCTCTCTTTATCTTTAAACAGTTTGGTTATAATGTATCTTGGTGTGGGTCCTTTATTTAAAAGGTTATTAAGCTTCTTGTATTTGTATATCCATTTCTTTCCTTAAATCTAGGAAGTTTTCAGCCATTATATACTTTTAAAATTTGTTTTTATTTTTTAAAATAAATTATATTTCTTTTTTTCTGAATTTAACTTTTATTTTAAGTTCAGGGGTAGGTGTGCAGGTTTGTTATATAGGAAAACGCATGTCACAAGAGTTTGTTGTACAGATGATTTTGCCACCCAGGTATTAAGCCTAGTATCCATCAGTTATTTTTTCTGATCTTCTCCCTTCTCCTACCCTCCATCCTCTGGTAGAGCCTAGTGTGTGTTGTTCCCCTCTATGTGTCCACGTGTTCTCATCACTTAGATCCCACTTTTGAGAACATGTGGTATTTGATTTTCTGTTCCTGTGTTAGTTTGCTAAGGATAATGGCCTCCAGCTCCATCTATGTTCCTGCAAATAACATGATCTTTTTCTTTTTTATGACTGCATAGTATTCCATGGTGTATATGTACCACATTTCTTTATCCAGTCTACCACTGATGGGCATTTAAGTTGATTCCATGTGTTTGCTATTGTGAATAGTGTTCAGACATTATTTCTTCTAATAAGTTCTCTTCTACTTTTTCTTTTGTCCTTCTGAAACTCCCATAACATGCATATTATGTGCACATTGGTCCACTTGATGGTGTCCTGTAAGTACTTTCTGGTCTGTTCACTTTCCTTTATTCTTTTTCCTTTTTGCTTGTCAGATTTGATAATTTCAAATGACTCATCTTCAGTTCGCTGAATTTTTTTCTTGCCTATTTGAACCTGCTGTTGAATTCTTCTAGTGATTTTTTCAATTTAGTTACTCTATTTTTCAGTCCAGGATTTCTTTTTGGATCTATTTTGTTATTTTTATCACTTTGTAAATATTTTCCTTTTGTTCAGATATGTTTTTCCTGATTTTCTTCAGTTCTTTGTCCTTGTTCCTTTTGTTCTTTGAGCATATTTAAGGCAGTTGTTTAAAAGTTTTTATTTAGTAAGTCCAATGCATTTGTTTCTTCAGAGACTGTTTCTGGAGACAAATTTTGTTCCTTTGAATGGGCCATGCTTCCCTCTTTCTTTGTATGCTTTGTGGTCTTTTGTTGAATATTGGTGATATAGTCTGGCTCTGTATCCCCACCGAAATCTCATCTTGAATTGTAATCCAAATTGTAATCTTTACGTGTTGGAGGAGGGACCTTGTGGGAGGTGATTACATCGTGGAGGTAGTTTTCCCATGCTGTTCTTGTGATAGTGAGTGAGTTCTCAAGAGATCTGACGGTTTTATAAGGGACATTTCCCCCATTTCCTTGGCACTTTTCTTTCCTGCCACCATGTGAAGAAGGATGTGGTTGCTTCCCCTTCTGTCTGGTTGTAAGTTTCCTGAGGCTTCCCCAGCCATGCAGAACTGTGAGTCAATGAAATGGGGTAATACAATTGGGCATTTGAAAAACAGCAACCCTTCCAGTCTTTGCACACCAGCAAAGAAGATCTTTATTAATTAGTGGCTCCCTGAGCCTTGAGATCAACCCTGGGTGAAGGTTTACAGTCTTCTCAGGTCTATTCTCGGCATGTGTTCTGTCTGGATTTTTGTGTGTTCTTTTCCCCTCAATTTCTCCTAGCAGCTTTTATTTCTTTATTTTTCATTTACGTATTTTTTTAGAGATGGGGTTTTGCTACGTTGCCCAGGCTAGTCTTTAACTCCTGGGCTCAAGAGATCTGCCCCCTTCAGGCTCCCAAAGTGCTGCGATTATAGGCGTGAGCCACAACACCCAGCTCCAGCAGCTTTTTAATGTCTTAGTTTCCCAAAGAGTCTCACCCAAGCTTCTTCTCAGGGCTTTAGGTGTTCTGTTGTAGTCCTCTGCCTGTAGTCTCTTGCCCTAGCTGTCCATGGGCCTGCAGTTTGCTTTACGTGTCTTGATAGTCACCACTGCCTTTTAAAACTTCTAGCCTGTGATCCAAACTATCCCCCTATTTCTGTCTGAGCTTCAAGACAGGTGAGACAGAAACCAGTCCCTTGAGTACTTGAAATGTGGCTAGTGGAATTAAACCCTGACATTCCACTAGCCACCTGATGAATTAAAAATAAATTTTTTTTTAATTTTAATTAACTTAAATTATTTAAAATTAAACAATAACATTGGCTATAATAAAAAATATGGAGGGCTGGGTACAATGGCTCACACCTGTAATCCCAGCACTTTGGGGAGCTGAGGCAGGAGGATCATTTGAGCCCATGAATTTGAAACCAGCCAGGGTAACATAAGGAGACCCCATCTCTACAAAAAAATTTTTTTTAAACTAGCCGGGTGTGATGACGTGTGCCTGTAGTTCCAACTACTCGGGAGGCTGAGGTAGGAGGATTGCTTGAGCTTGGGAGATTGAGGCTGCAGTGAACTAGGATCGTGTGACTGCACTTTAGCCTGGGTGACAGAATGAGAATCAGTGGCTAAAAAAATAAAAACATAAAGATGGACAAGTATTGGCAGGGATGTAGAGAATTGGAACCTTCATACATTGCTGGTGGGAATGTAAAATGGTGCAGCTGCTTTGGAAAACAGTGTGGCAGTTCCTCCAAAAGTTAGATATAGAGGTGCCACATGATTCAGCAAATCCAGTAATCCACTGTGAGGTATATACCCGAGAGACTTGAAAACATAGTCACACAAAATCTCATATGTGAATGTTCACAGCAGCACTATCCATAAAAGATAAAAAACAGAAACAACCTAAATGTCTATTAGCTGATCAATGTGACATATTTAAAAGGTAGTTTATCTATATAATAGAATATAAAAAGAAATTAGTACCTATACATGCTACAACATGGATGAACCTTGGAAAAACTATGCCAAATGAAATAAACCAGACATAAAAACACATGTTACAAGAATCCAATTACATGAAATGTCTAGAATAAACAAATCCACAGAAACAAAAAATAACATTAGCGATCACAAGGAGCTGGGGAGAAAGAGGGAACGGGTATAGGGTTTCTTTTTGGGACAATGAAAATGTTCAAGAATTAGATAGTGGTAACAGTTGCACAACCTTGTGAATATACAAAAAATGTGAAATTGTACATTTTAACATAATGTATTTTTTCAGTATGTAAGTTATATTTCAATTTAAAAAATAGTCACATGCGACTAGTAGGTATGGCATTGAACAACACAGGTCAAGATCAGACTTGGGAATTCCTTTCCCTTTGTCAGTGAACAAGAACCCAGTTCTGGCCAATGAAACATATGAGGGAGAGTTGCTGCGTTCTCCTGGGAAAAGCTTCCTCACTTACAAGCAGACATGGTAAAAGGTATCCCTTCCAAGGAGACATAGAAAGAGACATAGTAGAGGTTAGCTATTTTTCCTATATTCTCTTCATTCTTTTTCCTATGGTGTACAGGACATGCAGCTTAGAACCTGTGATGCTATCTTGAGTTCATGAGGAGGCAGGTGAACATACCCAAACATGTAATACCCATATATGTGTATGTATATACCCTGTACCCATATATATACATTTATGGGTATGTATATATGCATATTTTGGCTATTTATTTTATTTTATTTATTTATTGTTAATTTCTTTTTATTCAACTTTTATTTTAAGTTCCTGGGTACACGTGAAGGATGTGCAGGTTTGTTACAGAAGTAAATGTGTGCTGTGGTGGTTTGCTGCACAGATCAACCCATCACCCAGGTATTAAACCCGGCATCCATTAGCCATTCTTCCTGATGCTCCCCTTCTTCCCACTCCCTGCCCTCTACAGGCCCAGTGTGTGTTGTTCCCCTCCCTGTGTCCATGTGTTCTCATAGTTCAGCTCCCACTTATAAGTGAGAACATGAGGTGTTTGGTTTTCCATTTCTGTGTCAGTTTGCTGAGAATAACAGCTTCTAGCTCCATCTCTGTTCCTGCAAAGGACATAATCTTGTTCCTTTTTATGGCTGCATAGTATTCCGTGGTGTATACGTACCACATTTTCTTTATCTAATCTATCATTGATGGGCATTTGGGTTGATTCTATGTCTTTGCTATTGTGAATATTGCTGCAATGAACATACACATCCACGTATCTTTATAATAGAATATTTTCCTTTGGGTACATATAATTTCATTTTATTTTTTTATTTTAAAATTGCATTTCAATAGCTTTAGGGATACACATGGTTTTAGTTACATGGATGAATTTTGTCATGGTGAAGTCTGGGCTTTTAGTGTACCCATCACCCAAACAGTGTGACTTGTACCCAATAGGTGAGTTTTCATCCCTCACTTCCCTCCCAGCCTCCCCGATTCTGAGGCTCCCTTTTCCATTATATCACTTTGTCTGCTTTTGTGTACCCATAGCTTAGCTCCCACTTAGAAGTGAGAATGTGTGATGTTTGGTTTTCCCTTCCTGAGTTACTTCATTTAGGATAATGGCCTCCAGTTCCAACCAAGTTGCTTCAAAAGATATTATTTCATTCTTTTTTTATGGCTTAACAGTATTCTATTATATATCTATATCCATAATATATATATATATATACCACAATTTTTTTATCTACCCATTGGTTGATGGGCACTTAGTTTGATTCCATGTCCTTGCAATTGTGAGTTGTGCTGAAATAAACATACACGTGCAGCTGTCTTTTTTACATAATGATATCTTTCCCTTTGGGTAGATACCCAGTAGTGGGATTGCTGGACTGAATGGTAGATCTACTTTTAGCTCTTTGTGAAATGTCCACAGAAGTTGTACTAATTTACATTCCTACCAACAGTGGATAAGCATTTCCTTTTCACCACATTCATGCCAATATCTGTTTTCTTTTTTTTTTTAATTTAATAATGGCCATGCTGACCGGGGTAAGGTGGTATTTCATTGTGGAAACCTACGTATGTTGAGGATGGCAGAGGGTAAGATGGAAAACACGTGGGGTTTTGATGGTATTGTTGAGCCCTGTCTCATAGTTTACCTGAGGCCTTCCTTCTGTCTCCACTAGGTATGCATTTATTTGAGAATATAAATTGTCTCATTATTTAAGCCATTTTGAGTCAATTACTTGCTGCTGAAAACATCTGAACTGATACAGTTACATTACCTCATCTCACCACTCTTCATTATCATTCTCCTCCTCCTCCTGTTCCTCATATTTTTCCTGGAATTACCCAAGGTGCTATTTTATGTTGGGTGGAAACTTTAGTACAGATATAGGAATTTCTGAGACTGTGCTTGACTGCTAGGTGAGGAGGATTTCTCCCTAATGGGTTTCTCTCTCCTCCTTAAGTAACTGCTGGAGAGATCATTCTATTACTAAACGGCATTTTCACAGTACTTTACAGCTTTTGGATGTCCAGCACACCATCCTTTATCTCATTTAATGTTCATTACGACCTAGTAAAATGGTTAGAACTGGGACTTTTACCCTATTTTGAGCATGAGGAAGGCAAGCTTTGGGTGGAAGTGATTTGCCCCAGGTCATCCAGGAGGTCATGGAGAAGCAAACAGTCAAACCCAGGTCTTCTGACTTCTGTTTTAGTACCTCTAAGCACAATAGCTTCTTTGGAGCAGACATTGGGTAGTGGTGTTAGATTCCTATTCATTTTTCTTCTCCTTTCCAACAGGGAGGGACACAATGGAATCTGCAGCCATGATTTAGAAGTATGCACTGGTGGTCCCACCTTCTTCCTGCCCTTTACCAATTTCATGACAAATGGGGTCTACTTTAGGGAACCGCGAGGCAGAAAACATCTGGATGGACCACATGCCAGAAGGCAGACTTAAAGTCCTAAATATTCGTCTTCTTGGATTATAGAAATCTTGTCTCCTGGCCTCTAAACCTGAGACAATGAAGTGACAGGGACATAGGTAGGTGGATTTTGGTGCTGCCCTGAATATCTGTCGCATTTGAAAGAGAGAGAGGGCTGGGTGTAATTAGGCTGGTTCAAGGTAGCTTGTTAACCCACACCAGCAGCAGGTATGAGGAGTAGTCCTACAAAAGCAGTAATTCCAGTCTGGTTCCCGCAGTAATTCTGGCTCTCAAAGGAAACCAGGAAAGGAGGCTGGTGCCTGCTCAGCTCATTCCACTTTCCCAAATCAACTGTCTTCAAGCCCCATACTTACCCCACAGGCCTAGCAACTGAAATGGCTTTATTGCCTGTCTTACTGAGAAAATGCAAAACACCAGCTGTTAGACATCTTCCCAGCTCAAGTTCTTTCTCAGAGAATGTGGTATGGGATAGCAGAAGGACACCAACTTCACTATTTTTGTCATCAGCATCATCACCATGGTTAATATCATCTCCATCAGCATCAACAACATCCAGAATAGCAGGAAGTGATATTACCTACATGTCAGGTGTGCTGTGATGCACTTTACACACACCATCTCATCTTACTTCTCACAATTTCCCCATGAGATAGGTTCTGATATGATTTGCAATTTACAGAGGAGGAAACTGAGGCACAGAACATTAAGTGGCTTACCTAGAGTCACACACGCATTCATGCAGAACCCAGGAATGGATCCCAGGCTCCTCTGACCCTGAGCCTAAGTGTTACAGTGCTTCTCTAGATGGCAGAAGCATTTAACCATTGATCATTTGATTAGTCAATCATCAGGATCAAATTCTAATCCCTGTGCAGTTGCAGTCATTCCTCAGTATATTCAGAGGATTGGTTCCAGGATCACTTGTGTATACCCAAATCCCAGCATGCTCAAGACCTGCAGCTGGCCCTGAAGAACTGCATATAGGAAAAGTCTGCCCTCTGTATGTGTGGATGTACTGTCTGTTCTCATGCTGGTAATAAAGAGATACCTGAGACTGGGTAATTTATAAAGGGAAAAGATTTAATGGACTCACAGTTCCACGTGGCTGGGGAGGCCTCACAATCATGGTGGAAGGCAAGGAGGAGCAAGTCATGTCTTACATGGATAGTGGCAAGCAAATAGAGAGCTTGTGCAGGGAGCTCCTCTTTATAAAACCATCAGGTCTCGTGAGACTTATTCACTATCATGAGAACAGCATGGGAAAAACCCACCCCCATGATTCAATTACTTCCCATTGGGTCCCTTCCACGACACTTGGGAATTGTGAGAGCTACAATTTGAGATGAGATTTGGGTGGGGATACAGCCAAACCAGCTTTCACATCCAGGGAATACTGTGTTTTCATCCGCATTTGGTTGAAAAACATTCACATATAAGTGGTCCCGTGCATTTGAAACCTAAGTTGTTCAACTCTTGCTCAGTTCTGCATCTCACATCTCTAATGCTCATGATTAGACATAGAGATGTGAATGAAAAACTGAGTTTTATTTATTTATTTATTTTTGCAGAATAGCATGGAAAATAGGAACTGCTAGTGTCAACTAGGAAGGACTGTCACAAGGATTAGATGAGATCATTGAGAATCCAAGGACAACTGTTTAAAATGGACCCTGGAGAATAAATCAGTGAGGACTGGGGAATTTCCTTGCCCAGAGGGAGGAGCTGGGGCCAAGCTCACCTTCTGATGGAGTATGTGGGTTTCTCGTCCCAGAAGGAGGAGCTTTTCCCAAGCCCAGCTTTCCAGGGCCTTTCCCAGATGACTCCAGAATGCCTGATGTCAGGCTGTATTTCTCCCTTGTCAAGGCTGCTGTCACACTTACCAGTGTGGCGAATCCTCAAGGATCTAGAACCAGAAATACCACTGAAGCCAGCAATCCCATTACTGGGTATACACCCAAAGGATTATAAATCATTCTACTATAAAGGCACATGCACGCGTATGTTTATTGCAGCACTGTTCACAATAGCAGAGACTGGGAACCAGTCCAAATGCCCATCAATGATAGACTGGATAAAGAAAATGTGGCACATATACACCATGGAATACTGTGCAGCTGTATAAAAGGATGAGTTTATGTCCTTTGCAGGGACATGGATGAAGCTGGAAACCATCATTCTCAGCAAACTAACACAAGAACAGAAAACCAAACACCACATGTTCTTACTTGTAAGTGGGAGTTGAACAGTGAGAACACATGGACACAGGGAGGGGAACATCACACACCAGGGCTTGTCAGGAGGGTGGGGGGCTAGGGGAGGGATAGCATTAGAAGAAATACCTAATATAGATGATGGGTTGATGGGTGCAGCAAACCACCATGACACATATATGTAACAAACCTGCAAATTCTGCACATGTATCCCAGAACTTAAAGTATAATTTAAAAAAAAAGAAAAAAAGAGAGTAATTAATGGAGTGAGGTCTTTCCCTGGAACATACTCCAGAGAGGGTCCACTGAGCACATCTCTATCTGAGAGTGATAAGAGAATGACACATCTTGTCCCCTCTTTCTGATCTTGGTTTTGTCATCTCCAATAAAGCCATTCTGTGTGATGCTGTGCAGAATTCATCACAAGCCCTGGCACCTGACAGATGGCAACCACAAAAGGACACACCTTAGGGACAGTGATGTGGCTGACATTCTCTAGCACAGTGCTGGGCACAGAGAAAGCCATAATGGCTGCCACTTGCCACAGTGTCATGGAGATAATGATTGTTGTCTTCACTGTGAATGTGGCCATCACTTCCCTGTCTCAGCCAAGCACTGCACATGCCCTTCCTTCTGCCCCTCCATCTTGGCGATCCCTGCAGCATGGAAGGCAGGGGACTTTAAGAAACCAGCCTCATGCTTCAGTACTGCATCAAAGAAATGTCAGAGGCTGAGTCCGCTCCAGAATGTAATGTGTCCTGTCAATCAGCCCTCAGACCGAAGACCTGCAAGGTCCATTGACGGAAGCCCGAGAAGATTTATTTTGTCTCATTTAATTGCCCTTTTTGCTTTGTAAACATAAAGGTTACAGCTTCTAGTCTGACAGCTAGAGTAGCCTTTTTCTTATCAGAGAAAAAAAAATGACATTTGGATTCTTAGAAAATGTTTCCTTCACTCTTCTCTAATAGCTCACCCCACTTTCCCCTTGCCTAGTGCAAGGACTAGGAGGCTTGTTCAGTAAGACCCCAACAATGGAGTTAGATGGACCCCTGTGACCTCAGGCAAGTGGCCATTCCTCGCTGGCCTCAGTTTCTTCTTCTCTTAAATGGGGATGACAATAAGACTCACCTCAAAGGGTTGCTGTGAAAATTCACTGGAGTGGTGCCATAGAGTGATTGAGGGTCAGAGCTAGGAGCTGGAGTTCCTGGGTTCAAATCCCAGCTCTGCCACTTCCTAGCTATGTGATGTCATCTCTCTATGCCTCATCTTCCTTCTCTGTCAAATGGAAATGACAGTAATGGCACCTAGTGCACAAGGTTATTAGGAGGAGCAAATGAGTGAGTTAATATGTGTAAAGATCTCGGAACAGCATAAGGGCTGCTTAATGGGAGCTTTTATTTTATTTTATTTTTATTTTTTTGAGACAGAATGTCTCTGTCACCCAGGCTGGAATGCAGTGGCATGATCTCATCTCAACCTCCGCCTCCCAGGTTCAAGTGATTCTCCTGCCTCAGCCTCTCGAGTAGGTGGGACTACAGGTGCCCACGACCATGACCAGATAATTTTCGTGTATTTTTAGTAGAGACGGGGTTTCACCATGTTGGTCAGGCTGGTCTTGAACTCCTGACCTCAAATGATGTGCCCAACTCAGTCTCCCAAAGTGCTGGGATTACAGGTGTGAGCCACAGTGGGGCTTTTAAATGATCATGTCCCATGCAGTTCATGCCTGGCCTGCAAAGGAGGTAGCTGTTATTATTTACAAAGTAACTCCTCAAGGAATGCTTTATGTATTGGCTTTTAATAATTTGGGGAGTTCCTGTAAAATGGAGATTTCTGCATTTGTGAGAAGCTGGAAGCTCTCTAGCACTGCTGGAACCACATTCCTACACAGTAACAATTGCTGTGCTGAGTGGCGGGGCCTGCCATTACCCTCAGACCTGTAGGCATTCCTTTTCTCATCTTCTAGCCACAGAAACCTGAGAGAAGTTCTTACTCATAGAGGCTGAGGCCACTGGAGCCCTTCTTTTCTCCCAAGATGTTCATCCAGCGTCAAGCTTAAGCAATGCACCATCTTGCCATGGGGTGATTTTTCCAGCCTTGACTGAGACAGGGCTATGCCCTTGGCTGCAGGTTTCAGACCAGCCTTTCTACCCTTGGGCCACATGAGGCCTGCTGAAGTCCAAAAATACTCAACATAGAAATTCAGAGCGAAAAGTTAGAAAGATTTTTCATGTTGCTGCTTTGCAAATATCCCAGATATTAGCCATTCTAACTTAGTTTAATCACTAGGTGATTTAAGTCTTTAGACTATCTGCATATTTACATGAGACTTAATAATACACTTTTCATGTTGAATGCAGGGAAAATTATAACTCATACATATATGTATTTGTAAATATTTTCTCCATCATTTGCTTCTCTCTGTAGCCCTAAAATCTGCTCACCACTACTTTGCTTTTCTGGTTTGTATTGTCTGGTTAAAAACATCAACTCAATCATGTAACCATCTCTAAGCAAATATCCAACAATATGTATCTACAGAAATCATTTCTGCGGCTCATTTCCACCTTTAAAAAAGGGGAGATTTTCCTTTGCAAGAAAGATCTCAAAAGTTGTGGCAGGTGCTGAGTCAGTAAGATAAATAAATAAAAAGGGCTGGGTGTGGTAATAGGGAGGGGTGAGGAGTGTGGCAAACTGAAGACAACATGCTCTGCATAGAAGAGGCAGCTGAAACTCAGCTCTGGTCAAGGGTTGCCAAGCAGGAATTGAAACTCAGTGTTAACAGACAGTCTAATTTTTAAAGAAAGTTGGGAACACTCAATTTTTATCAGTAATTGTTCAATTTTTAAATATTAATAAGTACTAAAAATAAAAAAAAACCTCTGTGAGCCAAACAAAACACATCTATGAGATCAATGAGATCAATTTGGGCTCAGATATGCAGCCTCTTCAGTGCAGAATATTAGTAATGTGTTTGGGGTGTGGAGTCAGAAGACCCAGGGGTTGGCTCTGAGCACTGTCACTAGCTGATTGTCAGGGTCTTTTAAACTCTCTGAACTTCAATTTCTTCATCACTAATATGGAGACATGACTATTTGCCTGAAAGAGTTATTGTTGAGGATTAAATGAGGAAATTCTGGCTAGGCACAGTGGCTCAAACCTGTAATCCCAGCACTTTGGGAGGCCGAGGCAGGCGGATCACGAGGTCAGGAGATCAAGACCATCCTGGCCAACATGGTGAAACCCTGTCTCTACTAAACACACACACACACACACACACACACACACACACAAAATAGCTGGCGTGGTTGCAGGTGCCTGTAGTCCCAGCTACTCGGGAGGCTGAGGCAGGAGAATCACTTGAACCCGGGAGGCGGAGGTTGCAGTGAGCCAAGATCGCACCACTGCACTCCAGCCTGGGTGACACAGCGAAACTCCGTCTAAAAAAAAAAAAAAAAAAGGAACTTCTTATGCAAATCTTAGTGCAGTGCCAGCACATAGTAAATGCTCAGGAAATAAATTGTGGCTGTAAGAGGTTTTCTAGGTGAGAGGCACATGATTTTTTACTGGTGATGGTCAAATAGCTTTTTGCCACAGCCAGAGCAGTGAATCTGTGGCCAACCAAAACATGAACATGATTTGACTGCAGTCTTTACCAGGTATTCTTGTCAGATCAGCTCTTTTTTTTCCCCTTCTAAAATTAGTTTCGATCCACTGATCCCACAGAGTGTAGCTCCAGCTTCCGTTCTCCCACCATTCACTCAGCAGAGAAATGCCAATATTGCCGTTTCCCATGCACCCAGCTTGGCTGCAAATGCATTCAGGAAAGACCAAATGGGGGGCAGTGTGGCATCGCATACTGAGTCAAAGAGGCCCTGGACAGGGGCTGCTGGTTGGCAAGTCCTTTCTTGGCACAAAATGAGCAGTCAGCAGAAGGTGTTTTATACACTGCCCTGAATCCCTGTGAATTAGCCTGCTATTAGCATGAAAAATATTAAGCAATAAACCGTTGCGATATTTAACACTCTCTACAGAGGCTTGTTGCTACAGGCGTAACCAATGCAGACCATGTTAATGAGCAAACAGAAGCCGTGCAGCAGGAAGGGACGGGGCTGGCTGTGGCACACACAGGCTCTAGGCACCTCACCAACAAAACATGCTAGGTTGAGCTGGGTGCAGTGGCTCACGCCTGTAATCCTAGCACTTTGGGAGGCCCGGGTGGGTGGATTGCCTGAGCTCAGGAGTTTGAGACTAGCCTGGGCAACATGGTGAAATCCCATCTCTACAAAAAAATACAAAAAATGAGCCGGGCGTGGTGGCGTGAGCCAGTAGTCCCAGCTACTCGGGAGGTTGAGGCAGGAGAATTCCTTGAACCCGGGAGGCAGTGGTTACAGTGAGCCGAGATCGCGGCACTGCACTCCAGCCTGGCTGACAGAGTGAGACTCCATCTCCAAAAAAAAATATAAAATAAAAAATAAACAAAACATGCTAGGTTGAAGATGTGTGTGCCACATGTGGAGGCTTGTACACACGGGCATGCTTCTGCTTGGGCACACACACATGCAGACACAAGCATGTCCACATGCAGATACACACATAGTAAATATTTATGCACAAGTGCAATGCACCAGGAACGTGCACACACACGCGCCACATTCACATGCGCAGGCACTCAGACATCCCACCCATCCTGTACCCATACACCCAAATACGTGGTCACAGGCATATGTACATGCACATACACACAAGTAAAAACTTCTCCCCCAATGATGGGTATAGTGGTTTGGTCTGACCTGATAACAGAACTTATTTTCTGTCCATTTGGAGTAGAGATCTGGCCAAATGATGACTTCACTTAGTGACAACTAACCCTGATGGCAGCTTCATGTGATGGATTTTAAAGGATCCAAGATTCGGCTGCAATGGAACAGTGGCTGCGTAAGACCAGGGATACAGATATTTAGGCTAAAAGAGTATGAGCTACCAGTGGACCTTTAAACAGTCATTTATATGACTGGAGACTGTACAGATGTTAATGGTCTTGTTTTCCTGGGAGCCTAACCAGTGGGAGGGTTCAAAAACTTTCCATGACTCCCTCCTGCCTTAGGAACCAATCTAGACTTATGCATTCTGTACTGATCTTCCTTCAGCATTAGTTCTGAATTTCCTGAGTTACTCTTAACCATGCCTGCGAGTCTCCAAATATCCTGAGCAATTTGCTTTAAACAAAACAAACAAACAGAACAAAAACAACAACAACAGCAACAACAAAAAAACCAAGCTGAGCGCAGTGGCTCATGCCTGTAATCCCAGCACTTTGGGAGGCCAAGGCAGGCGGACCTCTTGAGGTCAGGAGTTTGAGACCAGCTTGGTCAACATGGTGAAACTCTGTCTCTACTAAAAATACAAATATTAGCCGAGTGTAGTGATGCCCGCCTGCAATCCCAGCTATTCGGGAGGCTGAGGCAACTTGAACCTGAGAGGCGGAGGTTGCAGTGAGTAGAGATTGTGTCATTGCACTCCAGGCTGGGTGACAAGAGCGAGACTCTGTCTCAAAAAACAAACAGACACACAAACAAACAAACAAAAAATCACCTAATTCTTTCATTTCCTCAGGTCTTTGCACATACTCTGACATCTTCCCAGAAAACTCTTTTCCTCTCTTCTCTCTCTCTCTCTTTTTTTTTTGTTTTTGTTTTCTTTTTTGTTTCTGAGAAAGGCTCTCACTCTGTGGCCCAGGCTGGAGTGCAGTAAGGCGATCTCTACTCACTGCAACCTCTGCTTCCCGGGTTCAAGTGATTGTCCTGCCTCAGCCTTCTGAGTAGCTGGGACTACAGGTGCACACCATCAAGCCTGGCTAATTTTTGTATTTTTAGTAGAAATGGGGTTTTACCATGTTGGCCAGGCTGATCTCGAACTCCTGACCTCAAAGTGATCCACTTGCCTAGGCCTCCCAAAGTGCTGGGATTACAGGTGTGAGCCACTGTGCCTGGCCATCTCTTCTCATTTTTAAAAACCCAACAGAAATGTCACTTCTGGGAATACTTCTACTTGACTCAGCAGGCAAAATCCATTAATCAATCATGAGCCTACTATGTGTTAGGCACTGTGTTTGGGGTTCATGATCTTGAACTCCTGGACTCAAGTGATCTTCCAGCCTCGGCCCCCCAGAGTGCTGGGATTACAGGTATGAGCCACTGCATCTGACCAGTTGTGTTTGGGATTTAAAGACAGATGCAATATAGCCTAGGCTCACGTGGAATCCCCAGAATTAGCCACCATGACTAATTCTGTGTTCCTAAAGCACCCTGCACACAGCATCCTGTGGTAACTTTAACTATTGCAGTGCAAGTATTTTCATGTCTGTGTTTTTCCCTAAAGAAACAGCTGTTGCTTTTCCTCCTCCTCCTCCTCCTCCTCTTCCTCCTCCTTCTTATATCTAGTTTTTTAAAAAAATTTTAGACTCAGGGGTTACATGTGAAGGTTTGATACATGGGTATGATGAGTGATGCTGAAATTTGGGCTTCTTGATCCTGTCACTCAAATAGTGAACACAATACCTGATAGGTAGTTTATCTCCTTTCCTCCCTCCCCTCTTTTGAGATCCCCAGTGTCTATTATTCCCATCTTTGTGTCCATGTGTACTCAATGTTTAGCTCCCTCTTATAAGTGAGAACATGTGGTATTTGGTTTTCTGTTTCTGTGTTAATTTGCTTGGAATAATGGCCTCTAGCTATATCCATGTTGCTGCAAAAGACATAATTTCATTCTTTTGTATGGCTGCATAGTATTCCATGCTATATGTATACTACACTGTGTTTATCCAATCCAGCATTGTTGGGCCCCTGGGTTCACTTCATACCTTTGCTATTGTGAATCGTGCTGTGATAAACAGGGGAGTGCAGATGTCTTTTTGGTAGAATGATTCATTTTTCTTTGGGTATATACCCTGGTATGGGGTTGCTGGGTGGAATGGTAATTCTATTTTTAGTTCTCTGAGAAATTTCCAAACTGCCTTCCACAGGGGCTGAACTAATTTGCACTCCCACCAACAGTGTATAAGTGTTCCCTTTCTCTGCAACCTTGCTGACATCTGTTAGTTTTTGACTTTTTAATAATAACCATTCTCACTCGTGTGAGATGGTAGCTCATTGTGGTTTTGATTTGCATCTCAAGAATGAGCTTCTTAAAGTCTGAAGCTGTGCCTTTTATATTACTGTGTCACCAGTGCTTAGCCTTGTGCCTGGCCTAATGTAGATAGTTGATAGGTTCTCATCATGCAAAGTAAGAAATCTATTGCAGTAAAATGCAAATGATAGTAGCCAGCAATGAACTATAAGTAGAAATGTTGGTGTAAAATGAATGAGGGAGGGTGGATGTGATCTCATGGAGGATTTTAAGTGCTACGTGAGATTGCTCTGATTAGTGAGATGAGAGAGAGCTGCTTGCAGAATGTTTTCATTCCTGCAATGACAAGGCTTCAATAAGTCAAGAACATGTTTAGGGACAGCCTGAACCGGGGCAGTGACAGTGGGGATAGAGAAAAATGGACTCAAATGAACAGGGGTCAGGACAGGGGGTGCTGTTGGGTAGGGTTAGATAGAGAAGAAGGATAGGATCGCTTTGTCACTGCTTAGATCACCGACTGAGTACAGGCACCATTCCCTGAGATGGGGATGATGGGAGGAGATTTGAGAAGGAGAGGTCAGTTTGGAGAGGAGGATTCGTGGAAGCGCTTTAGTAGGAAGCAAACCCAGGAAACACTGGCAGGGAAGTGGGACAGTAGGACAGGGAAGGGGGACAGTAGGACAGGGAAGGGAAAGAGAAAATGCAGTGGTGCAGCAAATTGAAAGATCTGTGGCTTAGACCCACAGGGCAGCCCTGGAGACAGCGCAGGTCACACCCCAGAGCTGTCTCTATCTGGGCATGAGGCCTGAAGTATTTATATTCCTGCAACTGGCAGTCATTGGTTAAAAACTGTCCCCAGTGGGGACATAAATCCCTAGGCACTCTGGCCCTGTGCACATCCAGGAATAGTGGTTTCCAGTAGCCTGTGTGCAGCCAACCCTCTGACAAAGCAACAGGGGACTGCCGGTTGGGAGTGGAAACCGCAGGAGCTTGGCAGCACAAAGCCAGTCAGGGGACAGAGACAGTGTGAACAGAGCTACACGGTAGCAGAGTGGAGGGTTTGGTTGGGGCCTTACTGAGCTGGGGTTACATGGGGATGCATTCTCTGAGTGAAGATTTGTATTAGTAAGTTGGTGTATTAGGCTGTTCCTGATAAAGAAATACCTGAAACTGGGTAATTTATAAAGAAAGGAGGTTTCATTGGCTCATGGTTCCGCAGGCTGCACAAGAAAGGCACCAGCATCTGCTTGGCATCTGGGGAGGCCTCAGGGAGCTTTGACTTCTGGCAGAAGGTGAAGGGGGAGCCGTCACGTGGGGAAAGCAGGAGCAAGAGTGGGTGGGAAGTGCCACGCTCTTTGAAATGACCAGATCTCTCGAGAACTCTCTCATTGCTGCGTGGACAGCGCCAAGCCGTGAGAGATCCCTTTCTATGATAAAAACACCTCCCACCAGGTCACACCTCCAACGTTGGGGCATCTCAACATGAGATTTAGGTGGGGACAAATATCCAAACCACATGAGTGGGTTAGTCATTCATTCAATCAATCCATCAGTATTACAGTGTGCCCCGTGCCTTGTTCTGTCGCAGGCAACAAGCCTCCTAGCAGATAAAGTGTCCGCCCTCACGAGACACCCACTCTCATGGCACAGATAATAAACAGCAGAATTCTAACATGTCAGGTAGGGATAAGTGCCAGGAAGGAAATGTCAACAAACGCAAACAGAGTAAGGGGACGGTAAGCGAGGGGATGAGCTGGAATTTGCCTGTGTTGTCTTTAAGGAGGTGACATTTGTGTTGTGACTTGAATGGAGGGAGCCAGCTATGTCAGCATCTGGGGGAAGAGCATTCTAGGCAGAAGGAGCCAAGAGAGAAACAAGCGTAGATTGACGGCAGGACTGCAGGAAGGCCTGTGTGGCAGAGAGGTAGTCAGAGACCAGGACACAAAGTGAGCGCCTTGGCCATGGGCTTTGTTCTGAATGTAATGGGTAGCCATTGATGGTCCATATTTATGCATTTAAAATGTATTTAATTTTTATTAACTGTATTTGATTTTTAATTTTAATTGCATTACTTGTGGCACACTGTTTTGATACATATTTACACTGGTGAATGATTTAATCACGCTAATTAACATACCTGTCATCTGATTTCCTTACAATTGTTTTGTAACGAGAACATTTAAAATTTACTGTTTTAGCAAATTAAAATATATAATACATGATTATTGATTTTATCACCATCCTGTACAATGCTGTTCACTGCAGCATCATTCACAATGGCTAAGATATAGAAGCAACCCAAATGCTCATCTATTGATGAACCGATCAAGGAAATGTATATCCACAAAAGAACACCATTCAGTCTTGAAAACTGCGAAATTCTGTCACTTGCGACAATGTGGATAAGCCTGGAAGACGTTATGGGAAGTGAAATAGGCCAGGCACAGAAAGAGAAATACTGCATGACCTCACTTACATATGGAATCTAAAAAAGTCAAACTCACCGAAGCAGAGAGTAGAATGATGGTTACCAGAGGCTGTGGGGGAGGGATGGATGAGAAAAAGGAAGAGGTTGATCACTGTTTTTTTTTTTTTTTCTTTTTTGAGACAGAGTCTTGCTCTGTCTCCCAGGCTGGAGTGCAGTGGAGCGGTCTCAGCTCACTGCAAGCTCCACCTCCTGGGTCCACGCCATTCTCCTGCCTCAGCCTCCCGAGTAGCTGGGACTACAGGTGCCTGCCACCATGCCCAGCTAATTTTTTGTATTCTTAGTAGAGACGGGGTTTCACCGTGTTAGCCAGGACTGTCTCGAACTCTTGACCTCGTGATCCGCCCACCTCAGCCTCCCAAAGTGCTGGGATTACAGACGTGAGCCACTGCGCCCGGACTTTTTTTTTTTTTTTTAAAGAAGTGTGCTTAGATTTAGGTGTTATCTTTTATTTTATTTTTTAAAAATTGCTAATAACATTTGTAGAAATATATGAGGCACATAGGATATTTTGTTATGTGCATAGAATGTGTAATAATCAAGTTAGAGTGTTCAGGATAACCATCACCTTGACATTTATCATTTCTATGTGTTGGGAACATTTCAAGCCTTTTTTTTCTAGCTATTTAAAAATATGCAATACACTGTTGACTACAGTCACCCTACTCTGTTGTCAAACATTAGAACTTATTTCTTCTATCATATTTATTGCAGCACTATTCACAATAGCAAAGATATGGAACCAACTTAATGTTTATCAATAGATGAATGGATAAAGAAAAGGTATACACACACACACACACACACACACAATGGAATACTATTCAGCCATAAAAAGCATGACATTCTGTCATTTGCAGCAACATGGATGGAACTAGAGGTTAATAGGGCAAGTGAAATGAGCCAGTCACAGAAAGACAGATATTGCCGTTCTGATTCATATGTGGGAGCTTAGAACAGCTAATATCATGGAGACAGAGAGTAGAATGATAGTGGCCAAGACTGAAATGGTGTGCATGTGGTGGGGCGCTGGCGAGTGGGGAGGTGAAGAGGGATTCATAGGTCGTTTTGAACAAAGGGGTGAAAAGATTCACATTTTTACCTTTTTAGAAGGTTACTCTGGCTGCTGGCTGGAGGACTCACAAAAGGAAACGAAGAGTGGAAGCCGTGAGTCAAATTAGGAGGCTATTGCTGGTGATTTGGAAATAGCAGTGGAGGTGATGGGAGGTGGGAAGATTCAGGATGTGGTTTGCTTGTAGACCCAGCAGGACTGGCTGTAGTATTGCATGCAGACTGTAAAAACGAGGAGTCGGGGATGAGTATCGGCTCTTTGACCTGAGCAACGGAGTGAAGGGGTTGCCGACTGAGGTGGGAAATCTGTCAGAGAAATCGGTTTAGGGAATCATATCAAGTCCCTTTTGGTTATGTTACCTGTGATGCATCCGGGTGGAGATAAGCAGGCAATAGTATGCAGAACTTCAGGGAGGAAGTTGAGAATCACTGGCTTCTAGATAATCTTTGAAGACATAGGGCTAGGTGAGAGCACCTAGGCAGTGAGTGTAGAAGAGAGGGCTGAGAAGCAAATGCTCGGGTGTTCCAATATGTAGTATTAGGAAGCAGGAGGAAAGCCTGCAAAGAAGACAGAGAAGCTTTGAGCAGGAGGAAAGCCAGGCGCATAGTGTGCCAAGAGCATGGAAAACACAGTATTTTAAGAAGGAGGGAAGGGCCTGCTGAGTAACATCTTGCAGAGCAGTTTGGTAGAAGATGTGGTGGTTGATGGAGGTGGTGGTTAGTAGTGGGGGAAGCTTGAGATGATTGATTTGAGAAGATATAGAAGAGAATGAATTTGAAAGTGGAGACAAGGAGTACAGACAGCATGCTTAAAGCATTTTCCTATAAGGGGAAGGTGAGAAGTGAAGTCTCGGTCATTTCTGTTACTATGAGAGCTGTTTCAACATGTTTTATGCTGATGGGATGATCCAACACAGAGTCTGAAACTCAGGGAACAGGTCTGAGCTGGAGAGAAAACTTTTCTTTTTTTTTTTTTTGAGATGGAGTCTCACTCTATCACTCAGGCTGGAGTGCAATGGCACGATCTCGACTCACTGCAACCACCTCCCTGGTTCAAGCAATTCTGCTGCCTCAGCCTCCTGAGTAGCTGGGATTACTGGTGCCCGCCACCATGCCTGGCTAATTTTTGTATTTTTGCAGAGATGGGGTTTCACCATGTTGGTCAAGCTGGTCTTGAACTCCTGACCTCAGGTGATCCACCTGGCTCAGCCTCCCAAAATGCTGTGATTACAGATGTGAGCCACCTCTACTGGCCTGGGGACAAAATTTAAAAAGCATCATTCAGATGTTTGCAGCTCCACATTAAAGAAAAAAAACAATCAAACTGGCACAAACAACCAGATTTCCCATCTCATGAAACAGTAATTCTAGAGGTAGAGCAAGTTCTAGGGTTGATGGTTCCAGTGGCTCAATGACGTATATCAACAAAGTCCCCAAATCCATACCATCCCTATTCTCTGCCCTCCATTGTTGAGGCTTCATCTTAGGGATGCCAGTTGCCATCTGGGCAATGCACTTCCACATTCAGCAGAAGAGAGCAACACCCCTCTCCCAGTAATCACTACAGCCATTCCCTTCAGTCTGATTAACCAGCTTAAGTCATGTAACCACAGTCACTGTTGAAATGTGTGCAATGGTTGGCTGAGAAATTAGATTCCATACCCGGAGTTGGGGATGATGCCAGATTCCTGTGGGTCACATGGATTCATGCATTAACAATGGGCTTTTGAACAAAATGTTGTGAAGGCGGAGAGGGAGAATGTTATGTGTGGATGCTGAACAAGTAGAAATCAATTTTATCTACAGGTATCATCATGGTGTAAAGAGCAATCAATACTGTCAGAGTGGGAGAGATTTTCTCAGGAAATCCTGTAACTGGAGAGGGAAAGTGGATTAATTATTATTAAATTAAATTATTATTTACTATTATTTATTACAAAGAAAGACAAAACTTTCTTATATATGCCCCCAACTTATACATTAATATCTTTGAAATAGGGGTACTGGTAACTTCTCTATTTAGTGAGGCATAAATGAATGAATAAGGAAAAGTTTCATCTTTCGTCCTCAGCTAGGAGAGGCTTAGAGAAGGAAGCAAAAGGTCTCTCCATTGGCAAGAGGCAAAACTGGTCCTTGAGTTCAAGGAGAATGAGATGTGGGTCCTTTCTACTCTGTAGTATTCCTGTGGTGGATATTAGCAGCAGAAGGCCACTTCCCCGAATCCCAAATCAGATGGATGTATAAACAGGACAAGCTCAGGTGTGGTTTATGCTGTATCACCCACCTGGTTTTGAGAGATGTCCATGTTAGCCTCTTGCCTCTGGGTGAGGCTAGCTCTCCTGGTGATCCTTCTTATTTAGACACAGGGCATGCCCTAGCCATTCATATTAAGATGAGAGATGTGGATGCAAGGGAGACCCCAAGGCTGATCTGTGAGTGAGAATTATTTAGGATGCAGACTGGTATCTGATATTGAATCCTCATTGCAGCAGAGTCTCTGTGTCTAAGTAGCGGCAAGTATGCATGGAGAATCTATGGGTTGGTTAAACAACACAGACAAATAAATGAAGGGCTCCAGCAAGGCAAGGTGTGGGGTCCAGGCGAGGTCTATAATTAGTCCAGAAGAATTCAGGTTAGGCCCATACAGGCAGGGCCACTTTAGAAACCTACAGGTCATCCCATGGACAAATGTCTCTAGTCTTAATGAACAGCTCTCTGAACTCAGTGTCTGGCCTAAACAATAGATAGCAGAATTTCTCCTCCTGACCAATGCTTAAGTCATGAGAGTAAGACTCCTTATAGTCAATGCTGTCTAGTGGAATGAGGATAAGTTTTGAAGATAGACTGGGGTTTGAATCCTGGGTCCATCGCTTATTAGCTATATGGCTGTGGATAAGTGAGATTGCATTTCTCACCTGCAGTATCCTTATCTATTAAGTGGGCGTGTCAAGTGTTGTCATAGGAATATTGGGATGGTTAAATAAAATAATGCATATAAAGCTTTTTAGCATGTTCTAGACATATAGTTTCACCTTAGGTCTTGGCTTACTGACATATCCTTGGGAACATCTTACCTGATTTTCCAGACTACTATTATATATGTTCCCTTAGCACCTTGACGCTCTTCACAGTAACTATCCAGTTGAAATTATTAATTCATAAAGTAATTACTATTAATTACATAAAGTAACTATCCAGTTGAAATTAATTATTAATTCATAAAGTAATTACTATTAATATTGGGGTAATTATTTAATCTTTCTTTTGCTGGTCTGTACTGAGTAGGATAGACAGTATATTTCTTGAAAAAAATAAAAGAAGTACTATGCCAGAGAACTTAAAGGGTAAAATAATAGCCAAGGATTTTTGCCTTTCACTCATCCATATGCCATCCATCCATCCATCCCGTCCATCCACCCATCCACCCGTCCATCCATCCTTCTAGCCATCCATCCATCCACCCATCCATCCAACTATCTATCCACTCTCTCTAGTACATCATTTAAGACAACAGACACTCTGAAGATTTGCTATGTATCAGGCCCTTGGTAAGCTCCATGGAGGTCCATTTATGCACTCATTTCTGCCATTCTTTTCAAATTTACTGGAAGATGCAATTATTTGCCATCACAGTGCCAAGGCCAAGTGGGCAAATATCTAAGTCCAATTTCAAGGAGAATAATGAAGTGTGAAAAATGTGAGTTTACATGTGTTTTTAATTAAGAGGTAGGGGCAGGTTTGGGTAGAAAGCTAACTGAGTTGTTAGGATAACCGGTAGAGGTTAAATTGGAGAAGATGATGCAGGCAAATGGCTGGAAGACTGATCCACATTTAAGTTGGGCATACATGGAGCTACTAGGAGCTCCTATAATGCACTACAGTGAGAAAGTGAGTTTATTTCCAAGGACTGGGTCAGGGATCAGCACTTGACCTTACCCAAGTCAATGCATTGGCAGTGGCTAAGGTCACTATGTTAGCCTCTGCCCCTGACTACATTTCTGCCTATGCTTCCTTAACCAAGACTTAAACCTTGATAATTCTGACTGACACCTGATCTTCTCCATGGACCCTATTCTCTATATCCCTAAACCCCTTGTGGAGTCCCACTCCCTGAAGAGTGACTTCCAATTCTCTGACAGAGTTGTGAGGCTCTGTTCACCTGAGCTGCAGTTTCACCCTCAGATCTCCCGGTTGTCCATCCATATACCACTCACCCATCCATCCTTCCACCAGAATATCCTGGATTGAGCTTAAATTCACCCCTACCCATCACTCTTCCAGACGGTGAACTCAACTGGTTGCAAATGGTTCAAATGGTGCAAAATTTGGACTGGTTGCAAATGGTCCAAAAGTTCTTACTTCTCTGAATAATCTCTAAGTTACGAAGTAGTTCAGAGAATTAAATGAGTTAGTGTATGTAAAGGGCTTTAACAGTGCCTGCATGCAGTGGCAGGTGTCATTATTGCTGTTGTTAGTATGGATCTTTTAGGATGGAGTGCTGGAAAGCAAAGAACACTTATCCCAGCTTCACAAGACCTGGTTTTTTCCAAGGTCTGCAACTAATTTAAATGTGATTTGAGGTAAGCCCCTTAATACCCTTGGATCTCAATTTCACCATCTCAAGTCATCTCAAAGGCCCTCTTTAACTAGATCCTGGCTTATTTTCTACAGGCTTAATTCCCCAAATACTGGAATGGTGCATTAATTCATTGATAACTCTTATAGCATTAATTAAAAGACAAGAATCAAATTGATTGAAGTCAAAAGAAGATTTTTTCCCCTTTAGCTTACAAAATAATGTCAGTAGGGTTACCTTTCTGTTCCTTTTTCAGCTTGACTTTGCTTTGACTTGGCTTCCTGCTCAGGCAGTCACTCCCCTCAGGTACCTGCTGGCATGCCCTGTTTGTTCTCCCTAGCAGCCAAATAACCACAGCAGTGGCTTTTTTGCCAATTGTCTATCAGAAGTCCCAGAATTCACATCTCCAGGACTGAAGTGGGTCATGTGACTTTCTGAACCAATCACTGTGACCAGGGTGAGGGTTGGCCATGTTGCTTATGAAGCCCTGATGTTGATAATGAGAGTGGGTGCCAGCAGCCTCATAAGATTAGGAGATGGAAGGACTGGATGGAAGGACTGGAAACTGGAATGCTGTACTAGAAGGAGAGATGGCTACAGGGTAGGCAGAACAATAGATGTCCATGGAAGGGGCACACAAATGGAGCCTGCCATAACCAGGCCCTGGTCTACCTCTCTGGAACTTTCTCTCTTCCCATTCCTTGAATGCCATATTCTTTCTTCTGCTTCCTTTCTCTTGCCAGAACACCTTCTTATCCTTGTCTGCTTGCTGAGCAGTTTCCCACCCTTCAAGAATTGTGAGGAACTGTTCTTCATTGTTCCTTCCTCTGTGTTCCCATAATGCCATGCTTAGATCTACATCTCAGAGACTATGATGATGCAATGCAACTGCTTATTCCCTGCCTGTCTCCTTCACTGAATTGTGAGTCCCAGAGGGCAGTGACTCTGAGATTTATCTTTGTAGCTCTAGTGCCTGGAGGAGTCGTGGTGCACAGTAGGCATTTAATAAATGTTTCTTGCATTAAAAGGATTCAATCAAGTTGCAATTTATCTAAGCCTTGCCAGTGTCCCCAGTTGCGCATCATTTTCCTGTGTCCTAGAGGATGCTGGGAAGTTCAATGTGACACAATTACAAAGGCCTGGGAGAGGAGGGCAGCCAGTGAATACAAGATTTTGTTCTTAGTGGTGTATTGTTTATTAAGAGACCTTGGCACCTTGCATCTGCCGGGAGCTGGACAAAAGAATTGGAAAGTTGTGACCAGAATGCCAAAGTGGATAAAAAAGTTTGGTTGGCAAATGCTGAAAACATCAGCTAAACAGCCCGTAATTTACATTGGATTAGCAAGTGAAAGATGAGGTGACCGCCACAACAATGCCTTCTTGGCGTATGAACATCTCATTTATAAAAATATTGATTTCACTTCTTTGGACATAATTGATTAATTATATTTTGGAAGAGAAAAATCGTTTCCAGGTCTCTGCAGGGTTTGCCTCACCTCATCTCACAATGTCTTGTTCTCTCAACCACTGATAACCTTATTTTTCAAGAGTGCGACTTCTCCCTCTCTGAAAGTGGGAGGCCACAGAGTTTACAAGAAAATAGGAAGAATCTGTCTCTGAGAGGCACCTAGGTAGACTGGAAAAAGAAATAGTCTAAGCATGGAATATCAGAGTCATAGTCTGAGCAATAGAAAGCACCTTAGAAATGATGAAACTCAGAGGTCTTTGGTTTTCAAATCTTACAAGCCATCAATCATTGCATTTTGGAAGAGAATGGCAAAGAAAGTGAGAAATCTAAATCACATTAAAATTCTACTTTCTCTGTCATTAAAAGCCCAGTACATGTTCTCTATGAAAAATTAGAATAAAGAACAAAGTGAAATTAAAAATGATTTTCTATTATCATATGAAGAAAATAACTATATATATACATATATATATATATATAATATAATACACATATATAGTATAACCACAGTTGAAGGACAGTGACTTTTTTCCAATCATGTATCAAAATTCTCAGAAATCACATCTCCAGGACTGAACTGGGTTATATGACCATCCCTGAACCAATCATTGTGACCTGGATGAGTGCTGGTCCATGTTGCACATGAACCCCTGACATTGATAATGGGAGTGGGTGCCATTGGCCTCATTGGATTGGGAGATGAAAGTGCATCCGTCCCGTCCACCTCCCAAACTGATGAGACTGGGATATACTTACTGGCCATACATATGTCTTCTTTGAGAAATGTCTATATATATATTGAGACAATATATATTTGAGAAATGTCTTTATATATTTAATTATATATATATAAAATTTTATTTATATATACATATTTTTATATATATATAATTTTATTTTATATATATATACATATATAAATTTGAAATGGGGTCTCACCCTGTTTCCCAGGCTGGAGTGCAAAGGCATGCTCACGACTCACTGCAGCTTCAAACTCTTGGGTGCAAGCCATCTTCCCATCTCAGCCTCCTGAGTAGTTGGGACCATACGCCTGTGCCACCATGCCCAGCTAATCTTTATTTTATGTTTTGTAGAGATCTCACTATGTTGCCCAGGCTGGTCTCAAACTTGTGGGCTCAAGAAATCCTCCCACCTGGGCCTCCCAAAATGGTAGAATTACAGACATGAGCCACTATGCTCAGCCACTATTAATATTTCAAAGTATGTATTTTTAATAATATTTTTACAATAGTAGAATTATAGAATTATTCTCTACATATTGCTTTGTAGCTTGCTCTTTTACATATTATGAACGATTGTGATGATTTCTTGCCTTTTATGACATAATTTTTAATGGACGAATAGTATTTTGTAACATATTTGTATAACAATGTCTTCATTTTTCCATTGTTGTGTATTTGGGGTGTTTCTTGTTTTACTATTAAAAAGAACCATGTAATCAGCATTGTAATTTATAAAGCTTTGCATATATTTGTAGATATACCTCCTTAGGCTTTATTTTTTAGAAGACAAATTACTGGAGCAAAGGTTATTCCTATTTTCAGGATTTTGATATATGCTTAAAATTGCCAGAAAATATGCATCTTAAATTAAAGTACACAAAAGTGTACTTCTACTAGTGCTGATTTTCTTCCACCCTTGCCAAGACATGGTATTAGCATCATTTGCAAGTAGAAAGGTTGGCAACTTGACTAGTCAAAGAAAAGTGTCTCCTTATTTTTCTTTGCTTCTTTTTATAAACAACTTCATTGAGATATAATTTACCCATTTAACATGTTTGCTTCAGTGTTCAGTATATCCAGAAGATTGTGCAACCATCACTATAATCTAATTTTACAACATTTTCATCTCCCCAAAAGAAACTCTGTAACCGTGAGAGTCACTTGTTTCCTCCCCTCCTTCCAAGACAGTCACTAATCCACTTTCTGCATCTTCATATTTGCTGATTTTGAACATTTTGTATAAAGTCCACTTTACGTATATTCTGAAATCATACAATTTGTGGTCTTGTCTTTTTTTTTTCACTTAGCATAATGTTTTCAAGGTTCACCGATGTTATAGCACGTGGATCTTGTTTATTCCTTGTAAAGCTGAATGTGATTCCAATGTATGGATAGACCACATCGTTTATCCATTCTTCTGTTGATGGATATTATGTTGTTTCCCCTTTTTGGCTATTATGAATAACATTGCTATGAACATTTGTGTAGGAGTTTTTCTGTGGATGTATGTTTTCATTTCTTTTGGGTATACACCTAGGAGTTGAACTGCTGGAGCGTACTGTAATGATGCAGAGCAGATGAACTCCAAAATTGAGGCTTAGCCTGGGAGGGCTCTTGGCTACACCCAGGAAAGAATTCAAGGGTACTGGAGCCTGCTGGGTGATGGTGTTGGGGAAGGGAGGACATTAGGAAAAATAACTAATGCATGCTGGGCTTAATACCTACGTGATGGGTTGATAGGTGCAGCAAACCACCATGGCACACATTTAGCTGCATAACAAACCCATACATCCTGCACATGTACCCTGGAACTTAAAATACAAATAAATAATAATTAAAAAAAAAGAATTCAAGGGTGAGCCAGTGGTGTTAAACAGCAACTTTTATTGAAGCCACAGTGCACAGCAGCAGCAGAGGGACTGTTTCTTGCTGAGCAGGGCTACCCCATAGGTGGTGTGTCCAGAGTAACAGCTAAAAGGCAGGGCTGCACTCATATTTACACCCATTTTTAATTACATGCAAATTGAGGTATGGTTTATGCAGAAATTTCTAGGAAAAGGGTGGTAACTTTTGAGTCTGTAGGGTGTTTGCTATGGAAAAGGGCAGTAACTTCTGGGCAATGCCATGGCAATGGTAAACTGACCTGGGACACATGTGGGCATGTCTTAAGGAAAGCTGCTTTCACCCCTGCCCTGTTTTAACCAGCTCTCATTTTTGTGCAGTGTCCGAGCCCCACCTCTGGAGTTCAGTTCCACCTCTTACCTCAGTAAGTCTATGTATTTAACTTTTTGGAGACCTGCTGGACTATCTTCCAAAGCCATTCCACTACTTCACATACTTCACATTCCCACCAACAATGAATGAGGGTCCTTATTCCTCCACATCTTTGCTAAAACTTAGTGCCCATCTGTCTTTCCTTTATTATGGTCATTTTACCGGGAGAGAAATGGTATCTCATTGTGGTTTTTTTTTTTTTTTTTTTTTTTGAGACAGAGTTTTGCTGTGTCATCCAGGCTGGGGTGCAATGGTGCGATCTTGGCTCACTGTAACCTCTGCCTCCCCAGTTCAAGCAATTCTCCTGCCTCAGCCTCCCGAGTAGCTGGGATTACAGGCACCTGCCACCATGCCAGGCTAATTTTTATAATTTTAGTAGAGACAGGGTTTCACCATTTTGGTCAGGCTGGTCTTGAACTCTTGAGCTCAAGTGATCTGACCACCTCGGCCTCCAAAAGCACTGGGATTACAGGC
Organism: Homo sapiens; assembly: GCF_000001405.40. Classification (NCBI taxonomy): domain Eukaryota; kingdom Metazoa; phylum Chordata; class Mammalia; order Primates; family Hominidae; genus Homo; species Homo sapiens. Next base: position 26,897,661 of record NC_000016.10, on the reverse strand, counting down.
GTGAGCCACTGTGCCTGGCTTCATTTTGGCTTTGATTTGCATTTCCCTGGTGGCTAATGATGTTGAGCATCTTTTCATGTCCTTATTATCTGTACATGTATCTTCTTTGAGAAATGGCTATTCAGATCCTTTGGTCATTTTGAAAAAGGTTATCTCTCTTTTCATTTTGAGTTTGAGTTCTTGATATGTTTTAGATATGAATTCCTTATCAGATATATGATTTACAAGTATCTTCTCTCAAATTGTGAACTGCCTTTTTCATTTTTTGGTAATATTATTTGCAGCACAAAGTTTTTAATTTTGATTAAGTCCAATGTATCTTTTTTTTTTCTTATTTCTCTTGTGTTTTTGCGGTCATAACTAAGAAACCAACCATTGCATCACCCAAAGTCAGAAAGATTTACTCTAATGTTTTCTTCTAATTGTTGATATATTTAGCTCTTACATTTAGGTCTGCTGAATTTTAAAAAAGTTAATACTGAGGTTGCACATTCATATTTTTTCTTTTGTGAATTTTATGCCCATCTGCTTTGTTCATTTCTCCATTAGGTAGGTTTCTAAAAATTGATTTTTGTGAATAATTTATATATCGAAAGTTAATGCTTTGTCTTATTTGCTGCTATTTTATTTTCTTGTTGGTGTTTTGCCTAGTAATTTTACTGTGCTTTGGCTAGTAACTTTTAAAAAATTATTATTTTTTAACCAGTTAGTAAGCAAGGGGATCAGGGTCCTGGGTACAGGGTAAAAGAGAGGATTGTCCTCTTGGGCTGCATCTGTGATTGGGCTTATGACTGCACCACAGAATTATAGCCCTTCTATTATAATTTCCTGGTAAATGGGTAAAAAATGTGTAATCTTGGATCTCAAGCAACTCAAGACAAATAGAAATTTGGATTTGTGTTTAGGAACACAGACTTCAGCATTCTTTGGCACTCTTTGGCTCAAATCCTGGTCCTGATATTCACTAGGTGAGTGACCTCAGATAAAGAGCTTGGTGTCTTTCAGGTCATCTTTTTCATCTGCAAATTTGGGGTGTTGATCCCTGTATCATGAAGTTATTGTAATGAGTCACTGAGGGAGAATTTGTGGCACTGACAACGTGATGAATCAGAAACCTACAAATCCCCCCACTAGAAATATCTAGAAATGCTGGAAATAGTGTAGTTATAATTTTAAATGCCCAGATGAGCTTGCAAAAAAGAAAGAGATATTCTTTAATTGATAGAAAACTGGGAGAATAGACATGAAAGTGGGCAGCGTGTCCATGTCGAGCGTGTGTGTGTGTGTGTGTGTTCGTCAATTTTACAATCTGGGGAAGCAGGTTTTATTAGTATGCACTGAGGGCAGAGACAAAATCTTTAACCACAGAGTGTAGGATACTGGGAGGGACTGAGCCTTCACTCACAAAAAAATAGAACCCTTGAAAGACTGCTTCTTCTGAGAAAGGGTAGATGGAGAAAAATCCACCCCCCAATCCCAGTCAAGGGAGGAGACAGGAAGTTTGTCTGTTCATGCTCAGTCTCTGGGTGGAAAAAACCCTGTGTAACTTCAAAACACAGCCCTCCTGTTACTTACCTACATTTGATATTCAAATTTATCCAGAATATCCCCAAGCTGAGAAAGTAAAACATCAGTCTTGGATTTTTCTTTTCTGAAAATTATTACTGAGTGCAGAAGAGGAAACATTTCCTACTCAATTCACGAGACAGAACATTGACATCAAAAGCTAACAAGGACAGTATAAGAAAGTAAGATTTTAGGCTAGGCATGGTGGCTAACGCCTGTAATCCCAGCACTTTGGAAGGCCGAAGTGGGCAGATCACTTGAGGTCAGGAGTTCTAGACCAGCCTGGCCAACATGGTGAAACCCCGTCTCTACTAAAAAGTACAAAAATTAGCCGGGCATGGTGGCGGGTGCCTGTAATCCCAGCTACTCAAAAGGCTGAGACAGGAGAATCACTTGAACCCGGGAGGCGGAGGTTGCAGTGAGCCAAGATCATGCTGATGCACTCCGGCCTGGGCAACAAGCGCGAGAGTCCGAATCAAAAAAAAAAAAAAAAGAAAGTAAGTAAGACTTTTTAGGCCAATTTTATTTATAAACATAGATGAAAAAAAACCCAAGCAAGTTGTTACTAAAAAAGTGTCCAGCAATGCTTGAAACAGAAAACACATGATGTCCAAGTTGAGTATATTCTAAGGATGTGAATTTGGATCATATTAGATAATCAATAAATTTAATTTACCCTATAAACAGGTTAAAGGAGAAATAGCTTGTAATAATTTCACTAAATGTAGAAAAAGCTGACAAAAATTCTTAGCAAAAGAAGAATAAAAGAGAATTTCCCCTAGACTGATGTAAAAATCCTCTCAGAAATATCAAATTTAATAGAAAATTGAGGAAAGCATCTGCTTTAAGACCAAGAATGAGGAAATGGTATCTACTGTCACTACTTTTATTTAATATTGTACTGGCAGTCCTAGCCAGTAATGTAAGAAAATAAATAAAAGCTGTAAGTTAGAGAAGAAGAAAAAAGCTGTCAATGTTCCCAGATTATATAATTATTTACACAGAAAATTCAAAAGAACTTACAGATAAATTATTAAAATTAGTAAGAGAATTTAGCATAGTTCTTGCACAAATATTTAATATACAAAAATAAATTGCATTTCTTGTAAGCAGCCACCAATGGGTAGAAAATATAATAAAATATAAACCATTTATAACATTATATGTAAATAAAACTAAATCTAAAGATTTGCAAGACCTATAAGGAGAAAATTATTAAATTTTACTGAAAGAAGTTAAAGGAGACATAAAGGGATATTTTATGTGTATGGATAAGAAGACTCAGCTTCGTAAAGCTGTCACTTCTTCCCAAGTTGATCTAAAGAGTCAATGCTATTCTTTTTAAGATTCCAACAGGTTTTGTTTTCTTTGTAGAATTGGGTGTTAACACAGTACTAAATTTTATGAAAAAATAAAGAGATAAGAATATCTAAGATACTCATAAAGCAGAAAAAAAGGGGAAATGTCTTATCATTAAAAACTAGTATAAAGCTATATTGGTTAAAATTATAATGACTCTATGCTTATTAAGATAGTGTTACATATGGATGGACAACCAGTATCCCTACCTCACACTATACACAAAAATCAATTCCAGGTAGATTAAATATTTAAATGTGAAAGGCAAACATAAAATCTTTTAGAAGACAGTATTGCTAATTTATTTGTGATTTGCATCAGTGAACCATATTTTTTTCTGAGACGGAGTCTCGCTCTGTCGCCCAGGCTAGAGTGTAGTGGCACAATCTCGGCTCACTGCCAGCTCCACCTCCCGGCAGTGAACTATATTTTTAAGGCAATACTTGAAAAGTACAAATCGGCTGGGCACAGTGACTCATGCTTGTAGTCCCAGCACTCTGGGAGGCTGAAGAGGGAGGATTACTTGAGGCCAGGAGTTTGAAACCAGCCTGGGGCAACATAGTGAGACCCCATATATACATAAAAGTAAAAAAGCAAAAATTAGCCCAGCATGGTGGCACATGACTGTAGTCCCAGCTACTCGGGAGGATTGCTTGAGCCCAGAAATTTGAGACTACAGTGAACTATAATTGTGCCGTCGTACTTCATCCTGGGTGACAGAGCAAGACCCCATCTATTACAGAAAGAAAGAAAGAAAGAAAGGTATAAATTATAAAGGGAAAGATTAATAAATTTGATTACATAAACAAATGCCTATAAAACAAATAATAAACAAAAAGAGAGTTAAAATACAAGCCACAAAGTGAGAACAATGAAATTGAAAAATAAACAAGCAACTTGTAAAAGACATCACGTAAGTGGCAATGTAAATGTCATTCACCATGCAACATTATGGTCAAATTTATTAATATTTGGAGAAATAAAAATGAAAACAACCATGAGACATCATATCACGTCGCCTAATTGGCTGAAAAAAACAGGCAATATCAATTTTTGGTAAGTCCAAGGCATGATGGCAAATTGTACACATTTCTGATAGGAGGATGAATTTGTAACCACTTTGGAAAGCAATTTGGCTTCCTCTGGTAAAAGTGAAGATAATTATATCCTATGAACAAGCAATTCACCAATTCTCTAGGAATATATCCTTGAGAAATGCTTGCTCATGTGCAGCATGAGACACATACAGGGAGGACAAGAGAAGAGCATTTTATAATATCAGAAGGAATGAAAATACTTATCAGCTTTGGAAGGGAAAATTACATTTTGGTACATACAATGAGATTCTAAACAGCAGTGGAAATGAACTTACTGCTACATGCAGCAACAAGGAGGAATCTCAAAAACATAATAAATTGAGCAAAAACGGCAAATTGCCAATGAATAATATGCTACTATTCTATTTATTTAAAGTTCAAAATTCATAGAAAATTAAACAATAGGTCGTTTAGCGATACAAACGTGGTACAATTGTAAAGAAAACAGTGGAATGATAAGCTCAAATGACAAGCAGGAGGGGGCTGGATCTGAGGGAGAGGGGCCAGGCTAAGATCCGGGAGGGACCTGCGGGCAGCTTCAAAGGTACTTGGGATGTTCTGTTTCTTAAACTGGGTGTTGGGTACACAGGTGTCCATGGCATTGCTTCCTGTCTTACCCATATGTTATAAATATTCGTTTGGATTTATTCAATGTTGCATCACACCAGTCAAGAATCTTTTTCTGGAAAGAGCTATGTAATAAATATTTTAGGGCTTTTCCAGTCACAAAGTCTTTGTCACAACTACTAAAATCTGCTGTCTTAGTCTGAAAGCAGCCATAGGTAATACATAAATGATGATTGTGCTTGTGTACCAATAAAACATTATTTACAAAAGCATGTGGTGGTGGGACTTGGCCATTAGACATTAGTTTGCTGACCCCTCTTTTGTAAGATTAATTAAAAATTGGGCCAGGCACGGTGGCTCACACCTGTAATCCCAGCACTTTGGGAGGCCAAGGGGGGGCAGATCACCTGAGGTCAGGAGTTCGAGACCAACCTGGCCAACACGACAAACCCATCTCTACTAGAAATACAAAAAAATCCCTGTAGTCCCACCTACTCAGGAGGCTGAGGCAGGAGAATCACTTGAACCTGGGAGGCGGAGGTTGCGGTGAGCTGAGATCACACCACAGCACTCCAGCCTGGGCAACAGAGTGAGACTCCGTCTCAAAATAAATAAATAAATAAATAAATTAAATTAAATAAGTAAATAAAAAAATAGTAGGGAGGGAGGCAAGGGTTGAGAAACTGCTTATAGGATACTATGTTCACTATTTGGGTGATAGATTTAATTGAAGCCCCAAATCTCAGCATTGCACAATATATGCATGTAACAAACTTGCACATATACCCCCGAATGTAAAATAAAAAAATACATATATATCAGCATTTACTTAAAGGAATCTTCTTATATATAATACATATACTTATATATATTATATTATATATAATATATATACATTTATATACTTACAGAGAGTACCTATATTAACATAAAACAAAAAAATTTGTAAAGAGAAATTTATTATTAATGATGAAAAGAGTTGGTACATAATGGTAATAGGATCGATTCTTCAGGAAGAGATAGGTTTTCTGGACTTGCACAGCCCAAGAAGGTAGGTTAAAAATGTATAAAGTAGGTATTGACAACATTACAAGGGTAAGTATACAAATCTACAATCAGAATGAGAGAGTTTAACATACCTGTCTTAGTAATTGATAAGTGAAACTGACAAAACTTTATAAGGCTGTAGAAAATTTGAGTAACAAAAGTAGTACATTTTGAGCAAATGAATTTATATAGAATTTTGCAGGTAATATTTAGAGAATATAAAAATTCTTGTCTAAAACACATGGAATATTTATAAAAGCTGAGTATGTGGTCCAGCCACATAGTAAAACTAAATTACCAATAAATACCACATCCTTTAACCACAATGCTGTAAAATTAGAAAGCAAAAAAATATATTTTGTAATTTAACAATGTATGTGTAGATACTTCATGTATCAAAGAAAAAATCACAACGGATATTTAAAAATATGTATAACAATAAAAAATAAAACTTTTCATGTCAAAAATCATGAGATACAGCTAATGTAGTGACAAAATTATGCCTTAAATTAATCTCTTAGAAGACTCTCCCAAACATAAATGTGTTTCACCAAACATTTAAGGAACAAATAACGTCTATTGCAAAAGATAACAAAAGGACGACTCTTCAATACCTTTTATGAGGCTAACAGAATCTTGAAACCAGAATTATACAAGGATACTATAGTGAAGGAAAATAATATTCAAATTATACTTATGAGCAAAAATCTTGAGTAAGATAACTGCAAACAAAACTCAGCAACTTGTATTATAGGTATAGCATAACTAATTAGAGATTTTTCCAGAAACACAAGAATAGTTTACTGTTAAAAAAAATGTGCAGAGCTTCAGGCTGGGCACGGTGGTTTCACGCTTATAATCCCAGTACTTTCGGGGCCAAGGCGAGAGGATCACTTGAGTCCAGGAGTTTAAGACCAGCCTGGACAACATGGCGAAACCCAGTCTCTACAAAAACAAGCAAACAAACAAACAAATGAAACAAAAAGTTAACTGGGCATGGTGGCATGTGCCTGTGGTTCCTGCTACTCAAGAAGTTGAGATGGGAGGATCCCTTGATCCCCAGGAGGTCAAGGCTGCAGTGAGCTGTAATAACGCCACTGTACTCCATCCTGGGCGACAGAGTGAGCCCCTGTCTCAATTTTTTAAAAAAGTACAAATTTTCAGTTATGTAAGATGAACAAGTGGAGAGCTAACGTACAAGATGAAGACTACAGTTAACAATATTGTATTATATACTGGTAATTTCCCAAGAGAGTAGATTTTAGGTACTCTTACTACACACACACAAGGTAACTTTATGAGATGATGGGGATGTTAATGTGCCTGATGGTGGTAGTCACTTCACCATGTATATGTTTATCAAGACAAGTATACCAAAACATCATGGTGTATACCTTAAATATATACCATAAAAAATTAAATATTTGCAAACTATGAATCTGATGAAGGACTAGTATTCACAATCTATAAGGAACACAAACAAATTACTAAGGAAAAAACGCAAGTAATCCCATTAAAAAGTGGGCAAATGACATGAATAGGCATTTCTCAAAAGAAGATATGCAAATATACGAAAAAACACTCAACATCACTAATCTGGGAAATGCAAATTAAAACCACAATGAGATACCACCTTACTCCAGCAAGGAAGTTCATTATTAAAAAGTCAAAAAATAGTAGGTGTTGGTGTGAATGAGGGGAAAAGGGAACACTTTTACATTGCTGGAGGAATGTAAATTAGTACAACCTCTATGGAAAACAGTATGGAGATTCCTTAAAGAGGAGAAAGTAGATATACAGTTCGATCCAGCAATCCCACTACGGACAGTCTACCCAAAGGAAAATAAGTCACTATATGCAAAAGACACTTGCACATGTATGTTTATAGGAACACAATTTGCAATTGCAAAGATGTGGAACCAACTTAAGTGCCCATTGACTAATAAGTAGATAAAGAAAATGTGGTCTATATACACCATGGAATACTACTCAGACATTAAAATGAATGAAATAATGGCCTTTGCAGCAACTTAGATGGAGCTGGAGGGCATTATTCTAAGAGAAGTAACACAGGAGTGGAAAATCAAAACCATATGTTCTCACTTATAAGTGGGAGCTAAGCTATGCGTATGCAAAGGCATAAGATGACATAATAGACTTTCCAGACTCAGAAAGAGGAGGGTGGAAGGGGGATTAGGGAAAAAAAAAACTACACGTTAGGTACAATGTACAATACTTGGATGACAGGTGCTCTAAAATCTCAAAATTCACTAGTATATAATTTATCCATGTAACCAAAAGCTACTTGTACTCCAAAAGCTTTTCATAAAAAAAGAAACAGTAAAAAATTAAAAATATATCTAGTTAATATAGTTTACTATATTAAGAGATTAAACACAGAAAGCCATGTGATTCTCTCAATAAACTCTCCAGCGAAATGTATAAAAATCAAGAAATATTCATGATTAAGAAGAAATCTTTTAGTGAGTTGAAACAGAACAAAGTTCCTTAACCTGCTGGAGTACTGCTACTTTAATGAGAAAAACTCTCAAATGCTTAAGTTGAATGAGGAAATCAACAGTCATGGAATTTATTACATTTCTATGCTTCTATGCATGAAGAAGGAAATTCCCAAGCCTTCCTTTTGCTTCTCGTGGAAAATTCCTAAGATTTGCACTGTTCAGCAAACAGAGATGTCAATTTCAATTTTACTACTAGTGCAACGAATTATGAAGTCAGAACAGTTGCTTAGAATTGAAGGCATTTTAGGGTATAGGTTGTATTTCACGGGCAATATCTGATGACTTAATAGATTCCTTTGTGTGACTATTCCCATGCACAGTTTCACAGTAACAGGAAGCAGAGCAGGATTATATATTTACACAGCATTCTTCACACCCAATAGGAAAGTAAAACTGATGAATTTGTTAATATTCTCACCATCTTGCCTTTGAAGTAGCTTATGATGCAGGTATACTGTCTGCTTTTTCTGCAGCTCTTGGGGGATAGAAGAAACATTTTCTTCTTCCTGAAATTTCTCTCGATAGCAGTTAAAAAGCTTTTCTGTTTCAAGGTTAAGCACTGGAAATCCCTTACTTTGCAACAAGAGAATAGAGTAGACCAAACTACTTAAAAACACCCGATAAGGACAAAATGATGGGCAGAAAGAATTTTAACAAAAAGAGTATGAGATGTAATATTTTGCATCCAAAGGCATCTAGTAAAATCCAAGAGCAACCATAGATAATGGTGAAATTTAAGCAGCATTTTCTTTAGAGTTGGTGACAACACAAGCATATCTCCACTTCTGCCTCTCTCCCATTATTTTTGCTATTTTATGAAATAACTTCTTTGAGGTATAATTGATATTTAATAAATAGCACATAATTTGTACAATTTGATAAGTTTTGACAAGTGTATATACCCATGAAACTATCACCATAATCAAGATTGTGAATATGTCCATTACCCCCAATGGTTTTCTCATGTTCTTTGTGGGTTTTGTTTTGTTTTGCTTTTTATTTGTATAAATGTAAGGGTACATTTTTTTTTTACATGGATGTATTACCTAGTGGTGAAGACTGGGTGTTTAATGTATGTATCACTGGAATAATGTACATTGTGCCCATTAAGTAATTTCTTGTTACCTACTCCCCTCCCACCCTCCAATCCTCCCAGTCCCCAATGTCAATCATTCTAAACTCTACGTCCATGTGTACGCAGAGTGCGTAGAAAAGGGAAGACTTACATACTATTGATAGGAATATAAAATTAGTACAATCTCCATGAAAAGCAGTATGGAGATTTCTCAAAGAACTAAAAATACAACTACCATTGGATCCAGCAATCCCAGTATTGGCATCTAGCCAAAGGAAAATAAATCACTCTATCAAAGAGATAACTGCACTAGTATGTCTATCACAGCACTATTCACAATAGCAAAGACAGGAATCAACACAAGCAATAAGTGTTCATAAGCAGGTGATTGGATAAAGAATATGTGGTATATATACACAATGGAATACTATTCAATCATAACAAGGAATGAAACTATGCATTCATTGCATAATTTTGCATCAACATGGATGAAACTGAAGGCCATTATCGTAAGTGAAACAACTCAGAAAGAGAAAATCCTTGTGCCTTTGGTAATCTTCCCTCCTGTGCCTCCTTGTCTGACACAGCCTCCTGTCCCTAGACAATCACTAATCTGCTTTCTGTTGCAATAGATTAGTATTCCTTTTTCAGAATTTAATGGTAATCAAATAATACAATATGTATCTTTTGCATCTGCCTTAGTTTATTCTAAGTAACTACTTTAAGATTTATTTGTGTTATATGTCAGTAATTCACTCCTTTTTATTGCTGCAAAGTAGTATTCCCTTGTATGGATATACCACCTTTTGTTTATCCATTATCTGTTGATAGACATTTGGGTTGCTCCCTGTTTTTGGCTACTTTAAATAAAGCTGCTGTGAACGTGGGCATACGAGGTCTTGTCTAGACTTACACTTTCATTTCTTTTGCATAAATACTTAGGAGTGAAGTGGCAGGATCATAAGATAGGTGTATGTTTGACCCTTTATGAACTGCCAAGCTAATTTTCCAAATGTCTTGGAACCATTTCACATTTCCACTAGCAGTGTACAAGATTTCAGTGGCACCATGTCCTTGCCAACACATAATGTGGTCAGGTTATAATATTTTAGACATTCTAATAGGTATGTAGTGGTAACTCATTGTGTTTTCTTTCTTTCTTTCTTTCTTTCTTTCTTTCTTTCTTTCTTTCTTTCTTTCTTTCTCTTTCTTTTCTTTCTTTCTTTCCTTCTTTCTTTCTTTCTTTTCTTTCTTTCTTTCTTTCTCTTTCTTTCTTTCTCTCTCTTTCTTTTCTTTCTTTCTTTCTCTCTCTTTCTTTTCTTTCTTTCTTTCCTTCTTTCTTTCTTCCTTTCTCTTTCTCCCTTTCTCTTTCTCTCTCTCTCTCTCTCTCTCTCTCTCTCTTTCTTTCTTTCTTTTTTTTTTGATGGAGTCTCGCTCTATCACCCAGGCTGGAGTGCAGTCACGCGATCTCGGCTCACTGCAACTGCCGCCTCCCAGGTTCATTGTAGTTTTCTTGTGCATTTCCCTAATGGGTAATGATGTTGATCATCTTTTCATGTACTTATTTTGCCAGCTGCATTTATTCTTTGTTAAAGTGTCTGTTAAAATCTTTTGTCTAATATTAGTTTTTTAAATTATTATTATAGCATCTTTTCCTTACCTCAGGAGGATGATAAGTTCCAAGACCCCCAGTGGAGGCCTTGGAACTTGGAAGCAGTGGATAGAAGCAAACCTATATATGCTATGTTTTTTTGATCTGATAACTGAGATGGCTACTAAGTGACTAACTGGCAAATAGTGTCTACGGGGTAGATACACTGGACAAAGAAATGATGTATGTCCCGAGCTGGACAGAGCCATATGACTTAATATTTTATCATATTGCTCAAAATGGCATTCAATTGGAAACCTATGAATTGCTTATTTCTGGAATTTTTCATTTAATATTTTTGGACTAAAGTTGACTGTGGGTAACTGATACTGTCGAAATTGAAATCTCAGATAAGGGGGAACTACTGTATACATTCTGGGTAAAAATCCTTTAAAAAATCAAATATATGCCAGATGTGGTGGCTTGCACCTGTAATCCCAGCTATGTGGGAGGCTGAGGCAGGAGAATGACTTGAGGCCAGGAGTTCAAGATCAGCCTGGGCAACACAGCAAGACCTTGTCCCTAAAAACAAAAATGCATATATTGCCAGGCATGGTGGCATTTATCTGTAGTTCCAGCTACTTGAGAGGTGGAGGCAAGAAGATCTCTGAAGCCCAGAAGTTCAAGGCTGCAGTGAGCTATGATTGCACCACTGCCCTCCAGCCTGGGTGACAGGGCTAGACCTCATCTAAAAAAAGCCTCACAAAACATCAGCTGTATAATTGGCTAATATTTTATCTGCATCTTTTCTTTTCATTGTGTTAACAATCTCTTGTTTAAGCAGCTTTCTTGAGGCACATATACCATAAAATGTATATGTATATATAATTTATATTTAGTATTATAAAATTCACCCATTCTTAGTGAACAATTGATTTTTTTTTCAAATTCATAGGATTGTGCAATAATCACAACAGCTCAAGTTTAGAATATTCCATCACCCAGTAAAAATTTCTGTACATCCATTTAGTTACTTCCTATTTCTATCTCTAGCTGCAGGCAACTGATCTGCTTTCTGATTCTCTGGATTTGCCTTTTTCTGGACATTTCATATAAACGGAGTCATCCAGTAGGTAATCTTGACACTTTCACTTAGCCCAGTGATTTTGAGGTTCATCCCTGTTGTTGCATGCATCAGTAAGTAGTTCATTCTCTTTTATTTCTGAATGGTATCCATTCATTAGTTGATGGACATTTGGGTTGTTTCAAGTTTTTAATTGTTACGAATAATGCTGCTATGAACATTTGTGAATAAGTTTTGTCCTGCCAGATTCATTTGTTTCCCTTTGGTAGATACCAAAGAGGGAAAATATGGGTCTTATATTAAATTTATGTTTAAATGTTTGAGGACCCAACAAACTTTCTTCTATAGTGGCTGTATCATGATTTATTCCCATCAGCAATGTTTAAGGGTTCCAGTTTCTTCATATGCTTGCCAATACTTGCTATTATTTGTCTTTTTGAAATTGTTTCCATTTGGTGCATGTGAAGTAGTATCTCATGATTTAAATTTGATTTCCTTTAATTGTTAATTAAGCATCTTTTTGTGTGTTTATGGTCATTTGTATATCTTCTTTGGTAAACATTTTTATTCAAATAGTTTATACATTTTAAAATTCAGCCATAATTTCTTCAAATATTTTTCATTCCAGTTTCACATACATCAGGGAACTTAAAGTTGTCTTACAGCTTACTGATGCTCTGCTCATTTTCAGATCTTTGTGTTTCATTTTGGGTAGTTTCAATGGCCATGTTTTCCATTTCACTGATCTTTTCTTCTGCCACATCTTATCTGTTGTGAATTCATCCCATTCTGTGTATTTCTCATCTGAGACATTTTAGTTTTCATTTCCAGAAGTTGATTTTATGTCTTTTATTTTTTCCGTGTCTCTAAGTAACATCTTCAAAGTTTTCTCTGGCTTCTATTTCCTAATTCTATCAACTGGGTCTATTCTGTATCAGTTTTGATTGATTGTTTTCCTACTTATGGGCTATATTTTCTTGTGTTTTTGATGCTTGGTAATTTTTGATTGAATGTCAATTTTGGTTTTGAATTTTATTTTGCTGTGTGCTAGACATATATTTTTTTCTCGAACTTTGTTCTTGGATGTGATTGCATTACTTGAAACCTGTTTGGGTCTCACATTGAAGTTTTGTTGGGTGAGGCCAGAGCACACTTACTCGAGGTTAATATTGCCTCCCCGCTGTGGCAAACCCTTTTATTACATTGTCCAGTGTTCTGTGAATAATGAGGTTTTCCCATAATGACTGGTGGGAAACAGTCAGTATGTCCTGGCCTTATGTGATTCTTAAGTATTGTACCATATAATCTTTTTTTTTTTTTAGACAGGGTCTTGCTCTGTTGCCCAGGCTGGGGGGCAGTGGCACCATCATAGCTCACTGCAGCATCAAACTCCTGGACTCAAATGATTCTTCCACCTCAGCCTCCTGAATAGTTGAGACTATAAGCACGTGCCACCACATCTGGTTAATTTATTTTTATGTTTATTTTTGTTGAAATGGATCTTGCTATGTTGTCCAGTCTGGTCTTGAACTCCTGAGTCTTCCCACCTCAGCTTCCCAAAGTGCTGGGATTACAGGCATGAGCCACCATGCCCAGCCAGTACCCTGTAATCCCTAACAATGATTCTTTACTTAACCTCATGGAGTTTTCTCACATTCCTGAGCTGATCAGTACCTACCTGAAGACTCACTCAGGACCTATGCCTATCTCTGGATATCTCTCTTTCTGGTTAGCTTTCTCTTCTCTGGTATCTTGTCCGGATAATTCCAGCCACCCTGGCATTTCTGGACTCTCAGACCCCATCTCTTTAATTCACCAAGGCCACTCACTCTGCCTGGGTCACCTTTGTGTGCTTCAGCTTGGAACCGTCTCTGGGCAGGAAGCTGGAGTGATTCCGGTGCTCACCTCGTTTCGTCTTATCTCAGACATCATTGTTCTTTGCCTAATGTCCGATGTTTTGAGAACCATTGTTTCATAATTTTTTAAATTTTGAATTATTTTAAAATATCATAATTATGAAATGATTTTTGTAGATGTTTCAAGGGAGAAGTTAAGCCCAGTTTCTGTTTTTCCATCTTGGACAGAAAAGGAAATACTACTATTCAATATTGAACTAAAGTCACAATGACAGTGTAATACGCCACAGGCCCAGGTGCCTGCACCTGTACACGCAAAGAAATAACAGGTGTAACAACTGCAAAGGAAGAAACAAAGCTGTCCCTATTCATAGTTCCTATAACTTCATAGAAAATTCTACAGAGTATACAGCCATATTAATAATAAATATGAGTCCAACAAGTTGCTGCATACATGATCAATGTACAGGAAAAAAATCAATTAGGCTCTTAAACACCAGCTAGAAACAATTAAAAACAATAAAGACAATTAAAAACAATAAAGACAATAAAAATATCATTGTAATAAAAACTATAAGTTCATTAGAGATCTATTTAGCAGGAGACATGCTTAAACTTTATGGAGAAAAATATAACAGCCTACTGAAAAACATATGAAAAGACCCACTGAAATGGGGAACTCATGTTGGTTGCATACATTAGGAAAATCTCGGTTAAGATGGCAATTTTCTATATATTCATCTATACATTTTTAAAAAAATTTTATTTTACTCTAAGTTCTGGGATACATGTGCTGATCGTGCAGGTTTGTTACATAGGTATGCATTTGCTATGGTGGTTTGCTGCACCTATCAACTTGTCATCTAGGTTTTAAGCCCCACATGCATTAGGTATTTGTCCTAATGCTCTCCCTCCTTTTGTCCCCCACCCCCAACAGGCACTGGTGTGTGATGTTCCCCTCCCTGAGTCAATGTGTTCTCATTGTTCAACACCCACTTATGAGTGAGAGCATGTGGTATTTGGTTTTCTGTTCCTGTGTTAGTTATATTCATCTATATCTTTATGCAATTGCTATACAAATGCCCAAATCCTTACTATTATTATTGCTGTTGTTGTTGTTATTTTGGCGGAACTTGATAGGAGGGTCTATGAGATTCATTTGGGAAAGTAAGGGCCAAGAAGTTCCAAGGCAATTCCGAAGAAGACAAATAAAGACAGAACATTTCCTTCTTAGGTGTCAAGATTACTGTAAAGCTGCTATAGTCAGGGCATAGTCAGGAGAGACAGACCACACCAGTTGTTTTAACAGAGAGGATTTAATATAAGGAACTGCAAACTGGGTATAAAAATGTTGAGTATGTAAATAAAGGGTGAAAAAAGACACAACGAGATCACAGAGGCAGTAATGACAGACATCGTCTACTAACTCTGGGACTGAGGAGGAAAGGAGAGTGGCTGGGATTGTTAAAAGTCAATGCTCAGGGGAGAGTCTGCATGACTGCGACTGAGTTTTGAAGTGGGGGCTCACAAGGGTGTTGAGTTCTGAGATTGCTGAGCTGGCAAGTGGAGTCTCCGAGGGCGACATAATGAAGCCGGCTATGCAACTGTTGGGAAAACTGCCAACTGGTTGAACTACTGAGCCATGATAGACGGGTGCTCCCTGGATGAAGATGTGAGGGTGGAGTGAGACACATAGGGATTATAACCAGATAAGAAGGAGCAAGTCCTTATTCCTCTCCCCCAAGCCTTTCCATCTCTTTTGAGAGCCCACTATTGGCAAAGCCTAACAGGGGCCCTAACCTCAACCTAACCTTAATCCTATCCTCAGTTCTAAACCTAACCCAAACCCCAAATTGCAAAGCAGAAATGGGGTTTGCAGAGTCCCGGTCCCAGCACCACAAAGCAGAGAGCAGAAGGGTGGATTTGGAGCACAGGCATGGTAACTTAATAACTGAAACTGCCACACATAATGAAAACAGTGTGGTACCAGCACAGGAATGGAAAGATAGAGCAATGTTTCAAATCCATCCAGACACGGACTTCTTTTAATAAGGGAGTTTGGTACATGACATTCTAAATTAGTGAAAGATTAGTGCTGAGGAAACTTGCTATCCATATGAAGAGAAAAAACCTCAGATGTTTAACTTTATACCTTATGAAAAATATATTCCAGATATATTCAAATTATATATGTGAAAATCAATGATGTAAAACCTTCAGAAGAAAGCCTAGGAGAAACTTTTTTATGAGGGTGGTGGGGAAAAGGTTCTTAAATACACCAGGAGCCACAAAGAAGAGTCTGATAGACATCACTACATTAAATGAAAACTTTTGTATGACAAAATACATCTTATTCCTTTGGAGCAGAAAACCTGAGAAAGATTCTTGCAGACCATGTAATTACTAAGGAATTCGTATCTAGGATGTATTAAGAACCCTCCCCAAATCATTAAAAAACAAAGAATCCAATAATGACAAACTACATAAAAAAGTAATTCAAAGGAAAGGAAAGCTTGATATCCCACAGACTGTAAAAATATTCTCGGCCGGGCGCGGTGGCTCAAGCTTGTAATCCCAGCACTTGGGGAGGCCGAGGTGGATGGATCACGAGGTCAGGAGACCGAGACCATCTTGGCTAACACGGTGAAATCCTGTCTCTACTAAAAAAATACAAAAAATTAGCCGGACGTGGTGGCGGGCACCTGTAGTCCCAGCTACTCGGGAGGCCGAGGCAGGAGAATGAAGTGAACCCGGGAGGCGGAGCTTGCAGTGAGCCGAGATCACGCCACTGCACTCCAGCCTGGGTGACAGAGCGAGACTCCATCTCAAAAAAAAAAAAAAAAAAAAAAAAAATTCTCAATGCCACTATTGGGTCTATTCAAAATATAGGCAGTGAAATACCATTTTGTACTTTTCAGATTGACAAAATCAATAAATCTGGTAACACAAGCGTTGGTGAGGATATGGGAAAATGGAAATTTATGTTTCTGATGAGAGTATAAATTGGTAAAGCCCCTTTGGACAGCAATTTGGCATTACCTAGTACAGTTGAAGATATCCACACTGATTATCTACCAATTCCATTTCTGAATGTTTGTGCTGGAAACACTCCCTTATGTGCCCAAGGAGAACTATACAGGAGTGGTTATTGTTGTAGTTCGTAATTGCAAGAATGTGAAAACAACCAACATTCTCTCAACTGGGGAATGGTAAATAAATTGTAGTTTATGCACAACAGGATATGATATTGCAGTTTAAATGAGTGAATGAGATCCACATGAATCACTGTAGATAAACTGAAAAACAATAAGTTTGAGAGGAGAGCAAGTTTTAAAAGAATACTGCATACAAAATTTTTAAATCCACAAAATTATATGTATATGGACAGCATATTTCTATGTACACACATATATAATATAGTTTATATATAATATTATATATGTACAAAAATTAACACAAACATAACTGTGATTCAGTCAGACCCATTCATTATTGAGGTTACCTCTGGGGAAGGAGAGAAGTAGAGAAAAGAATAAGGAAAACTGAGGAGGAGGAGTTTACTAGTATCTGTAACATTTTGTTTCTTTACAAAGAGTTTTAAAGCAATATGGTAAAATGTCAACATCTGTTTAATCTTGGAAAAGAGTATATATATGTGTCTGACATGTTACATTTTGTAAGTTTGGAAGGTTGTATAATTAGAAAGAAAAAAAGAAAAGATTAAATGGGATCATGTACCCAAAGCACTGGGGCCACACTGAGTTACCATCATTGTGATTACTAAACTGAATGACCAAGGCCATTGATGGATAATTCCATGGCTGTTGGATCCAGAGGAAGCAGTAAGTTACATTTGGTGTGATCGTGTTGGCTGAGAGAATATCTTTCAGGTTTCTGAAAACTGTGTCACCACTAGATTCCTCTGCTACCTGTTAACACCACGAATTTAGGACAGCATTCTCATCTTACAGCTGTGGAAACTAAAACTCAGAGAATAGTAATCTGTGTGCAGTGATCCAACCAAATAGTGTTTCTTCTGGAGCTGGGACCCTTTTAAAATTAGATTCTCGATTGTCTTTCCAGCTTAGGATACAGCATGGAGGATGAAGCCCTCTTGGTGGAATCAGCCAGTGTGAGTTTGAACTTAAGCCCATGTTTCACGGATCAAACTATTCTCCTTCTTGGATCCTCAGTTTCCTCAATGACAGCAAAAATATTGGGAGGATCAAAGCTACTTCATGAGGATGCTAGGAAGCTCTGCAGGCTACCATGTAGTACAGCTCCTGGATTAGAGAGATCCTCAGTCCATCCTGGTTCTCCAACTTGTCCTTAGTGGAGTAGACCACCTGGTAGATTATCTACTCTTCTTTCTACACAAAAATCATCCCAAATTTCTCACTCACTTTCTGTCATTTATTGGAAATACCTCACTCTGGCTCCAGAATTGAACCCAAGACCCAGAGCTGGCCACTTTGAGTCATGGGAACTCGTAGCTTCAGGGATTAGTGCGTGATCCAAACTGTACCAATGAATTGGTCCTGGAACTTTTGCAGAAGCTACTGGGAAAGAGAAACACTCTTTCCATGATGGTTGCTGAGCTGGGAGGATATGAGTCTAGAGATTTTGCTTGCTACCCTGCTATCATGAGAGTAGATTCTGGAGACAGTGGCAACAGCACAAGAGAAAAAGAAGTGAGGGATGAGGGTATCGATTTCTGATGACATTGTTAAAACTCTTAGACCCAGCCGCACCTGAAATACATATGGGCCTTTCAATTACATGAGCGGATAAGTCTACTTCCTCACCTACTCCCTTCCTTCTTTTTTTCTTATTTTTGTTTTTGTTAGTTTGTTTTGGCCAGTTCGAGTTGGGCTTCTGTGATTTTCACCTGAAAGAGTTAAAATGCTTGGTGCCTCAGATTTCAGTCTTATCATTAACTTTAAAATGATGGATGGGACATCAACAGTCCTACAACCTGGTTAATTTTTTTTCTGGGTTAGAACCAGCCTCTGTCCCAACTGTTCCCTACAGAACAGTGATCTAACTTCTTCAAGTTCTATCTCAAGAAAATGCTTCCTGGTAATCTGTTTTGGGGATCAGCTCCTACCTCTCTCCTGCTATGACATAAATCTCTTTCATGCAAAGCACTTAGAAAGATGTGGAGAATATTTGGTCCTATAATTTTGTAAGCATATAAAAGCCAGGTGAGTGATGTTGCTATCATTAACCCTAAATCCAGGCAAACATCTGCACAGTCTTCTAGTAGCTTAGAGGAGACAGCCTGATGGATAGCTGGGCTCCTGGTGTTCATTTAGACATCTTGGCAGCTGGGACACATAGGCAGAGAAGAATAGCTTGCCAAGCACAACTGTTCCCAGATTCTTTTAGCCATAGATACAGATTCCTACAGTCTTCAGAGACAGCTTTGTTGCATCCCTTAACTTGTCCCTGGGAAGAGGTAGCTTCACCAGTGGGATATAGAATCATTTTTGCTGTCACAAGCCAGGTGGTTGTGTTTCCAAGCTAAGCCCTACAGAACTGCATCTGCAGCCTTTTTTTTTTCTCTAGATGCAGTCTAGCTCTGTCTCCAAGGTTGGAGTGCAGCAGCACGACCTCAGGTCACTGCAACCTCCACCTCCCTCCTGCCTTAGCCTCCTGAGAAGCTGGGATTACAGGCACACACCACCATGCTTGGCTAACTTTTGTATTTTTAGTAGAGATGGGGTTTCATCATGTTGGCCTAGCTGGTCTTGAACTCCTAACCTCATGATCCACCCTCCTTGACCTCCCAAAGTGCTGGGATTACAGGGGTGAGCCACCGCCCCCGGCTGCATCTGGAGCCCTTCTATGTAGTATAGTGGTTAAGTTTATGGGCTGGGGAGTCAGAAAAACCTGGGCCCCAGTAATGCTATTTTCACCACATATGAACCATGGGATCCTGCCTTTCTGAGCCTCAATGTCTTCATCTAGAAACTATGGCCAATAATAGTGCCTACCTCCTAGGGCTGTAGTGAGGGTTAAAGGAAACCACACAGGTAGAGCACCTGGCCCATGATCTGGAGTGCCTCACACACTAAAAACATTAACCATTATTATAATAATGATAATAATTGTGTCTCTCTTTTCTTCACTGTGGCTGCATTGTTCCCCATTTGTCCCCAAGGATCACGCATAGAGCCCTTAAATTAGGGACAAGGCCAGTGGGTTTGTCTTTGGAGGTGGCCAGGAGAGAAACAGAGGACACTGGATCCTACTGAAGGATCCCAAGCTGAGAGAGGGTCTGAGAAAGGCAGCACTCTCCTTAAGGTCCAGGCAAGAGCCCGGGGTCTATGGAAGAGGAGAAAGGGACCAGAGGGACCCATCTGGGGACAGAGCTGTGACCTCGTAGGCCTGGCATCCATTCATCTCCATCCATGACTGGTGCAGTCAGTCTACAGCAGGCCTAGGTGGCCAGTGGCACCTCTGCTGTAGAGAGCCCCTCCGCCAGGATCCTCCCAGGCCCGGTCATTCTGCCGCCTGCTTCGATAGAGCCATCTATTATTGTTGCAGGCAGACACATAATGCTGGGAAGCATAAGAATGTCACTTTCAGTGAGAATGTCAATTTCCCCAGAAATCCAGCCCCTGCTCAGTCTGGGCATCTCTTGGCATGGCTGGGAGAGGTGCAGCTGGGGTCCTGGGGTGTCAGGGAGCAAAATGGGAGGTCTCAGGTTTATGGTAGTTAAAAATATCATCTTAAAATATCAGGAGTGGAAGAAGTAGAATTTTAAAATATTATGTAATATGCTTGACTCAGCTGGTGGACACCAAACATCAGTCAGTTTGGGGGTCTCCCTTTGCCTAGGCTCATGTCTAAGTTTGGAGACTTCAGCAGGGGTCAGTGAGTTGGGAGGAGGAAGGAACATTTGGTCTCAGTGTCATCATCTGTCTCTGTTGGTCTCTCCTCTGATACGTGGGATCTCTTCGGGTCTTGTCTTCCATCCATATAGGTCACTGCTGTCTTCCTTACTGCCCAGTTGCAGTACTCCTTTAGTTCATTCACATCGTCTCTCCTTCCAGTGCCCGTGGAAACATTCTGTGGTTCTCATTAGATGCAGGGTCCAAGGCCAACTCTGTGAGCCTGTCACGGGGGCATCTTCACAGACTGCATACACCTGGCTTTTCCGCTCCCACTCTGGCTTAGTGCAGGGGGATCTAGGGTCTTGCTGCATTCAGAGGCTTTAGTCCTGGGATAGAGAACACAGGTCTTCTCTACTTTTAAGCCCCCAAAGATATCTTGGGGTTCTGCAACTCCTCCAGCTCCTACCCTGAACTTGGCCTTAGGAGGAGGGCACACAGCCTCTCTTCTTATTGACTTAGCAAACTCAAACTCTCCTGTCCTCCAATTCTCTTCCTTCCCCTAAGCCTGAGCAATGCTTATTTATTCTGGAGAATGTGCCTTTCTATGTTTTTGAGGGCAGATTCTAGGGAATGCTTACCTTCCTGTGTCTCCATTTAGGGTCATCAAGGTCTTTTGACTTAGAAGTCTTTGTGTTCAGAGATTCAGAGCTGTGACATTCCTTCTGTGATACTGGACATTGGCAGCCCAAATGCTTCGTGAGTGGAGAAATTATTCTGGGGCAAAAGGAATCTTTAGGAATAAAAAAACACAAAGGCCAGGCATGGTGGCTCACGTCTGTAATCCCAGCACTCTTTGGAGGCTGAAGCACAAGGATCACTTCAGGACAGGAGTTTGAGAGCAGCCTGAGAAACCAAGCGAGACCCTCTACCAAAAAGCAAAAAGCAACAAAAACCAAAAAGCAAAAAGCAACAACAACAAAAACAAACAAACAAACAAAATCCAAAACCAGACATGGTGACACATGCCTATAGTCCCAGTTACTCAAGAGGATGGCTTGAGCCCAGAAGTTTGAGGCTGCAGTGAGCTATGATCATACCACTGCACTTCAGCCTGGACAACAGAGTTAGACCCTGTCTCTAAGGAAAATCCTCCAGTGCCTGAAAGAGGCCTTGGCAGGACACATAAGGAAACTCTTTACTTCAGCTCTAGGTAGATGGTTCTCTCTAGAGATCAGTTCCTGGACCACAGCTTGGTTTTCTGATACAGGAGGAGGAGAAATTTCAACTTAAAATGATATAATTTCCATCCCAGGTACCCGCGTACAGTCGTCTCCAGCTCTCTCCATGCCTGTATGTTGGGGATTGTGCTACAGAAATGCCAGGGGTTCAGTCTAGGTCCAGTTGCTTGGTGCACAGAATGCCAATCGCTGAAACTGAAATAGGCCCAAGTGTCCCACAGAACTGATGTTTATGGTTTCTTTTGGATAAACGTAGGAATTGACCATACCGGTCTTAAATCTTCAGAAAATCGTGTTTCTCAAGTTGTTGCCCCAGTGATTGGCTTTCTGTGGGGTAAGCAGCAGGGCCTAGACTGAACCCCTGGTGTTTTGGTAAGAAGACAGTGAGCATTGCCAAGGAAGAAGGCTTTTTATTCAGTGATGTCAGCCATGGAGATGGGAGCCAAAACTCAAACCTGTCTCTCTGAACTGACTAAAATTAGGGGTTTATGTAGCAGGGAGAAATGTAATTACATGCCGAGAAACAGGAATGAGGCGGGGAATGGAAGAGGAGTTGGCTAACAGGAATCATGGTGGGTGAGGGGTCTGGCATCTCCTTGTCCAGATGCAGTGATGTGGTGAGTTTCAGCTCCTTGATCCTACCTGGAAGGCCTGAGGGTCAGCTTCCTGATGAAGGAACTCAGATAAGGCAAATGTAGGTTTCAAGCTTTAAGACCGGGAGGGACAATTTCTATGTTTATTCAAAAAGCCATACACATCAGGTCTAGGGGACAATAGGGCTGGTTTCAGTTGCAATTTTTGAAACACACTTATGTCAGAAAGCCCCCCCGATGCAAGAAGCAAGGGACCCATGACTCAAAGTGTGTAGCTCATTAGCTGGGTAACTGGGTACATCACTGGCTGTCTCTGGACTTTACCTTCATCATGCACATGGGAAGAGAGTTATGACAATTCCTTGAGGTTGTGGTGTAGATTAGGTGAGATCTGTGAGCACAGCATGAAAAATGTGAAAGCACCAAAAACAGTAGCAAAATCTGAGAAGTCAAACGTCAAGGTCAGCCAGGAGAAATTACTTCGAGGAGGCAGAGCATGTGCAGCTCCCAGCTATTTTCCTGGATGATGCAAGGAAGCAGAGTTGTTATGGAGTTAGACTCTTTGGATTTGAATGTCAGACTCCAAATGTGTGACCTTGGGCAAGTTGTTTAGTCACTTTTTTTTTTTTTTTTGAGACAGAGTCTCGCTGTGTCAACCAGGCTGGAGTGCAGTGGCGTGATCTTTGCTCACTGCAACCTCCACCTCCCCAGTTCCAGCAATTCTCCTGTCTCAGCCTCCTGAGCAGCTGGGACTACAGGCACTCACCACCACACCGAGCTAATTTTAGTATTTTTAGTAGAGATGGGGTTTCACCATGTTGGCCTGGCTGGTCTTGAACTCTTGACCTCAAGTGATCCGCCTGCCTCAGCCTTCCAAAGTGCTGGGATTACAGGCGTGAGCCACCACTCCTGGCCCTGTTTAGTCACTTTTAATGTCTTCTTTCTCTCATTTCTCAGGTAGCATTTATCATAGGGTCTACTTCCTGGAGTTATTGTGAAAATCAAATGACATAATACCTGTCAGTGCTTAGATCTGTGCCTGTAACATTGTAAGTGCTCAATATATGCTAGTTATCATTAACAAGCAAGCAAGCAATGCTTCTTGGTCACTGAGGGTTTAGCCTTGGTAAGTGCAGTTTTCTTGTCTTGAAAACTTTTACCATTTAGATCAAGTACTGGATACTTTCCAGCCTTTGATCCTCAGTCTCTTTTTGCTCTTTAGCATCTGTGTTTCTCCAGCTCCCCGAATCTGGCAGGTCCAAGAAGGTGGCAGGTCTGTGTGACCTGCCACATTTTTGGACCAGATCCACATGCCGGGCACCTCCTCTCCGGGCCTCTCCTCTGAGTAACAGGCCAGACTTTTGTCTCTGTGTCCCACCCTTCAGATCGGCTCCCTCCCAGCTCTCTGCTGCTGTTTCTCTCCTCTTGGGAGACTGTGCTGGGTAAGGGGGTGCCTTTTAGATTTCCTGTGCAGTAGCCTCTGAATTCACTTCCTGGAGAAGGTCCAACTTATTTGTTGGGAATTTCTGACCACGGGCAGACAACTCCATCCATCCAAAGGGCTTGTGACTGCCCTCAATAGTTTTAAAAACACCTTCCATCCATGTGTGGTAGCTCACATCTGTAATCCCAGCTACTCAGGAGGCTGAGGTGGGAGGATCACTTGAGGCCAGGAGTTTGAGACCAGCCTGAGCAGCATGGCGAGACCCTATCTCTAAAATAAATAAATAAATAAATAAATAAATAAATAAATAATAAAAAGGAACAGCCTCCTATGTGGCCCTGACTGTTTAGAACTGTGGCAGAGGGCCAGGCATGGTGGCTCACGCCTGTAATCTCAGCACTTTGGGAGGCCGAGGCGGGCAGATCACCTGAGGTCAGGAGTTCAAGACCAGCCTGGACAACATGGTGAAACCCTGTCTCTACTAAAAATACAAAAATTAGCCAGGCATGGTAACGCGTGCCTGTAATCCCAGCTACTCCAGAGGCTGAGGCAGGAGAATCACTTGAACCTTGGAGGCAGAGGTTGCAGTGAGCTGAGATCGTGCCATTGCACTCCAGCCTGGGCAACAAGAGAGAAACTCCATCTCAAAAAAAACAAAAAACAAAAAACTGTGGCAGAGACTGAAAAACTGTTTACCAAACCCATTTTTTTTCCTTCCTGAAAATACAACCAGACTCCATTTCTCAGCCTCCCTTGCGTGTGTGGCTGTATGACGAAGTTTTCTCCAATAGAATGGGAGCAGAGCCTCTTCCAGACCCGGCCCATGACACTGCCTGGTACCTTTTGGCCCATGCTCTTTCCCTGTGTGCCAGCTTCAAGCAGATGTGCACAGTGCAACTGGGAGGCAAGCACTGCAGACGGCAGAGCCACAACATGGAAAGAGCCCGGGTTCCTAAACAGGCACAAGGCATTGATACACAGCCAGGAGCAACTGTATTGGACTGAGCAAAGCATACACCTTTGCTGTGCTATGCCACTGCAGTCCAAGGGCTTGTTCATTAGATGAGTTATCCCTAGTCTAAATAATCCACTTGTACTGCCCGAAGCCTATCAGTAATCTACTTTATCTTTAATGCTGCTTCAATGGTCTTCCTACCCCTGGATCTCATTCCACATTGCTTCCAAAGCAATAATTCAAACAGTAAAGATTAACTATGCCCACTCTCTCTCCTGTTCAGAGAAACTTCACTGACGCCTACAGTAGAAACCCCAAGTTTTTAGCCTTGTGTCCACAGCTTTTTATTATACAGTCCTTCCTGTCTCTCCTAATTTATTTTCTGTTTGTTTCCCTGTTGGATCCTGTAAAGTCTTAAAAAAGGATCAGAGCACACAAAAACACAATTTTATGCACAAAAGGAAACATAGATATCACTCGTTGCATAAGGAAACAGATATTGGCAACTCCAATGACACAGGCAAGTGAGTTGTGATTTCACTGAGTTTAAGGAACAGTTGTGTTTGGAAAGTTCAATACATTCATAAACCCAGCCCCCAGCTGCTTTTATACCCACCTATTTACAACATTTTCTATTAATAAGTCTTACAAGAAATGGCATAGGGAACACATGTTACTGTAGTCACGTGTAAAGACATCAACATGAGCAATAAGGAGTTAGCCCACTGACTCATTAGTGCCTTAGAAGATCATCTGGTGACATCCTCCTAATATTCCCATTACATGGCTCCTGCTACAGCCATTCAAAACATCCTTGTATTTGCCAAAGGATCCACTCCTTTTCATGTCACCTGCCTCTGCCTGGGAGCCTTTCCCCGCCTTATCCTCCGGGAAATGCCTTAGTCATTCCTAAAAGCTCACCTAGGGGTTCTCTTTCTAGCTGAGCTGTTTCTACCTCCTACCCCACTTCCTCCTAAGGTAGATTAGTCATATCTTCCTCTAATGTAAAGCTCTTTGTGCAAGCTCTCCAGTTCGGACGTTGTACTGTAGTTATCTGGTTATGTATCTGTTTCTCTCACTAGACAATGAGCTTGGAGGAGAAGAATATTAATATTCATACTGCAGCAGGCTACAAATCTTGAATGACTCAATAAGTAAAAGTCTGCAATTCAGCCAAAATATTGGCCCTTATATATTGATAGTACAAGCCTTGGGATCTCCGCCTTGCCTAAGAAGACCATGATATGGCTTAAAAGAGGAAGAAAACCTGTTTCATTTGGCTCCAGCTAGGGCCAGTGGCCTAATGTGAGTTCAGCTAAAGATGACACATTCATTCCCCTGTTCACTGAAACACATGAAAAAAAAAAAATTAAGACATTCTTCCAGTGTGGGAGAAGTTCAGAAAATAAAATAACATTTAACTATGTACCTACCCTCAAGGTGCAACAGGGGTTGACACTTGCCGTATTCGCTCTGAATGTCTTTGTTAAGGAAAGAAATGTTACAGATAGAGTTGAAGACTGCCCTCCTTTACCCCTCTCCCCCTCTTTTCTCAGAGGCAAGCTTACTCTAAGGCCGATATATATGTTTTTGTACTTTTACCACACACAATAGATAGCATTTAAAAATGAATATGTATGTATATATGAAATACATAAATAAATATATGTATGCGTGCATAGTATTATATTGTATATATCAATATTACGCTTTCTGAGGCATTTATTTAGTTGCATGTAGATCTAATGAATTCATTTGAATTGACAAAAACTACGCTACCATATGGTAAGCCAGTTTACTCTCCATTTGCCTACTTAGAGATAGTTGTTTCCATTTTTCACTACTACAAACCAGTTCTGTGTTAGTCTGTTTTTGCCTTGCTATAAATAAATACCTGAAGCTGGGTAATTTATAAAGAACAGTGGTTTATGTTGGTTCATGGTTCTGCAGGTTACACAGGAAGCATGGTGCTGGCATCTGCTTCTGGTGAGGGCCCCAGAAAGCTGCCAATCATGGAAGGTGATGGGGAAGCTGGTGTGTCACCTGGCGAGAGAGGGAGCACGAGAGAGTGAAGGGGGAGGTCCCGTACTCTTTTAAACAACAAGATCTTGCGTGAACTAACTAAGCCAAAACTCACTCATCACCAAAGGGATGGTGGTAAGGCAGTCATGAGAGGTCTGCCCCCATGATCCAATACCTCTTAACAGGCCTCACCTAACATTTCAACATTAGATTTGCAGGGGACAAGCATCCAAACCATATCAAGCTCCAAAAAGAACACTGTTGTTTATGCTTTGTTGTGTACACAAAAGAACATGCTTAAATAGTCAGAGCCCTCCAGCCATAGAACTGGCTGCTTCCAGAGGTAAAGGGATTCTAGTCCCCGGAATTGTTCATGGTGAGGTTATCAAGAAATGCCATAAAGAAGTCTCCCGGCCGGGTGCGGTGGCTTACGCCTGTAATCCCAGCACTTTGGGAGGCACTTTGGGAGCAGGTGGATCACCTGAGGTCAGGAGTTAGAGACCAGCCTGGCCAACATGGTGAAACCCCATCTCTACTAAAAATACAAAAAAATTAGCTGGGCACATGGTGATGGGCACCTGTAATCCCAGCTACTCGGGAGGCTGAGGCAGGAGAATCACTTGAACCTGGGAGGTGGAGGTTGCAGTGAGCCGAGATCGCGCCACTGCACTCCAGCCTGGGCAACAAGAGCGAAAATTTGTCTCAAAAAAAAAAAAAAAGTCTCCTTCACTGCTTTGTAACTTGAATCCAGTGATGCTGCTAAGTTGCCTTCCAACCCTAAGGCTTAAGGTTTTTATGACTCTAGGAATTAAAGCATTACAGAATCAAATTCTGGGCTTTCTCTGAATTTTGAGGTCTCAGGGAAAACGCATCAGAAGCTCATCCTGGGGCAACGATTAGAGGGGCCTTTCGAGATGATCAGTGGCAGACCGCCTGTTGCTAGATGTCTTCATACTGGAATCAGGATATGTTGAAACTGTCACCATATCAAGCACTGTTCATTAAAGTCATTCAACAAATGTTTATTGAGCATCTATTATGTACCAGGTATTGTTTTAAGTGTTAGGCATATGTGGTGAAGAAAGCAAAGTCTCTGACAGACTGTATGATTGCAGATAAATGTCATTATCATGTGAGGTGGTCTTATGGACTGAGTTGCATCTTCCCGAAAATTCATATGTTTAAGCCCTAACCCCTAGTACCTCAGAATGTGACTGTATTTGAAGACAGGAACTTTGGAGAGGTGATTATGTTCAAATTGTCAGAGGCGTTCGAACCAGAGCGACTCCATCTTGAGTGAGGGCTAGGAAAATGAGACTGGGACTTGTGGGGCTGCATTCCCAGAAAGTTAGGTATTCTTTTTTTTTTTTATTTTTTTAGAGGAGTCTCACTCTGTCTCCCTGGCTGGAGCGCAGTGGTGTGATCTCAGCTCACTGCAACCTCCTCCTCCCGGGTTCAAGCAATTCTCCTGCCTCAGCCTCCTGGGTAGCTGAGATTACAGGTGAGTGCCACCATGCCCAGCTAATTTTTGTATTTTTAGTAGAGGCGAGGTTTCACCATGTTGGCCAGGCTGGTCTCGAACTCCTGGCCTACTGATCCGCCCGCCTTGGCCTCCCAAAGTGCTGAGATTACAGGCATGAGCCACTGCGCCTGGCAGAAAATTAGGTATTCTTAGCCTCTAGATGTTTACGGTTAAGGGAACAGATTGATAAAGTTTAGTAAATGGACTCACACTTGGGAGTGTCCTGATATCCTGATATTTTGAGAACAGGCACATTCTTAATTTTGCTTTAAAGATAATAATATTGATTCATGCAAAATATAGTAATTAAGAAAATTAAACCTTTGTCACAAACCCTTGTAGCAGAGCACATCTCCCCATGATCTTTTTTATCCTATATATAAACAAGTATTGTACCTAGGGTGGATGCACCCCTTCTCTTACTTTCAGGAACTCCCTCCTCTGTCTAGGGAGTAGCTGTTCTTTCACTACTTTATTTTCTTAATAAACTTGCTTTTGCTTTGCACCGTGGACTTGTCCTGAATTCTTTCTTGTGCAAGATCTAAGGACCCTCTCTTGGGGTCTGCATCGGGACCCCTTTCCTGTAACAAAATGAGGCAATTAGGATGGACCCTAATCTAATTAGACTGTTGTCCTTATAAGAAAATAAAATTTGGACACACCAAGGAGAGACCTCACATATTCATAAGCCCCGAGGAAAGACCGTGTGAAGCACCGAGAGAAGATGGCCATCTGCAAGTCCTGGAGAGAGGCCTCAGAAGAAACTAAACCAGCTGACACCTTGAGCTTTGATTCCAGCCTCCAGAACTGCAGGAAATAAATTTCTGTTGTTGAAACCACTCTGCCTACGGTATTTTGTTATAGTAGCCCTAGTGAAATAACACGGGAGCTATGGAGAAACATGAAGCTGAGGAAAGGATGGAGGATAAAGGAGCCGTCATCTACTAGGGCAGTCAGGAAAACACTGCTGTCTGAACTGTTTCATAAGAACCTGGGATAATTATCCCCACTCTACAGACGAGGCAACTTAAGTAACTTCCACAGTGTCACACAGCCAGGAGGCCATAGAGATTCAAACTTAGGTCTTTTGATTCCAAGTTTCTTTTGTGTGATACAATGTTATGCTGCTTCTATTTTTGATTTAAAGGAAGACTAGCATAAAAGTGATGCTTTAAAGTTTATAAATTATTTTCACCGGTCCTCTCACATTTGACCCTCACAGCAAGTTATGTGGGTAACTTAACCTCCTCCTCCTCCTCTTCTTTCTCTTCCTCCTCTTCTTCTTCATGGTTGGCTCATGGTTCTGCCGGCTTTACAGGAGGCATGGTGCTGGCATCTGCTTCCGCTGAGGCCTCAGGAAGCGTCCAATCATGGCAAAAGGCAATGGGAAGCCAGCCTTTCACATGCTGAGAGTATTCTGGGGTCACAGAGAAAACGCATGGTGAGAGTATCCTCCTCCTCCTCCTTTTCCTCCTCCTCCTTCTGTTCCTCTTCCTCCTCTTCTTCTTCCTCTTCCTCCTCTTCCTCCTCCATATTACCATCTTTGTTTACTGAGGCTCAAAGAAGTTAAATGGTTGTACCAATCTCACAGCAGGATAGTGAAAGAGTTGGGGCAGGGAGTGTGCTAGGAACTGAATTCTACTCCATTGCTTTTTCCATTCTGTAGGAGAAAATATTTCCTCTTCAGACAAAGCCCTGATGGGCTCCTGAAATTTACATGGAGCAAAAAGCCTTGTGCTCACTCTCCTAGAGAAACCCCACCACTTCCACAGTGATCTCCTGGGTAGTCAGTCAGTTCACTATGTCGCTTTCTCAGAGGCATCCACTCCTCCAGACCCTCTCCCCCATGACCACCTCTTCCCAGCTGGGGATGAGACCCTGCATGGCCCTTCAAACCTCCGCCACTGGATAAATTAACCTAACTGTGGAGAGTTAATTTTTCTGACTATAAAGTGCATTCAATAAGTGTAAAACAAAACTAATTGGTTCTCTTCCATACAAATTTAATCATACCATAAAATGTGATCAATGCAAATAAAAACCATTGAGTACGTTAAGTGCTGAGGATCCATAAAGGGGAAAAAATGGTCCGTGCTCATAATCGTAGGAATGGGAATCTGGATGTGCAGTCACTTGTGCATTAATCGTCTCGCATGCCAGGGTTGACATAGCTGGGCTGTGTTGGAGGGACATTGAAAACTTCCTTCTTTGGCGCCCATTGTGTGGAGGAGATAATTCCCTCATTGATTCTGGGGCTCATGTGTTATCAGCTAATACATTCTGGATAATATTCATCGGATGCATGTTTTGTGTGTCTGCAGCCCACACATTGCTGACAGGCACTGCCCAAACTTTCTTTGTGCTGAGACTGTTCTCATTGTAGGTAGAGTCTGGGGTTTGTGAAATGACATCAGATGCACTTTCTAAAGGGTCAAATGTTGCGGGGGTTGGGGGGTCCGGGGGGCATCGGCACCTCTTTTGTGCAAAATTTATTTGTAAAAGACGAAGGTCGGTAGAATCTGGTAACTTCTGAAACATTTAACCTTGTCCTTTGTTTTATTGTCACTCTTTGTCAGAGGGGCAAATGGAGGCATTTACACCATTCATCTTTGTTTGCAGAACAGATGCATCCTTGGTTTCTTTCTACCCACTGCTGGAATCTGTGGGCCTTACTGGGAAGCTCAGCCTTGTTCAGACTGAATAAGACCTCCTGGGACAGGTTCAGAATGAATAAGACCTATTGAGCCTCAGTAAACAAAGAAGGTAATATAGAGGAAGAAGAGGACGAGGAGGATGAGGAAGAGGAGGAAAGGCTGCTCTTCCCCAGGGCAGCCTTGCAACCAGTCTTTTGCCTTAGGTATGTGCTTGGGAGAGGCTCTCTAGACTCCTGTCCAGGGTAGATGAGAGTGCTTCAATCTTGCATTGTGACCAAAGCCCTTGCCAAGCTTATGTCAAACCAGACTGTCCACTGGGACCAGGACAATGCCAATTGTAACGTCTTCTATATTACCCTGGTGATGATGTTCAAAACATACTTTGTAAATTGTTACCCAAATGTGTGGGTATGTAAAGTATTTAGAACTTTTTCAGTAGGCAGGGTGTGTCAGAACTGTGTACGTTTTATAGGAGAGAAGAACACTGTGGCACCACACAGTATTGTTGGCTTATTTAACACACTTTGAGAATGGATAAATAAGGGCCCAAGTAGTTTCTGTATTTCTGAGGCAGAATGTCTATCCTATCTTCAGGCTCACCTCTGATTGCACCTTCTTCCCACCTCTAGGAGATAAAGCTGTGAAGGTGGATGCAGCTGTAGAGGTTGACATCAGGGGGGCAGGAGAGAGGGGGAAAGTCCCATGTACAACGTGGAAGGCCAGTAGAAGTCTAGGCCAATGGTCTCTGTCTGTGATGTGTGTGTGTGTGTGTGTGTGTGTGTGTGTGTGTGTGTGTATTTAGTGATAGCGGAACACTCAGAGAGACATTAGAGAAGCATTTGGTTGCTGGGAATGCAATCGCTGGGGACTCCAGGAGAGTTCTGGTTCCCAGCTGGAAATATGGCAGGACAGGTATGCTTCTTTTCCTAGAAATATGCTGAATAATTAGGGAAGTTCACCAGGCTGGAGCAGAGAAGCAGTGAGAGGCAAAGATAGGTCTGGGAGTTTGGAGGACAGGGTCCAAAGCAGAAGGACAATCTATGACTCTATAGGCAACAAGCAGTCCTCGCAGTTCTGTGGCTCAGTGTTCTCATCTCTAAAATGGGCACCAGGAAATCCACCTTGGTAAATGACTACTTATCAGTAATGGACTCAGAAATTTCGGAATCAGAAATTCTTCCTGTGGGGAGGTCACTAAGAGAGTGGGAGTTGCCACACGTCAGCATCAGTGTGGGAGCTCAGGGCTCAGGATTTCTCTCAACAAATCCTCTTACACCCCAGGGACTTTGCACTTGCTATTCCTGCTGCCCCAAACACCTCTCCCCCACTCCCATTTATACTGCAGATCTCAGTGCAAGTGCTGTTTTCTGTGGGAAGCCTTTCCAATGCACACTTTCCCAGACCAGAATAAACTCTATGAACTCCCCAACCTTCTATTTTCAGCATATACCATTGTTTGTTTAATTGTATGCCTCCACACTCATCCTTGGTTAGACTGAAAGCTTGTTGTTTATAGCATGTAGTTGGCACGTAATGTTTGTTGAATGAGTGAATGAATAAGTGAATGAATGAAGAGTTTGGGATAACTTCTTGAAGTCCAACAGGGAACTTGACTCTGGGTCAAGTCCATGGAATGGTGCCCTAGAAAGATTTCAATTCTTCCAAACTCAAAATTGGATTCGGGAGGTAGAGCTTGTAAGTGGGGTGTGATATCTGGGGTATAAGTGGGGTGTGATATCTGGGGTATTAATTGGGTATGATATCTGAATCTCTGAGGTCCCTCCACAGCTGGGTAGTCAGAGACAGATGACAAAGTGGATTATTTTCTCCCTCGACTCTCTTTCTTCCAGAAGAGCCAAGAAAGGTTAAACATGAGTATTGAATGGTTCTCCCCCAACCCCCACCAAAGCCCATCTTGTACATCTCTTGGCATCCCCAGGCAGTCTCTCCAGGATGACTCTCTCTAGGGCCCAAGTTCCTGCCTCTGATTCTCTTTCCCTCCCTGGATCTGCTTTCCTCTGAGTGTCTGGGACTCTGTCTTCTTCCCTGTGATTTATCCCCACAACATTTCTTGCTGTTCCACTGTTCCATTTGTCTGCTTTCAATAATTATTTAAGCTTTATTAGGTATTTATCAAGTAAACTGTTGGCTTCTGAAGTTTGCTTATTGTAGCCAGAGGTTTAGAAGGGCAATTTGTATGCATCTCAGAGCTCACACAGCAAATCCTTTCTCTGGATTGAAATTATGATATGAACATGATGTTTTATAAGATAATAGAATGAGGGTTCCAAATTCTCAGGTTTTATATCTATATATATAGAGTTTTTTTCCTTTTTCCCTCTGAGCTTTCCTGAGAAAGAAATATGCAAGCAGCTCAGATGGCTGTGTATTGAAAGGAGGGTGTGTATATGTACTCACTGTGGGGGAGTCAAGAAGAAACAGATGAATAGTTCAGCTCAGATGGCCTTTAAATTCATGGGGTTGAGTGCGAGCCAAGTTAAACACCACTGGGCTCTGTAGCTCCCTGAACTCTGCTGAAATGGAAGATTAATCTGGCTGCAAGGCGCTGAAGGGGTGCCACCCAGCAGGGAGAGCTAGGGGGATTGAAGCCCCATGAAGCTGCTGTTGAAACAATGTAGGTGAGTGATCATATCCTGAACCATCACGAGGCAGTGGCATGGATTCAGGGGACAGAGTCCTTTAAAGAGGTGAAAACCACAGCACCTGTAATAGCAATAATAGGATCTGTGCAATCCTTTTTGCCTGTTTCCAATCTGATGCAATTCTGAGGGGTAGGGGTTCTTTTTTTGTTTTTGAGAAAGGGTCTTGCTCTGTCACCCAGACTGGAGTGCAGTGGCATGATCATAGCTCACTGCAGCCTCTAACTCCTGGGCTCAAGCAATCCTCCCACTTCAGCCTCCTGAGTAGCTGAGACTCCAGGCATGCATCACCATACTTGGCTAATTTTTAAATATTTTCTGGCTGGCCTCAAACTCCTGGGCACAAGTGATCCTCATCTTTGGCATCACTTGCCAAATTACAGATGTGATTACAGATGTGAGCCACCATGCCCAGCATGGGGATAGGTATTTTTAATGCTATAGTGTTTCTATATATAAATAGAAGCTCCAAAAAGTCATTGAAGAGGACATCTGTGGTATTTGCTCATCTTGCTTATCCAGCATCTCTTCCTCCATGGCAGCCAGATTTTCTTCTCGGAATATCACCCATCCTCCATTTTTAGTTCACACACTTGAGATCAGGTTGAATATGCCCCCAGGTTCAGAGGTAGGTATAGGAACCAGGTGTGGCTGGTGGGTGTATTTAACTAAAATACCTCCAATCACCATCACTTTTTATGTAGGGACCCTCTTCCTGATCCAGGCCAGGGTGATGCCCCTCACTCAGCACAGGGCTTTGTTTAGAATGACTGGGGAAGAGCAGCTCTTTCTTTAATGGTGCTTGTGTCTGTGAGGGCTGAAATGTGTGTAAGCCCAGGCTATTACAACATTAAGGGTGGGGCTGGCTAAAACTGATGCCAATGAAGAGGAAAAGAGAATTGAGAAGAGAGAGGCTGAGATGTGACAACATTATCTAGGCCTGGACCCCTAATCATTCCTACCCTGTACTTTTCAGCTACATGAAACAGAAAAAGCCTCTATTACTGTTACTATTAATACCGTTATTGTTGTTATTATTGTTATTTTCTTACATCATTTTGAGTGGCGCTTTCTGTTACTTACAACCAAAAGAATCTTGATCAATACAGTCATTCCACTTGAGTGGTGGAAAGAGAGAGAATGATGACTGTGATGGCTTTTTGGATCTGAAATTCTGTCATCTTCCCACTGTGTATGCTGTGAGGGAGAAACATGAGAAAAAGGCACAGCAAAGAATAGATTCCCATCCCCTGCAAGTCTCCT
Source organism: Homo sapiens (assembly GCF_000001405.40). Lineage (NCBI taxonomy): Eukaryota > Metazoa > Chordata > Mammalia > Primates > Hominidae > Homo > Homo sapiens. The sequence goes on along the minus strand of NC_000016.10, from coordinate 26,862,707 downwards.
GGAAGCCAGGGTTCAAGGCATGTGGCCTCGGACTAAGTCTGGATCCATAGCTCAGCTCAGCTCATCCCTGAGTGACCCTAGGCACGAAGTGAACCTCCTCACTAGGGGACGTTAATTTATAGCTCTCCTTTCTTGGTAAGAATCAGAAATTACAAAAGTACTTTATAAATGAAAAGGTCTGTAAACATGTTGCTGTTACTATGGTTACTTTTGTTATGATTCCCCATTGCTGGGATATTCCAGAGAGGCTGAACACCACCTGTCCCAGGTATCAAATGGAAGCAGCAGATGGTTGCAGATTAGATTAGATTTAGATTTGATTTTTTCTTTTCTTTTTTTTTTTTTTTTTGGAGACAGGGTCTTGCTTTGTCACCCAAGCTGGAGTGCAGTGGTGTGATATTGGCTGACTGCAGCCTCAAACTCCTGGGCTCAAGCTATCCTCCCACCTCAGCCTCCTGAGAAGCTGGGATTACAGGCACACAACACCACACCTGGCTAATTTTAAAATTTTTTTGTAGAGATGGGGTCTTGCTGTGTTGCCCAGGCTGGCCTCAAACTCCTGGGCTCAAGCAGCCTTGGCCTTCCAAAGTTCTGGGATTACAGGCATGAGTCACCATGCTCAGCCCAGATTAGATGGATTTTAAGGGTCTTTTGCCTTCAGGGACCTTGGTGAAAGGAACTTCATCAAGATGTCCTAAGCAATTTGGAACTTGGTGTACAAATGTATGTTAACTCATCACACTACAGCTTTGCAGGGCTAGATCAGCTGTCTGTATTTCACTACTCGGGAAGTTGCAGATTACTTGTACAAGATCATGCAGGAAGCCAGTGTCAGACTTGGTCTAGTAAGTTCTGTTGGACTCCACAGACCTTGTCTATCCACTGAGACATCCTGCGTCAGGATGCAAAAAAGCAGTGGTGGAGAAAACTCAGAAAAAGAGGAAAAAGACCTGAAATAAGAGACTATGTTAAATCTAGGAAATGACAAAGTGTCCCCAGGAACCACTTAAGACATGGCAATGAGATCCACAAGTGGGTGGAAGTCCTGGTTTGATCCACTGGCTTGACCTTCTAGGAGTCTTGACTTTGTTAAAGCCCATTCATTTACTCATTCATGGAACATTTGTCGAACACCTACTATGTGCAAGACCTTGAAGCAAGGCCGTGAAGATGAATTAGGCACCTCACCCTCAAGGAACTCCATTCACGGGAGGATATATTTGTACAAATAACTCATTCTAGTACAATGTGCTAAGTTGTAAATAGGGCTGTTAGCAAGATGTATGTAACAGAGATGGAGTAAATAGAAACGACTCTAAGGATATCTTGGAAGGTTTTAATAAAGGAGAAGGGGCACTTGAGCTTATTTTGAGGAACACATAGGAGTTCATCACATTGACAAGGGGAGGAATGTGCATACCTGGCCAAGGGAATGGCCCCAGGAAAGGTGGAGAAGCACATGTGGTTTGCAGGTTTGGAGAGAATAAGTAGATGTTGGATACAGTTGGAGCATGGAAGGTGGGGCATGTAGGAGAAGAGCTCAGAGAATTCAGCAGGACCAGAGGTTGAGTAAATGCTGGCAATAGAAGGTTGAATTGTTTGACTTTCAACACTGAGTAACAAAGAATTTGAACCCACATGAAGAAAGAAAGAGATGTCTGAGTATCTACATTTCTTCCTTCAATATCCTTGATCTTCTGGGCCACGTGTTTTGCCTGGGTGGGTGGTTTGGGGATTTAAAACCTGTAGTAGATTTGTTTAGGATGCAAGAGTAAGGAGGACAGGCAGTATTGAAACCAGTCCAATTGTCTCACAGAAATGATGTTTATGGTTTCGACATAAATATAGAAATTGATCATCCCAGTCTTGAAACTTGAGAAACTTACATTTGTCTTATCTGAGTTCCTTTCTCAGGAAACCAACCCTCAGGCCTCCCAGTCAGTATCAAGGGATGAAAACTCACCAGGTCACCACATCTGGACAATGAGATGTCAGACTCCTCACCCATCACAATTGCTTCCTTACCCCTCCCTAATGCCTGTTGATCATCCCCTCTTACCCCTCCCTCATTCCTGTTGACCACCTCCTCTTCCTCACCTCTACCTAATGCCTGTGGACCACCTCCTCTTCCTTACCCCTCCCTCATTCCTGTTTTCCCACACATAGTTACATTTCCTCCCTGCTGTATAAACCCCTAATTTTAGTCGGTTGGGGAGACAGATTTGAAACTGATCTTCCATTCTCCTTCACTGTAACTCTGGAATAAAGCCTTCCCTGGCAATATTCATTGTCCCAGTGACTGGCCTCCTGTGCACAGAACCCCTGGCATTTTGGTAACAGTATTGAGGCAGCAACTTACTGGGAATATGGTAGGGAGAAGTCAGCTTAGTTTTCCAAACTAGGATGTCAACAGTTGAGGCAGGACATTTTAAAATGTGATGGCCCATAGTGAAAAACCGGAAGCACCTGCCCTGATGTAGCAGGCTTTGTGTTCACACAGACTCCTGGTTCCACTACGTTCCAGCCATGTCAACTCAAACACTGTCTTCAACTCTCTGAGCCCGTTTCCTCACTGTAAAATGGAGATGGTGTTTTTCTCAGGCATATTTTGAATTTAGAAAATCAAGTGAATCAAGGCACCCTGCATTGTGCTGGGTATGTAGCAAGTGCTTAATTGTTAGGGATTATGTTTTATTGCCGTATAAACACAGTACTTCTGCAGTGACCGTTGCAGCTCACCAAGCCACCTTGAGGTCATGATATTTGTTTTGCTGTATCAGGTCCTTCTTCCTACGAATGGGTGTGAATGAGGTCATGGTGACTGTATCAGTGTAAGGGATCACACATAATAAAGTGCTTAGCATAGTGCCTGGTGCATAATGGTACTCACTCGGTTTTAAAAATCTTGAGAGGCCGGGCGCGGTGGCTCACTCCTGTAATCCCAGCACTTTGGGAGGCCGAGACGGGCAGATCACAAGGTCAGGAGATGGAGACCATCCTGTCTAACACGGTGAAACCCCGTTTCTACTAAAAAAAATACAAAAAATTAGCCAGGCTTGGTGGTGGATGCCTGTAGTCCCAGCTACTCGCGAGGCTGAGGCAGGAGAATGGCGTGAACCTGGGAGGCGGAACTTGCCGTGAGCTGAGATCGTGCCACTGCACTCCAGCCTTGGCGACAGAGCGAGACACCATCTCAAAAAAAAAAAATTTTTTTTTGAGAATGACAGGCCCAGTAGTCCATGGGAGTGCAGTGGCATGATATTGGCGGACTGCATCCTGAAACTCCTGGGGTCAAGCTATCCTCCCACCTCAGCCTCCTGAGCAGCTGGGACTACAGGCACACACCATCACGCCTGGCTAATTTTTAAATTGTTTGTAGAGTATATTCTATACAGCAGCAAGACAGATTGGTTTGTTCTGGAGTGGCAAAGAGCAGCCCATCTGCTGCAACTCCCACTCCCCACACCCAGGGCAGCAGCCAGTCATCTCTCATTGCAATCTTTCTGAGGCCTCAGTGGGGTCCTGGGGTGTCACTCCTGGGAAACCCTGGGACCTACCCTCCCTACCGTCCTTTCTTCTTTTCTAGCATACTATTTCTGCGCAGCTTTCTTTTCCTCCTTCTCTTTTCCCTTCCCTCACTTCTCTTGCTTTTCTTCCTCCTTCCCTCCCTTCCTTCCTTTCTTCCATTCTTTCTCTCTCTTTTCTTTTTTCTTTCCTCCCCCTCTGTTTTCCTTCTTTCTATCTGTGCTTCAAAGCTTGCTCTGTGCTGCTTGGCCATGAGGGCACCAGGTACAGCTTCTTTTTATGGAAGCACATTTCCCAGACAGTGTGAGGGGAGAGGATCCCCCCAGCTTGGAAACAGGATCCAACAATTTTCATGTGAATTGGGGCATGAAAGATCAAAATGTTACTCGAATGGCAAAGTCAACGGAGAAGTTGTCACAATATCAGTCCAAAAAAAGCGGAACATTTATATGTGTTGACTTGGGACTAGGTTCAGGTCCCTATGCAAATAAAGCATTTGCTTGGAAAAAATAAAATAAAATAAGACACTTGTTGAGGATCCTTCCCTAGGGAGCATCAGGAACAGAGTGGTTACTGCAGCCCTTTCTAGCACCAGGATACTGGCCTCCGCTCTGTCAACGCTGGACTCCCCCGGCTCCTCTGACCTGGAGTTTCCCAAAGACTCAGCTGATTGATCCCATTGTGCCCAGTGTGGGAGCACTTTGGAAGCCTCAGGCCTGGTAATTGTATTGCCTAAGGGCTGGCAGTCTCCATCCCGCCCTGGGGTGAACCTGTTGCCTTATGAATTCTCCCTATATGGTAAAGGCACCTGGGAGCAATAACTTGCATATACTCTCAGAGTGATCCTCTGTGGCAAATGCACCAGGATGCAGTTTACAATAAGGAATCTGGGAGTGGCCAAGCAGGGGATTCATTCCTTCTCTGTGTGGAACTTCTGAGTCCCTAGCCTGTCCCATGGAACATGGGCCAGATGGCAGATATAGGGAATTGAGCCCATTGTTTTGGGTTAAGCAAAGGTTGCCAGGTAGAGGTTGTTGGGGGAGGCTGCTAAGTGGAAATGCTCTATAAACCATGTGCTTTGTGCAAGCAGTTGCAGATCTTCTGCCCAGCTCACTGCTCTCTCTGCCCTGTAAGCCCTCAATAAAACCCCATGTCTCATTTGCTGGCTCTGGGTCTCTTGTTCAGCCTCTTGAACTTGGTGCCATCCCCTTTGGAGTTGATAGGGGTTCAGCATAACACTCCCCCACAACCCAATTAAAGTCATGCCTGGTATTCCCAACCTGTTGGCTTAGTTTTTATCCCTGACCAAGAGTCATCTCTTCTGCACGGATGAGGGGATCTTGACATCCTGTCTTGCTCTTCAACCACTTGCTTACAAGGGTTGAACCTGGAACCACAGTAATACAGATGGCCTGACTGTAGGCATCATTATTGCTGGGATTCTTCTGAAGTCCTGCATTGCCTGGGCTGAGCCTCTTGATGGTGTCATATGCCCACACTCTACATAGAGTTCTTGTTCCTGTTTTCTACATGCAAGCCAGGGACCACAGCCTGGACCCTGTTTTCTAACCCCACTAGGTCTTCCCCAAGGTCCCAAGGCCAGTGGGCTCTCTCAGAGACATCTCCCACTGACTGGAGGCCAGGCTGCCAGACTGGGGGGTGGGCGGGGGCCATGGGGTCTTGCAGGAGGCTGGGAGCAAAGGAAAGGGCAGATGGGAGGAGAAATCAGGAACTCCTGGCCCAACCGAGGCGTATAAATCGCCAGGTGGCTGTGAAGTCTTTTAAATGTTTTGACAATCCCCAATCCATCAGAGCCTTTAATTGGGTTTTGACTGAGTTGTTCTATATGTAAATACCAGTTACTGGTGAGGTTGTTTATAGCCAAACTGTCTGTTTATGCAAATTGTGTTCCAGGATCACAGAGTTTTCATTGCAGGATAAAAACATTCCTTTTATTTAATGCCAACATTGCTTCCTCCTTGGGCTGGGGTTTATTTTCCTCTTTGGCTTTTAAATACAGCAGAGCAATTTGGTGAGCCAGAGGAGAGGCGTTTCCCATGCACCGGAGACCACGAGGTCTCCTGCAGAGAGGGGACATGAGGGTGGTTGATTGGTTGCCACAGATTCATAAAATGTACTTGCAGGTACCTTAGCTCATCTTCCCTCCCAAAACAGAGACCCATTGAATGCCAGGGGCTCATTGCTCCTTGAAGCGGCCTGGCCCATGTTTGGGCAATGTTGACTTTTATAGTTATCCCTCAGAATGGTTTGGGATTTGTCTTGTTGAAACTGACTCTCCAACTGGTCTCTTAGGATCATCTGATCCCCCCCTTCTCTCACCTCGATGATTATAATAGCTCTCATCCCCTTCCAAAATAATCTCTTTGCAGCCCAGGTGAACTTTGGGAAGGGCAGATCTATCTCTCCTGTCTGTCTACGGTTTGCCTGCAAGATAAAAAGCTGTCTCCTGCATGGCCAAGCTGATACTCTGTGATCAGGACCACATCTTCCACGCCCTACTAGGTTATCCTTGAACCCTAAACCAAGCTCTACTGAATTGCTTCTAGGTTTTTATCCCTGGCCTGCCAAATGGAGCTGATGAAATAAAAATCTTGAAGACTGGTGCCACCACACATGCCTTCGTCTCGATATTTATCAAGTGCACTGCATTAAACCCTGGTGGTAGAGCAGGGAGAAACACAGAGCAAGGCCCTGCCCTCCTTGGGGCATCTGCATGCAAATCCTTGTTTCCAGCCTCTGTGGAAGATGCCTCCTCCAGTAGGTGCACAGTCAGCAGGAGTACAAACCTTTCTTCCTATCAAGCTTACTGCTCCCATTTGCCCCTCCCTCTTAGCCAACTCACAATTTATCTCCTGTCAAAGCAAACTAAAACTGGCCTGAGAAGGACTCCGTACTTCTATATTTGAGTCCTGTGGACAAACTGTAATCTAGCTTAATGGTCAGACAAGATTGAAAACCTAACTTAGGAGTATGCACCTGTAACAGCAGCTGAGTTTTGGCCAATCCTTGTGGCCATACTTCAACCACTCATAGACGGCTAAGTGTTCAAACTATGTTCAAATAAGGCAAGCGCCAACCTGTAACCAGTCCAGCTGTTTCTGTGCCTCACTTCTGATTTCTGTACGTCACTTTTTTTTTTTTGTCTATAAATTTGTTCTGACCACAAGTCATCCCGGGAGTATCTCTGAATCGGCTGTGATTCTGGGGGCTGCCTGACTCACAAATCGTTCGTTGCTCAATTAAACTCCTTTCAATGTAATTCGGCTGCAGTTGTTCTTTTAACACTACTCTGTTGAAAGAAACTGTGGTCAGCAGGAAAGTTCTCCTCTTTTTCTTTTGCTTCTGCATCAGAATCGACATCCTCCTCCTGCTCCCGCTTTCCTTCCCAATTCGAAGGGAAAGTGAGTCCGGTGAATCCACCTGTATCCCAGATATCCACTTCTCCGCCCCTTCAGGGATTCTTCTCCAGCGATGGTTTTGCATTTCTTCTGCACATTTCTCCTCTGCCTCTAGTATTGACCATCACCCCTTCAATGTACTCAGAAATCTCTCCCACCATGGAATGAGAGTTTTATAGCAACGTTTCCTCAATGGTGCATGTTCCTGATGCTCAAACATCCTCAAACTCAAAAGCACATCAGTATCACCTCAGCAGACTTTAAGAGCAGAGGCCTGGACCACATCACAGAGCAATTAAAACAGTGTGTGGTGGTGGGAAGTCCAGGAATCAACAGGTTTTGAAACCTCCCCCCAGGTGATTCTATAATCAGCCAGGATTGATAGTCACTGTGACTGTCTTCTTCTTCTTCTTCTTACCACCACAGAAAATCCATTTAAAATTAGCCAAGACACTGTCTCCACTTCTCCATCTTCCCACTGATTCCTCAACTTATTGCCACCTAGCCTCATTCCATCAGCTTCTTAAAATTACTTTGAAAATCCCACCAATAGCCCTCTATTATCTAAACCCAGCTGACCCTTCTCTGGCTCAACTCGTGGAGCTTTTGATAGCATTGACCATGCCTTCTTTCTTGCAGTGGCCTCCCTGGCCCCAGTGATGCTGACCTGTGGTGATTCTCCTGCAGTTGTTCCTTCTCAGACTCTTGTGAGCCACCATTTTTACAGCCACTTTTTGGATATTGGTGTTCCAAGCATTTCCTTTTCTCTTCTCTCTGGGTTAATCTATTATCTCCACCTCTATAATGATGATTTCCTGAATTCCATTTCTAGCCCAACCTTCCCAAGCTCCAGATCCTTCTCCACTACCTGTTGAACATCTCATATGCCTTCTCTCCAAACCAGATTCCCTTCTTTCACTCCCATCTCTTTGTATATCACCATCACAGTACCCAATCTTGAAACCTAAAAGTCTATTTCTCTGTATCTTCTTCATATGCAATTTACTATGGGGCCTGAAGATTCTGTAGCCCAAATACTCACCAAGTCTCTCTGTTCCTCTCTAACCTGCATCATTCCTATCTTAGTTCAGGCCTTCATGATTTATCTCTTGGATTGTTTTCTTTTTCTTTTTTTTGAGATGGAGTTTTGCTCTTGTTGCCCAGGCTCAATCTGGGCTCACTGCAACATCCACCTCCTGGGTTCAAACAATTCTCCTGCCTCAGCCTCCCGAGTAGCTGGGATTACAGGCATGCACCACCACGCCTGGCTAACTTTTTTTGTATTTTTAGTAGAGATGGGGTTTCTCCATGTTGGTCAGGCTGGTCTCGAACTCCCAACCTCAGGTGATCTGCCCGCCTTGGCCTCCCAAAGTGCTGGAATTACAGGCTTAAGCCACCACGCCCAACCGCTTTCTTAGTCCTCCTTGTAGACTCACCTCCTTTAAGCCTCTGTCATCTCAGCCATCTCACTGTAATGCAAATTTGACCATAACTTTACTCCTTGAAAACCACCTTTCAATGGCTCTCTGTTGCACAAACATTAAAAATCCAAGTTTCTTAAAATGTGTGTGGGTGTTACAACAGGAAAGTTACATGACTCAGAAAAATGTCAGCTGATAAATAGCATGAGTGCTTCTTTAATGTAGCTCTGGGGTGAGGCCTGAGAACCTGCATTTCTAACTAGGTCCCAGGCAGCACCAAGGCTGCTGGAATAACAAGGTTGAATAGAAATGTGATAGTTCTTCTTTTTTTTTTAAGACCCCCTCTTTTTTTTTTTTTTTGACAGAGTCTCGCTTTGTGGCCCATGTTGGAGTACAGTGGCGCAATCACAGCTCACTGTAGCCTCCGCCTCCCAGGTTCAAGAGATTCTCATGCGTCAGCCTCCCACGTAGCTGAGATTACACGTGTGTGCCACCATGCCCAGCTAATTTTTGAATTTTTTGTAGAGATGAGGTTTCGCCATGTTTGCCAGGCTGGTCTTGAACTCCTGGCCTCAAAAGATCTGCCCACTTGGCTTCCCAAAGTGCTGGGATTACAGGTGTGAGCCACAGTGCCCAGCTTAGATCTATTTTAAAAAAATTTTAAAAATCCTTATTGCTTATTTTCCTCTCTTTTATTGTGAAATATATTTTGATAAATCATTATAATTGCAGATATTCAGAAGTCTCAAAACAAGTGCTGCAAGGGCTATAAAAATTATCTAGTGCAATAGAGAAGAATCCAGAGGCCCAGATAGGGAATGTGGTGAGCTCAATGCTACACAGAAAATCAGCAGCCAACTCAGGCTCAGGGCAGGTTCTATGATTCTCTCCCCATAAATCTTTGTACAGCAGGCTGGAAACTGGAGAATCAGAGAGAAGTCTCTGGCAGCAAATCTGCCCCTGTAGTGGGTACAAAGCCCCTAGGAGGACATCGTTAATATTCCACAGAAATTCCCACGCACCTGCTCTCATATTCATCAGGCGAGCCACAATTATGTCCCCATTTGGGGCTGGGGGCAAACTGTCCATGCAGGCTTATGAAGAAGTTATATTTAAAAGCTAGACCAAAGCTGTGGGTCATTTATAATCCACTAAATATTTAAGAGGTATGTCTTAAGGCATCTGAAAATTACAGGGATATTTCATGGTCTCATTTTGGGGCATATATATCTGGCTGGGCTAGACATAGTCTCTGGCTATGGGTGGCTCTGTTTTGCTTGGGAAAAGCCAAATATAAATAAAAGGCTGGAAAATCCAATAATTCACATAGTGAGTAGCGAAGGGTGATGTTGGGTGGGAAAAGCACCTGGGACACATACCTTGATAGCCCTGAAGGGGAAACAGTTGGTGGGACTGAGGTGGGATCTGAGGAGGGAGGCAGTGGAGATAAAAATGATGGAGCAGAGGTGGGCAGATCACCTGAGGTCAGGAGTTCTAGACCAGCCTGATCAACATGGCAAAACCCTGTCTCTACTAAAAATACAAAAAAAAAAAAAAAAAAAAAAAAATTAGCCAGGCGTGGTAGCACACACCTGTAATCCCAGCTACTCTGATGCTGAGACAGGAGAATCACTTGAGCCTGGGAGATGGACATTGCAGTGAGCCGAGATTGCGCCACTGTACTCCAGACTGGGCAACAGAGTAAGACTCTGTCTCAAAAACAAACAAACAAAAAACAGTGACACTGACTACTATAGGAGAAGCAGGACAGGCCCAGGATTTATGGGGCACAGGAGCTAAAGGGGTCTGGGTCAAGTCCCAGAGAAAATGGATTGGCCCCACCAGTGTTGGTCTTTTTCTTGGCTTTTAAAATTTTCCAGATTTAAGTAATCACTTGGTTAAAAAAAAGAAACCACGAAACAAAGCAAAACAAAAAACCTCCTACAATAAAAAAAGATAATATAGCAAATAATTCTTCCTCAGGGTTTCGCCTCCAGTATCCCAGTCGACCAGCCCCCATCCCCAGAGGTAACAGCTGCATCCTGCTTTTTATGGACCTTTCAAGATATATTACTTGAGCACATTTATGTTTCCATCAATGGAAGGATATTATAAGCTCCGTTCCATGTCTTTTTTGTGTGTACTGATATATCATGTATCTTGAATATCATTTCATATCAGTACATAACAATGTCCCTTATTATTTTAACAGCCACATTGTATTCTATTAAAATGTAGCGCTGTAATTTATTTAACCTTTTCTGGATGGATGGTTATGTTATTTCCAGTCTTTTGCTACCACACACTGTTTTTGTCAAGAATATCTTTCTAGGTGTGTTTCTACAACGTGTGGATATATCTGCAGGCTGCCTCTTAGAAGGGCAATCAGTGGGCCAAATGCATATGTGAATTGGTATTTTGAGAGGTATTTTCAAAATTTCCCTACAGAGAGGTTGTAGCACATATATACTCTCACCAGAAATGTTTTTTCACACACCCTCACAATCAAACACTTTGAGGGTTTTAAAAAAATTGAGGTACAATTTCCCTCAATTTATTACTTATTTTATTGTCAAACACTTTGAGGGCTTTAAAATTTACCTCATTTTTTATTTAATTTATTGTCAAACACTTCGAGGGCTTTAAAAAAATTGAGGTAAAATTTACAAACTGTAGTATATACAGACCTTAAGTGTATTGTGTAATGGGGTTTGACAGACGTGTAAAGCCATGTAATCCACACCCCAGTCAAGATAGAGAACAATTTCATTACTTATGAATGTTTTCTCATGCCACTTCCCAGTCAATCTTAACCTGTTCCAGGCATCAATCACTGCTCTTATTTTTATTGCCATAGATTTTGCTCTTGAATGTCACATAAATGGAATCACACAGTGTTTATTCTTGTGTCTGACTTCTTTTGCTTGACATAAGAGGTGTGAATTTCGTACATGTTATATCAGTAGTTCCTCCCTTTTCATTACTGAGTAGTATTCCATTGCATGAATACTGTAGATTAAGATTTATTTATCTGTTTTCCTCTTGATGGATATTTGGTTGCTTTGGGACTATTATAAGCAAAGCTGCCAATGACATTCTTGAGCAACTTTTTGTGTGGACATATGTCTTCATTTATATTGTATACATGCCCAGGAGTAGAATAGCTGTATCATAGCGTAGTTGTATGTTTAACTATATAAGAGACTGACAAACTGTTTTTCAAAGTAACTATACTATTTTGTTTATTTTTTTGGTTAAATTTATATGCCTAATCTTTTTCTTTTTCTTTTTTAAATACTTTAAGTTCTGGGATACATGTGCAGAACGTGCAGGTTAGTTACATAGGTATACATGTGCCATGGTGGTTTGCTGCACCCATCAACCCGTTATCTACCTTAGGTATTTCTCTTAATGCTATCCCTCCCCTACCCGCACCCCCCGCTCCACCGACAGGCCCCAGTGTGTGATGTTCCCCTCCCTGTGTCCCCAACTGCAATTCATGAGAGTTCTGGTTGCTCTACAGGCTTGCTAATATTTGGTGTTCTCAACCTTATAAATTTGGATTATTCTATTGGGTGTGAGGTTTTATCTCATTATTTTAATGAGTATTAAATGTGTTTTAATGCGGGTTTTCCTTATGACTAATTCTATTGAGCACATTTTCATGTGCTTATTAGCCATTCTTACATCTTCTTTTGTACGGTGTCTGAGTCTTTTGCCTATTTTTATTGGATTATTTGTTTTGTATTATTGATTGGCAGGAGTTCTTTATATATTATGGATACTACTCTTTTGCCAGGTATGTATTTTTTCCCAGTCTGTGATTTTCCTATTTTTAAATGATGTCACTTGATGATCAACCTTTTAAAATATTGAATTCCAATTAATTTTTTTGTGGTTAGTGCTTTTCCTGTCCTAAGAAATCTTTGCCAAAATTGTGAAGTTATTCTTCTGTTTTCTTTTGAAACTTTAAAATTTTTACTTTTATGTTTATGTCTATGGTCTACTTTGAGTTAATTTTTATATATGATGTGAGGTAGAGGTCAAAGTTCATTTTTTTTTCCAAATGTTTACCCAGTTACTCCAATGCTATCTGATGAAAAGATATTTATTTCCTCCACTGAATTGTTTGGACACCTTAGTTAAAAAAATCAACTGACTGTATAAGTATGAATCTTTTCTGAATTTTGTTTTGCAGTGATTCTTATGCCAATGCCATACTCTCTTTTTCTTCAATTCTTATTTTAAGTTCAGGGGTACATGTGCAGGATGTGCAGGTTTGTTACATAGGTGAAAGTGTACCACGGTGGTTTACTGTACGAATCATGCCATCACCCAGGTATTGAGCCCAGCATCCATTAGCTATTCTTCCTGATGTTCTCCCCACACCCACAGGTGACCAGTGTGTTGTTCCCCCCAACCGCCCCCCTGCCCATGTGTCCATGTGTTCTCATCATTCAGCTCCCACTTATAAGTGAGAACATGCAGTGTTTGTTTTTCTGTTTCTGCATTAGTTTGCTGAGGATGATGGCTTCTAACTCCATCCATGTCCCTGCAAAGGATATGATCTTATTCCTTTTTGTGGTTGCATAGTATTCCATGGTGTATATGTACTACATTTTCTTCATCTAGTCTATCACTGATGGACATTTAGGTTGATTCTATGACTTAGCTATTGTAAATAGTGCTGCAATAAATACACATGTGCATATATCCTTATAATAGAATGATTTCTATTCCTTTGGTTATATGCCCAGTAATGGGATTGCTGGGTCAAATGGTATTTCTGCCTCTAGGTCTTTGAGGAATTGCCACACTGTCTTCCACAATGGTTGAACTAATTTACACTACCACCAACACTGTGAAAGCATTTCTTTTTCTCCACAACTTCTCCAGCATCTGTTGTTTTTTGACTTTTTAATAATAGCAGTTCTTACTGGCTTGAGATGGTATCTCATTGTGGTTTTGATTTGTATTTCTGTAATGATCAGTAATGTTGAGGAGCTTTTTTTATTCCATATGTTTGTTGGCTGCATGTATATCCTCTTTTGAGAAGTGTCTGTTCATGTCCTCTGCCCCTTTTAAATGGGATTGTTTGTTTTATTCTTGTAAATATGTTTACGTTCCTTGTAGGTTCTGGATATTAGACTTTTGTCAGATGGATAGATTGCAAACATTTTCTCCCATTCTGTAGGTTGTCTGTTCACTTTTATGATAGTTTCTTTTGCTGTGCAGAAGCTCTTTAGTTTAATTAGATTCCATTGTCGATTTTTGCTTTTGTTGCAATTGCTTTTGGTGTTTTCATCATGAAATCTTTGCCTTTGCCTATGTCCTAAATGGCATTGCCTAGATTTTCTCCTAGGGTTTTTATAATCTTGGGTTTTACACTTAAGTCTTTAATTTATCTTGAGTTAATTTTTGTACATTGTGTAAGGATGGGGTCCAGTTTCAATTTTCTGCCTAATGCCATACCCTATTGATTATTGTAGCTTTATTGTAAGTTTTGAAGTCAGGTTATGGAAGTCATCCAACTTTGTTCTTTTTTGAAATTGTTTTGGAAATTCTGAGCCCTTCCATTTATACACAAGTTTTAGAATCAACTTGATTTCTATCAAAAAAGGCTGCTGAGACTTTGATTGAGTCTGCATCAGATTTATAAATCAATGTAGGGAGACTATCATCCTAACAAAATTAAATCTTTCAATCCATGAATATAGTATATCTCTCCATTTATTTAAGTCTTGTTTAATTTCATTCAGCAATGTTTTAATGTTTTGCAATATTTTAGCACAGAGTTTTTACACAGCATTCAATCAATTCCTAAACATTTTATGTATTTGATGCTATTGTAAGTAATATTATATTTTATTTTCCAATTTTTGTAGGTAGTAGATAGAAATATAATTGAATTTTATATTAAACTTGTATTTTACAATTTTGCTAAATTTTCATATTAGTTCTAGTAGTTTTTTGGGCAGATTCTTTTGGATTTTCTACATGTAGAATGATGTCATCTTTGAATAGAGAAAGCTTTACTTCTTCTTTTCCACAATTTATGTCTTTCATGAACATTTGCACAATGTTGAATAGAAGTGTTATTAAGTGGATATTCTTTCTCTGTTGCCAACTTTACAATTCCTTAGGGAAGGTCCACTCAGTGTTGATTGATAAGCTTTTTGAACTTTGCCAACCTAAAAAAAAAACCAGTATCTCATTTAAGAAAATAAGAAAATGCTAGAAGAGTGTTAGCATATTTTCATATATTTAAAAGCTAGTTAGATTTCTTTTATGTGAACTCCTCTCATGAATGTATTAATTTTCCTATTGAGCTCTTGAACACTTTTGTTTAAATCAGACTCATCTATGGGTGCACTCTCTCTCCCTTTCTTTCTTTCTCTCTGTCTCTTTTACTGAAAGTGATCATTTTATAATATATTGTCTTCCTGGAAGTCATTAGTCTGTACTAGAAATAGTTTTGAATTTAGACTAACCAATTACTAATCATTGCTTCTACCTTTGAGCTTATATTATGTCAGGCACTGAACTAAATGCTTTGCATATTTTATTATCAAAGAGGCAGAATTGTGTACTGATGACAGGGATTCCAACACAGGTCAACATTTTCCTAGCTTTAGGACCTTGGGTAAGTTACCTAATTTCCTTTTTCTTCCGTTTTCTTATCTGTAAACTGGAGGTGATGGTGTGTAACTCAGCATTATTATGAGAATTAAATAAATGCCTGTAATACACTTATCACAGGACCTGATACATAGTGTCACATAAGTGCTTTTAAAAAAGTGCATCTCATTTAATTCTCTTAAAAAAAGCTGTGATGGACTGGGCACTGTGGCTCACGCCTGTAATCTCAGCACTTTGGGAGGCCGAGGCGGGCGGATCATGATGTCAAGAGACTGAGACCATCCTGGCCAACATGGTGAAACCCCGTCTCTACTAAAAATACAAAAATTAGCTGGGTGTGGTGGCGGGCGCCTGTAGCCCCAGCTACTCAGGAGGCTGAGGCAGGAGATTTGCTTCAACCCAGGAGGCAGAGGTTTCAGTGAGCCGAGATCACGCCACTGCACTCCAGCCTGGTGACAGAGCGAGATTCCATCAAAAAAAAAAAAAAAAGCTGTGATAAATGGAGCATAATCATCCTCATTTTACAGATAAAAATACTGAGGACACTGCTGGTAATTCGATCAGGGTTTGAATCCAGGAGTCTTATCCCAGAGTTTTTACTTGGACTCTGTGCACTATACTTCTCGTGAGGCATTATAGCTCCATGACTGATGTGAGGAAACTGAGGCACAGTGAGAATTAAGTGACCCATTCAAAGTCCGTAAGAGTCTTAATCAGGACTGTAACCATTCTTCCTTACTCCATCATAGCTCATGCGTTTGACCTTGCACTGCACTGCTCCTCTTAACACTAATTTGCTTCTCCAGGGTCAAAACCTGGCTGTGCCTCCTTCCAGCTGTGCAACCTCAAACAAGTTACCTTACTTCTATAATATTACATTTCACCATTTGTAAAAGAAAACATTGACACAATTAAAATATTATAGATAATTATGTGAAGATAAACAAGGACCACCCAAGTGAGAACAAACAGAAGCTTCGTATTTCACGCTTGCTATAGGGGGAGTCAGCCACCTCCATCACTCACATTTGCTTGACTTGAAGGCCGTGCAGAGAGAAAGCTTTATAGCGAAGAAGGGAAGGTGTCCAGCATGCTCTCTTTGGAGGTTGTTGACTTGGGGAGGCTGGAGGCGGGCTAACTAGAAGCATCTCATGGATTAATTTGGGAAGAAGCATCTTTGGCTTTCTCTGATTGGTCCTGAGTTAGAATCTGGTGCAGAAAATCGGGAAGTTAGCAGTGGTCAACCAAGTGCTTTTAAAAAAGTGCATCTCATTTAATTCTCTTACAAATTTTCTTTCCAGATGTGTAACCTCCAACTGTTCTGGAACACTTGCTGCAGAGGTCGTGGGTTAGAGAGTCCATCGTCCTATAGGGTTTGGTTGTTGTCTGTTTGTACATTCAGTCTCTCAATGATGATTACCTTATGTGACTGTTAAGATGAATTGTGTACAATGTCTAGCATAGCACATAGCACATAGTAGATACCCAGCAAATATGACTGAATCTAAATCTGATTTGATTTCCTGGTAAAAACAAAACAAAACAAAACAAAAACCTCCATACTGACTGAACAAAGGGACCTTCACTTTCAGATGTGATGGTGCTCCCTGGGGCGATGTGTAGCGAAGCCTGCTAGGGAGACCACAGCACACCCAGCTCCAGTGATCTTCCTCGGAGAGACTCACGGTGTCCCAGAAAGATCAGGGCCCCAGCTAAGCTTTGCCTAAAGCTGTACATCTCAACCCTATTAGAATTACTTGGAAGTCATAAAAAATACGGACAGCTGATTCTGAGTTGTTTGCTCTAGAGTAGGGCCTGGACACACTTTCTTTTAAGGATATTTTCATATGCAGCCAGGGTTGCAAACTACTGCTTTAAAACATTTATTCTCCTATTTTTTAATTTGACAAATCATCTATTGCGCCTTATTGGATGCCCAGGCCAGCACTAGGTTCAAAGAGAAGAGAAGATCATCTACTCGTTTATTCATTCAACCATGAGAATGCAGGGTCTGTGCAGGGTTTGCTGGGAGCAGTGTGAGCAGTGAACTCT
Organism: Homo sapiens; assembly: GCF_000001405.40. Classification (NCBI taxonomy): domain Eukaryota; kingdom Metazoa; phylum Chordata; class Mammalia; order Primates; family Hominidae; genus Homo; species Homo sapiens. The sequence continues at coordinate 26,845,651 of NC_000016.10, read as the reverse complement.
TCCTTCTGTAGCCTATGCTGGCTAAGATCTTACACAATTTGGGGTCAGATAGTCATGGGCTTCAATATATCTTTATTTTTTCCCTCTTCTGTGATTTTGGAAAAATACTTATGACTTACTTGCTACACTGACTTAGATAAAACCTAAACTTCTAGGAGCCTCAGTCTAGTCTATAAAATAGGGACAGATCAGTTGAGACCTAGTTAAGAAAACTCCATCAAAACTCATACTAGATATTTCAAACAGAAAGAATTAAATGCAGGGCATTGGTTATGCAGGCATTAGAACCCTGAAAGGGAAGAAGGGGAGATAGTAGAAATGCAGGAAGAAACAACTACAATGAAGTGCTGGGGAACAAAAGGGAAGAAGTCATGTTATAGCACTTAGGAGCTCATAGCGGGGTCCCTTACAAGTGAGTGCTTGAATCGTTATTTTTATTTTTATTCTTTAAATAAGGCCTTTTTATTATTAATTTTTGTGGGTGCATAGTAAATATATGTGTATATATATTTATTTATTTATGCGATACATGAGATGCTTTGATACAGGCATGCAATATGGGTACAATATGGTGCAATAAATAAGCACATGATGGAGAATGGGGTATCCATCCCCTCAAGCATTTATCCTTTGAGTTACAAACAACTCAATTACACTTTTGTAGTTATTTAAAGATGTGCAGTTATTATTGACTATAGTCACCCTATTGTGCTATTAAATGATAGATCTTATTCATTCTTTCTATTTTTTTGTACCTATTTACCATCCTCCCCTCCTCCCATTTCACTACTACCTTTCCCAGCCTCTGGTAACCACCTTTCTACTCTCTATGTCCATGAATTAAATTGTTTTAACTTTTATATTCCACAAATAAATGAGAACATGTGATGCATGTCTTTTTGTGCCTGGCTTATTTTACTTAAGGCAATATTCTCCAGTTTCATCCATGTTATTGCAAATCACTGGATCTCATTCTTTTTTATGACTCAATAGTACTGCATTGTGTATAGGTACCACATTTTCCTTCTTCCTTCCTTCCTTCCTTCTTTTTTTTTTTTTTTGACAGAGTCTTGCTCTGTCACCCAGGCTGGAGTACAGTGGCATGATCTTGGCTCACTGCAACCCCCACCTCCCGAGTTCAAGTGATTCTCCTGCCTCAGCCTCCTGAGCAGCTGGGATTATAGGCACGTGCCGCCATGCCAGGCTAATTTTTGTATTTTTAGTAGAGACGGGGTTTCACCATGTTGGTTAGGCTGGTCTCGAACTCCCGACCTCGGCCTCCCAAAGTGCTGGGAAAACAGGCGTGAGCCACCATGCCCGGCGACATTTTCTTTATCCAATCACCTGTTGATGGACACAGGTTGCTTCCAAATCTTAGCTATCATCAACAATGCTGCAACAAACATAGGAGTGCAGATACCTCTTTGATGTACTGATTTCGAAAAACTGAAAATAGAGCTACCATAGAATCCAGTAGTGGGATTGCTGGATCCTACGGTAGCTCTATTTTTAGTTTTTTGAGGGCCCTCCAAACTTTTCTCCATATTTATCATACTAATTTGCATTCCGACTAACAGCGTACGAGGGTTCCCTTTTCTCCACATCCTTGCCAGCATCTGTCCTTGCCTGTCTTTTGGATATAAGCCATTTTAACTGGGGTGAGATGATATTTCACTGTAGCTTTGATTTGCATTTCTCTGATGATCAATGATGCTGCGCACCTTTTCATATGCCTGTTTGCAATTGTATGTCTTCTTTTCAGAAATGTCTATTCAGATCTTTTGCTCATGTTTTGATCAGATTATTAGACTTTTTCTTATAGAGTTGTTTTAGCTCCCTCTGTATTCTGGTGGGTGGTTGACTCTTGAAGGGAGGTGCTCCAATAGGTGGTTCTTAGGTCCCTGGAGATACCAAGTGGCTGGTGTTTACATCTCTGGGGCACTAGGGGCTGATGCTGGGGATGGCAAAAGAAGCTGAAGGGGGCTGGGCGCAGGGGCTCACGCCTGTAATCCCAACACTTTGGGAGGCCGAGACAGGCGGATCACTAGGTCAGGAGATCGAGACCATCTTGGCTAACACGGTGAGACCCCGTCTCTACTAAAGATACAAAAAATTAGCCAGGCGTGGTGGTGGGCACCTGTAATCCCAGCTACTTGGGAGGCTGAGGCAGGAGAATGGCGTGAACCCGAGAGGCGGAGCTTGCAGTGAGCTGAGATCGTGCCTCTGCACTCCAGCCTGGGCAACAGAGTGAGACTCTGTCTCAAAAAAAAAAAAAAAAGAAAAAAGAAACTGAAGCTGAAGGTAGAGCCTTGGCTATTCTCTGCTGTTGGCTGTTGGAGGGACACTGATGGCAGCTAGACAGGAGTACAACCCTTCTTCCCTCCTCCTGCCAATCTTTCAGCTGTGCCTCCTAGTAACAGAAGCCAGCAGAGAGCCAGGCATCAAGAAATTCTGGGAAATGCAGTGTGCAGACCTCCAGCCCCAGAATCACAGAGTCCAGCAAGAGGCTGGCAAAGTACACCACAGACCACATGACTCCTGTTTTTGTATGACCCAGTATTTAAGAAAAGCTCTCACATTTTTAAATAGTTACATTTTTTTAAAAAGAGCGTAATATTTTATGATGTAAAAATTCTACAACATACATATTTCAGTGTCCATAAACTCCAGCCATGTGGATATGTTTATATGTTGTCTATGGGAGTTCTGTGCTGCCATGGAAGATCTGAGCAGTTTTGACAGAGCCCTTAAGGCCTGCAAAGTCTAAAATGTTTACCATCTGGCCCTTTACAGAAAACTGTGTGCTGGCCCCTGGAGTATGCTATAGAGAGTGTTTTAGGGGCTGAGAGACAATGGGTAAGTTACCAGCATAGTGCTGGGTAAGTTACCAACAATGGGTAAGTTACCAGCGTAATGCTCCCTTGTGGGGCTAAAATGAGGAATGAATTAGTTAATATACATACAGTACTTACTACAGTTTTTAGCATATAGTAAGCACATGAAAGCATTACTAGTTCCTACTATGTGTCAGACACTGGGATAGATTTTTGGTGCCATAGATGAATAAGCCATAATTATGACCTCAAGGAGATTCTAGCCTGGTGGTGACAGAGGAGCAAGACGTGCCCAGGGTCACACTTGCAGGGGTTAAGGCTTTTGGCTTCTGTGATTCCAATGCCCAGGACCCCTCAGAGGTGGAGAGAGCTTCAGGCATTTGCCTGGGGTTTTCTTTTTAAGTAAAGAAATGCTTCAGAGTGGAATCACCAAAACCATTGTGCATTTTAAATGTTTACATTTAACGAAGTGATGTTTTTAACAGGCAAAAAGCACAGTAAGGTATAATTATACTTTTCACAAGATAATTATAGGATTTATTTTAAAAACCAAATGCCTGGTATGTTACAGATGCAGGGTCTGGATTGGGACACAGGTTTTTTTTTTTTTTTTAGATGGAATCTTGCTCTGTTGCCCAGGCTGGAGTGCAGTGGTGCGAACTCGGCTCACTGCAACCTCCAACTCCCAGGTTCAAGTGATTCTCCTGCCTCAGCCTCCTGAGTAGCTGGGATTACAGGCATGCACCATCATGCCCGGCTAATTTTTGTATTTGTTGTATTTGTAGTAGAGACAGGGTTTCACCATGTTGATCAGGCTGGTCTCGAACCCCTGACCTTGTGATCTGCCTGCCTTGGCGTCCCAAAGTGCTGGGATTACAGGAGTGAGCCGCCGCGACTGGCCTGGGACACAGATTTTAAAGCCTTTGAATGAGTGATTTCTTCTTTCTATCCCGCCAGTGTATCCTCGGGACTATACCTACAATCAATCTCACTTTGAAATGGCATCAATGTCTAAATTGGAGGCTCTTGGGGTTTATGGAGCCAGGCCGTCCAACCTCCCAGCCTCACCCCAACACACACAGAAATCTGCTATACTCAGGAATAGCCTCCATTTTTGACTGGTCCAAGCCAGGGCAGAAATTGAGACTTTGGGCTTTGTGCTCCTACACTCATTTAATGTTTTGATATTTTCTAAAGGGTGTGGTTGCCATTCTGAACCTGCTGCAGGGACCACTGCTAGCCTATATGCCTCTGAGTGAAAAAAAAAATGACCCTCCCAAGTGGATGAATTGAAAAATAGTGTCCCATATGGTTGAACAAATTAGAAAAAGTTTTGCCTGCTGAAGCGTCAGATTAGAGAAAAGAAAAATATGTCTTTCTCAGGACAGATATAGCTTCATGCCAAAGCACACAGCTTGGTGAGGACAATTGAGTCAAGAATTTCAGCCTCTCCTTGCCCCCTTCAATCAGAAGCCTTGTGCAGTACACAACGTGAACAATCATACATGGCAGCCCCAATCTGCCTGCATCAAATCTTTCTCCAGTGTCTGCCTACCTGTATCCAAAAGACTCTATTCTCAATTCCTCAACCCTTTCCAAAACATTTGTTGGGGTACAGCTGGGTGGGGGAGATCATTTATTTACATGTTGGTATAGGGAAAAATCTAGTAGTGAAAGAGGTCCGAAATCTTTCTGCAAATGAGCTGCATGCTTGTCACATCCCGATTCTGGGGCTGGTGGCTGGCATTGCTCTAAGTAGCGGGCTGCTGAGGCCTTGCATACATATTCCTGTTGTCAGCATTAATAAGGTACAATTGCCTGGGGCCTTGTTACCCACCAGTTAAACTTTGGATTTTATTGTGCAACCTCAAGGATGCTTTATGGTATCAAAAGCATTTGGTAGTTAAATACGACTAATATTCATCGCTCCCACATGGGTGCTTCACATCCTGCTCCATTCACAGCGTGATTAAGGAATTAATTGATTTGGATGAGATTGGCACTTGCTCTTGACAATAAAATGACGGCTCCTTTATTAAGCCGTGGATGCAGTGGGCTTGCTGCTGCACTCGAGGCCACTTAGTGGTGGCTCAGCACTGGGCATTTGGGACCAGGCCCAGATCATAGTGATGCTTGGCTCCGGCCAGAGAAATCTGTAGATCCTCGAAGAGGCTTCAGAACCCAGATCTTCCTTCCAGCTTTCTTCCTTCCTTCCTTCCTTCTTATCTTCCATCTTCTCTCCCTTCCCCCTTCACTCTCTTTCCCTCCTTTGCATCCTTGCATCCATCCTTTCTCCATATTTCTTTCTTTCTCTTCTTCCTTTTTATTCATTTTAACTTAATTTAATTTAGTTAATTTATTTATTTGAGATAGAGTCTCTCTTTGTTGCCCAGGCTGGAGTGCAGTGGCACAATCTCGGCTCACTGCAACCTCCACCTCCTGGGTTCAAGCGATTCTCCTGCCTCAGCCTCCCGAGTAGCTGGGACTACAGGTGTGTGCCACCATGCCCAGCTAATTTTTTGTATTTTTAGTAGAGATGGGGTTTCACTGTGTCTGCCAGGATGTTCTTGATCTCCTGACCTCATGATCTGCCCACCTTGGCCTCCCAAAGTGCTGGAATTACAGGCGTGAGCCACTGCGCCCAGCCTCCTTTTTATTTTACTACTCTCTCTTCTTCCCTGACTTTTATTTTATTTTATTTTTTTTTTTTGAGACGGGGGCTTGCTCTGTCACCCAGTCTGGAGTGCAGTGGAGTGATCATAGCTCACTGCAACCTCTAATTTCTGAGCTCAAGTGCTCCTTCTGCCTCAGCCTCCCAAGTAGCTGGGAGTACAGGTGCATGCCATCATACCCAACTAATTATTTTATCTTGTAAGACAGGGTCTTGCTATGTTTCCCAGACTTCCCTGACATTTTATTTATTAAGACACCTATTCTCACCCTCTGCCCTAACTTCCCAGAGTAAGCTCTTGCTTTATAAGTCCATTCTATCCTCTGATCTTCTCTTTTGTTTGAGAGCATTTGGTTTCCCAGAACAGAGACCCACTCAAGCCAGCTCACACAAGAGGGGTATTAATAAGACAAATACGTGTAGTGGTCAAAAGACCATGATCTCCTAATGTGGTCAATAGACCACGATCTCCTCATTTTATTTTATTTTTTTGAGACAGGGTTTCACTCTTGTTGCCCAGGCTCCTCATTTTATTTCATTTTTTTGAGACAGAGTTTCACTCTTGTTGCCCAGGCTGGAGCGCAATGGCACAATCTCGGCTCACTGTGACCTCCATCTCCCGGGTTCAAGTGATTCTCCTGCCTTAGCCTCCCAATTAGCTGGGATTACAGGTGCCCACCATCACGGCTGGCCAATTTGTGTATTTTTAGTAGAGACAGGGTTTCGCCACATTTACCAGGCTGGTCTTAAACTCCTGACCTCAGGTGATCCACCCACCTCAGCCTCCCAAAGTGCTGAATTACAGGCTTGAGCCACTGTGCCCGGTGAATCTCCTAATTTTAAAACAGAGCCTACAACAGGGTCAGGCCTCATAGGTACACATCTCTGGATGGAATAAGAGTTCTGGATTCCAGGTACCTGCAGTTTACACCTAAATTGTTGCATACCATTGACTGAATGTTTCTTATCTACCAGGCACTGTGCTAGGTGCTCTATGTGCTTTACGTATGGCTGAATCTAATGAGCGAAGCAGGCTCAAAGAGGTTGGATGACTTGCTCTAGGGAACTCTGTAAGTAAAGGACAGAGTGGGAATTCACACTCGGGGAGACAGATCCCACCTGCTGTTCATCCATTTATAGTCTGTCAAGTGTGTTGACATGAACGTAGCTCATCTACACTCAGCCACGGCTAAGTGGAGTGTCCTTGGTGCCACCTCAACCTCATTACCTTCCAGATTTTTCCCAATGTTGGTTGGCCTATTCGAACCTCTCTTGCCTCTATGTGGGGTCATGTGACTAGTTGTCCCCAGTGGAATGTAAATAGAAGTGATGTGTGTGAATTCTAGACCAAGGTGGTTAAGGAGTGGATGGGTGTCTTTTTTTCTCTTCCCTTCTCACTTCTCTCTGGATACAGAAAGCGTTGTGAATGTGAAAGATGGAAGAAGTTTGAGTCCCTCTGTCACCATGCGTGGAGATAAGTTTCCCACCAACCATTATCACCTGTCCTGAACTATCACATGAGCAAAAAATATCTTCTATTTCTTTAAGCCACTACTATTTTGGATTGATTTGTTACAGCACCTAGAGTTACCTGAACACATATGATTTGCAGAAAAAGATAGGATCCTAGGACAGGGGTCTCAAGCCGTACCCCATTCACGACACAGGACCTCTTACAGATCAGATGAAAAGGACATTGGTGATTGTTGTATTGACCATGACACAATTCAGTTAGAGGTAGGCCTTCATGTCACGGCCTTTATACACACTGTCCTCATTCAAGAGTGACCTCAGATGAAGGTAGGAGGCATGGTAAGGACTGAGATGAGATTTCTCTCCTGTGAGAGATGAGTGAGAGATGTCTTATGGAAAATGAAGTGATGTTCATTTTCTTTCTGTGTTTGTGGACTGAGATCACTACCTATTGCACTAAATAAATAAATAAATAAACCAAACGTATCATTTCACTCATCTGCTTGAAACCAGTGGCCTCTTAGCTCCCTCCTAGTAAAGGCAGGGTCCTTACTGTGGAGTGTGTAATCGACTCCATGTGCCCCTCTGCCTTCACATCCCATTACTCTTCTCACTTACTCCACTCCAGTCCTCCCGGCCTCCTGGCTGTTACTTACACATGCTCAGTATTTATTAAAATCCCTGCCTCAGGGATTTTATTCTTCTTGTCCCTTTTGCTTGCAGTACTCTCCCTGGCCATTCTCATACATTCCCCTCACCTCCTTTAAGTCTCCCTAAATGTCACCTTCTGAAACAATCCCTTCCAACTCTGTTTAAAACTGTGTCTCCTACTCCACCCTACTCCTCACTCCACCTCACCTTCCAATAGGTTCTAAAATTATTTGTTTGTTTACTCAATGTCTCTTCACCAGATTGTGAATTTCATAAGGCAGAGATTTTTGATTTTCCTTAACTGCTGTACATCACGCCCTAAGAAACAGTGTTTGGAATATCATAGGCACTTAATAAATATGTGTTGTTTAATTACACTGTGTTCTATGTTGAGATGATAGTAGTTGGTATTGCTGTTGACAGAGTTAATGAATAAATAAATGAATTTATGGATGGATGGGTGGATAGGAGGCCCAGTTTCCCCATTAATCATCTCTTAATGAAATTTTGGGCTTCCCCAGATAACAGTCAGTAGACCAAAACAATTGAGTGGCATATTTTTTTTTTGCTTTTTAAAAATTAATAAACTGTTTAAAGAGAAGTTTTAGGCTCAGAGAAAAATTGAGTGGAAAATACAGAGGATTCTCATAAATCCATGTCTCCACACACACACAACCTCATCCATAATTGACATCTTTCTGCTTCTATCTTCTGGATGTCTTCTGGAAGAGATTGGAGTGAATGAGCTTATTTTCTTTCTTAAATGTTTGGCAGAATTCACCAGTGCATCCATCTCGTCTCAGTTCTTTCTGTTTTGGATGGTTAGTAATTATTAATTCAGTTTCTTTAATAGATATAAGCCTATTTAGATAGTCTGTTTCTTCTTGTGTAAGTTTTGGAAGATTGTGTTTTTCAAGGAATTGGTCCATTTTACTCAAGTTATCAAACTTGTGGGCATGAAGTTGTTAATAATATTCTATTGTTATTTTAATGTCTATGGGATCTGTACTGATAGTCCCTTTTTATTTCTGATGTTAGTAATTTGTGTCTTCTCTCTTTAGTTAGCCTGGCTAGAGGCTTATAGATTTTATTCATCTTTTCAAATAACCAGCTTTTTAATGGTTGATTTTTCTATTGATTTCCTGTTTTTAATTTCATTGATTTCTTCCCTAATTTTTTAAAAATTATATCTCTTCTGCTTATTTTGGATTACATTTGATATTCATTTTTCTAATTTCTTAAGTTGGAATGTTAGCTTATTGATCCTATATATTTCTTCTTTTCTAATATATGCATTCAATGCTATAAATTCCCGTCTAAGTGTTGCGTTTATTATGTCCTATGAATTTTGATAAGTTGTATTTTCATTTTCATTTAGTTTAAAATATTCTTAAACTTACCTTTGAGAGGTGACAGCCTGCTGGCAGCCCTCACAGCCCTCGCTCTCTCTCGGCCCCTCCTCTGCCTGGGCTCCCACTTTGGCAGCACTTGAGGAGACCTTCAGTTTGCTGCTGCACTGTGGGAGCCCCTCCCTGGGCTGGCCGAGGCGGGAGCCGGCTCCCTCAGCTTGCGGGGAGGTGTAGAGGGAGAGGTGCGGGCTGCAACCAGCGCTGCACGTGGTGCTTGCAGGCCAGCGCGAGTTCCGGGTGGGCGTGGGCTCGGCGGCCCCGCACTCGGAGTGGCCGGCCAGCCCCGCGGACCCCGGGCAGTGAGGGGCTTAGCACCTGGGCCAGCAGCTGCTGTGTTCAACTTCTCGCCAGGCCTTAGCTGCCTTCCTGCGGGCAGGGCTCGGGACCTGCAGCCCGCCATGCCTGAGCCTCCCCGCCTCCTCCGTGGACTCCTGTGCAGCCCAAGCCTCCCCGACGAGCGCCGCCCCCTGCTCCATGGCGCCCAGTCCCATCGACCACCCAAGGGCTGAGGAGTGCGGCACACGGTGCGGGACTGGCAGGCAGCTCCACCTGCGGCCCTGGTGCAGGATCCACTGGGTGAAGCCAGCTGGGCTCCTGAGTCTGGTGGGGACTTGGAGAACCTTTATGTCTAGCAAAGGGATTGTAAATACACCAATCGACACTCTGTATCTAGCTACTCTGGTGGGGACTTGGAGAACCTTTGTGTGGACACTCTGTATCTAGCTAATCTAGTGGGGACTGGAGAACCTTTGTGTCTAGCTCAGGGATTGTAAACGCACCAATCAGCGCCCTGTCAAAACAGACCACTCGGCTCTCTGTAAAATGAACCAATCAGCAGGATGTGGGTGGGGCCAGATAAGAGAATAAAAGCAGGCTATCCGCGCCAGCAGTGGCAACCCGCTGGGGTCCCCTTCTGCACTGTGGAAGCTTTGTTCTTTCCCTCTTTGCAATAAATCTTGCTGCTGCTCACTCTTTGGGTCCACGCTGCCTTTATGAGCTGTAACACACACCGTGAAGGTCTGCAGCTTCACTCCTGAAGCCAGCGAGACCACGAACCCACCAGGAGGAATGAACAACTCCAGACGCACGGCCTTAAGAGCTGTAACACTCACCACGAAGGTCTGCAGCTTCACTCCTGAGCCAGGGAGACCACGAACCCACCAGAAGGAAGAAACTCCGAACACATCCGAACATCAGAAGGAACAAACTCTGGACACGCCACCTTTAAGAACTGTAACACTCACCACGAGGGTCCGTGGCTTCATCCTTGAAGTCAGTGAGACCAAGAACCCACCAATTCCAGACACACCTTTGGATGTTTTATTTTACCTATGTGTTATTTAGAAGTGTGTTGCTTAATGTCCAAGTGTTTTGGGATTTTCCAGCTGTCTTTCTGTTATTAATTTCCAGTTGAGTTCCACTGTGGTCTGAGAGCAGACATCATATGATCTTTTTAAATTTTATAATTGTTAACGTATGTTTAACAGCCCAGAATGTCATGTCTCTTGGTGTTTCATGTGAGCTTGAGAATAATGTGTATTCTGCTGTTGTTGGATTAAGTAGTTTATAGGCATCTATTATATCCAGTTGATTGATGGTCCTATTGAGTTCAACTGTGTTTTTACTGATTTCTCTGCCTGCTGGAGCTGTCCATTTTTGATAGAAGGGTGTTAAGATCTCCAACTATAATAGTGGATTTATCTATTTTCTCTGAAGTTCTATCAGTTTTTGCATCACATATTTTGATGCTCTGTTGTTGGATGCATACATATTAAGGGTTGTTATTTCTTCCTGGAACATATTGACCCCTTTATATAATGCATCTCTTCATCTCTGGTATTTTCCTTGCTCTGAAATCTTCTGTCTTAAATTCGTATGGCTACTCCCACTTTCTTTTGATTAGTGTTAGCATAGTATATCTTTCTCCACCCCTTTACTTTTAATATATACTCATCTTTATATTTAAAGTGGGTTTCTTGTAGACAACATATATAGGGTCTTTTTTTTATCTATTCTGACAATTTCTGTATTCTAATTGGCATGTTTAGACCATTGATGTTTAATTACTGATATAGTTAGAGTAATGGCTACCATATTTGTTACTGTTTTCTGTTTGTTGTCCTTTCTCTTTGTTCCTATTTTTGTTTTCCACACTTTTTCTACCTTTTGTTGTTTTAACTGGGCATTTGATATGATTATATATTCTTTCCTTTCTTAGCATATCAGTTATGCTGCTGCTGCTATCTCCTCCTTCTCCTCTCCCTCCCCCTCCTTCTCCTCTCCCTCCCCCTCCTTCTTCTTCTCCTCCTCCTTCTCCCTCTCCTTCTCCTTCTTCCCTCCTCCTCCTCCCATTGCTCCTCTTCCTCCTCTTCCTCCCTCCTCTTCCTTCTTCTTCACCTTTTTTAGGGGTTGCTCTAGAGTTTGCAAATATACAGTTCTGTTACTGAAACACCAGGGGTTTGGTCTAGGTCCTGCTGCTCACTACACAGAAGGCCAGTGACTGAGATGACAAGTATTGCCAGGGAAGAAGGCTTTAACTGGGTGCTGGAGCCAAGGAGATGAAAGCTCAGTCTCAAATCCATCTCCCTGACTGACTAAAACTAGGGGTTTATATAGCAGGGAAGAAATGTAACAATGTGTAAGAAAACAAGAACTAGGGAGGGGTAAGGAGGCATCTGGTACTGGGCTTTAGTGAGTTTCAGTTCTTTGATACTTGTTTTGAGAGGCCTGAAGGTCCTTTCCTAGGAAGGAACTCAGATAAAACAAATAGAAGTTTCAAGTTTTAACAGCAGAGGGGTCAATGTCTGTGTTTACCTAAAAGAAGAGTCTATGGGAGTATTGAGCTGGTTTCATTACACCTAATCCAAGTCTACTTCCAAATAACACTTTATGGCTCACAGATAGGACACATACTTTATAATAACAAAATCATTCTAATCCTTCCTGTTTCTCATATCATTGCTGTTATTAATTTCACTTATACTTAAGCATAATTGTATACACACACAAGCATACATCATCAAATACATTGCTATGATTATTTTGAACAAACTGCTGTTAAATTAATTAAAATTTTAAAAAGAGGTTTTAATTTTACCTTTACTTATTGATTCTCTGATGCTCTCCCTTTCTTTATATAAATATGAGTTTCTTGCCTGTGTTATTTTACTTCTCTCTGAAGAACTTTTTTTTTAACATTTCTTGGAAGTCAGGTCTATTGGTAACAAATTCTCCCACTTTTTTGTCGGAGAAAGTCTTTATTTCTCCTTCACATTTGGAGGATAATTTTGCAGGGTACAGATTTCCAGGTTGGTGGGGTGTTTTTCCTCTCAACACTTTAAATGTTTCGCTCCACTCTCTTTTTACTTGCATGGTTTCTGAGGAGAGGTTGGCAATAATTCTTATCTTTGCTTCTCTGTAGTTAATTCTTATCTTTGCTTCTCTGCAGTAATTCTTTGTAGCAATTCTTATCTTTGCTTCTCTGTAGTAATTCTTATCTTTGCTTCTCTGTATTTTTCTCTCTGACTTGTTTCAAGATTTTCCTTTATCTTAAATTTTCTGAAGTTTGAAAATGATATACCCAGATGGAGTTTTCTTAGGGATTTATCCAGGCTGGTGTTCTCTGACCTTCCTGGATTTATGATTTAGTGTCTAACATTCATTTGGGGGGAAATTCTCAGTCATTATTCCTTCAAATATTGCTTCTGCTTCTTTTTTCCCTCTTCTTGTGGTATTCCCAATACGTGTATTTATATCTTTTGTAGTTGTCCCACGGTTTTTGGATATTCTGTTTTGGGTTTTTTTTTTCCTAGTCCCTTTTCTCTTTGCATTTCAGTTTTGGAAGTTTCTATTATCATATCCTCAAGCTCAGAGATTCTTTCCTCAGGCACATTCATTCTACTAATGAGTCCATCAAAGGCATTCTTCATTTCTGTTACATTGTTTACGGTCTCCAGTATTTTTTTACTCTTTCTTAGAATTTCCATCTCTCTGTTTACATTATCCATCTATTCTTGCATGTTGTCTATTTTTCCCACCAAAGCCCTTAGCATATTAATAATAGTTTTAAAAAATCCTGGTCTGATAATTCCAACATTCCTGTTACATCAGACTTTGGTTCTGATGCTTGTTCAGACTCCTCAAGCTGTGTTTTTACCTTTTAGTATGCCTTGTATTTTCTTGTTGAAATGTGGACATGATGTATTGAGTAAAAAGGCATAGCAGTAATAGGTCTTTAGTAAGTGGGGTGATAGGGTAGGGGGAAGAGAAAGCATTCTGTTGTCCTATGATTGTGTTTCAGTCTTTTAGTGACCCTAATGCCTCTGGACTGTAAACCTTACCAGTGCTTCTCAGCCTCCCCCACACCCGTTTGATGGGCCAGAATGGCTATATGGGGCTAGGGTTGGGTATTTCCCTTTTCACAGATCAGTTTAGGCTCTGATAAAACCCCAGAGGGTTACACTCTGGGAAAAAAAAGTTTCTTCTGCATGCAGGCTTTGTCAAAAACAGAATGCTCTGGTGTATTTCAGGATGGTTCATTTCTCCCTCCCTCTATTGGAAGCAAGAGGGGATTTTTCTCTAATATTCACTGTGAGAATCGGGTCAGGGTCCTAGAGGTAAAGCTCACCCAAGTGTGGGGTCTCCAATGACCAAATGCCTCCAGAATGTTCAGACTTGTCTAAACTAAGACTTAGACTTGTCTGCACTAAGCCTGCAGAAACTCATTCACTACAGTTCTGATTTTCCCACCCTGGCACTGGTTCCTATAAAGGTTTTTGCTCATGGGTTCCTACTCTAATAAGCTGTGATTTTCTGTATCTATCTGTATGTCTTTCCAGTTTTGGGGCAGCAGTTTGCCCTGTGTCCTTACTTCTCTGATGAATCTATGAAGTGCTGTTGATTTCTGTTTGTTCAGCTTCTAACATGCTGTTAGGATGGAGTGGTGAGTTCTAAGCCTCATGTTTGCTGAACTGAAAACCAGAAGTCCTTATTGTCTTTTAAAAAACAAAAAAAAAGACCTGAATTCGTGATCACTATTTAAAAAGTAACTTATTCCACTTTAAAAAGATCCTACAGACTTTTGACTTCTCTAGAACAACTGCACAGCACTACTGTTTCTTTCCACCTAGTTTGAGTTGAATAGCAGCTGCTTATGTTAGCAGATTTAAGCTCTCCAGTTCTCCATGATCTTTTCCCAGCATGGCTCATCCAGTTATTTTTCCTGTTTTAGGCCTGAGGTCATTTGAGTCTGTGAATCTTACTTTAGATTTTCGTATTCTTCCCTCTCTCTCCCCTCCCTGACCCTTCCTGGGCTTACTGTTTTGTATGTAGTCTCAGAGTTGACTCCTAGCCCCAAATCACATCATAACAGATGTAGGATACTCACTCCCTTTCTCTCTCTCTGGTCCATATCTGGTATCTTTGATTTCCCTTGCTAAGCTAAAAACAGATCAGACTCTGCTTGCCCGGGCTCATCTCAATTGCACTAAGTGACTGCATATCAGAAAGCTCTCACATCAGGGCGTTTCTAGGTTCCTGCCTCCTGCACTTCTTGCTGCCTCTCTCATGGTAGGGTCCTGGGGTGATGGGTGGAGCACCAATGGTACATTGAGTGCTCCTAAGACTGTAATCATCTATTGGCTCCCTGCCTTGCAAACCTTTAACCTGCACAGCTGCAGCCACTTAGCCCCCAGCAGCAGCTTCTGCCCTGCTGTGACGCAGGGTTCAATGCAGGCCATGCTTAGAGAATTATTAGGAGCTCTTGGCAAAGAGCTCTGGCCCCATGTGGATAATCCCGACAGGGCTGCATCCTAGCAGAGAATACTGGTTACTCTGAAATCAGTGCCTTCCCTAGGATGCACTTTTTTGGAACAATCTCTCATAGCATCTTGCTGGAGGGTGATGAAAACAAATGCAAACAGAAACAGAGAGTGATAAGTCAGAAGGATGGCTCATCTCTCCAGCTAGGGGAATGGAGTGTGAGATCACAGTGTGCCCAGACAAAAAAAGACTGAAGCCATCAGACAGCCTCTCCGCTCCTTTCCCATCACATCAGGCAGAGGTGGAAGCTGCTGGCTGAATAATGGTGACAAAACTGGGTGAGTCTGTGAGAGGGCTGCAGAGGGGATTGAATCATTGCCTGCTAGTGCCAGCATTTGAAAGTAAAAAGGACGTTCACTGGCCCCTATTTTCTCTACTCCATTTCACTCTTTTTTCTCAGGAATCTTTCCACACAAGTGGCAGACACCCTGGCCTATAATGGTAAGAGAATGACAAGGGAATTTCTTAAGTTCAGGATATGAGCTAGCTTCAGGTATGGCTGGATTCAGGTGCTCACACAATGTCACAGGACCTAGTTTCTCCCTCTCCTCCCTCTCACCTTTTTGGGATTGGATTTATTTTCGGTCTCTACCAGCAGGATGGCAACACTGCTTGATCCTTACATCCTTCTAAGTTAAAATCTTGAGACGGAGTCTTGCTCCTGGGTGACAGAGCGAGACTCTGTCTCAAAAAAAAAAAAAAAAAAGAATCACTGCAATACTAGGGTGATGCACTGGGTGTTAATCACAGAATGACAATATTTCAACATTATGGAATAGCTTTTGCTCTTTATCTTTCACTGCATTGTATGGGAAGCAATATCTTTTCTTCCCTTGATATTTAAACAATATTTCTAAATTAAATATGTAACAATTTTTTTAAAAAAGGAAGTATCTCTTCTTGTCACCTAACAAAAAGCTCAGATTATACTTTGATTAGATCAAATTAGGGCCTCTGTCAACCTCTGAGCTAATGTCTGTGGTTAGGGGGATTTGATTCGGCTAAATGGGCAGCTCTGGGCCATAAGCCTCTGCCCTTGAGTCATGGATAAGGTCCAAAGACAGAGGGGATGAATGTCTTCTAATGCTTTCCAAATGCCCACTCTTTATTCTTTGTGATATTTCACTCCATTTCTCTCCTCCCTGCAAAAAAAGGTTCTTCAAGGACATCAGTGGCTTCCTGCTTGTGAAATTCAGTGGATGATTTTGAGGTATTATCTCATTTATTTATTTATTTGAAACACAGTCTCACTCTGTGGCCCAGGCTAGAGTGCAGTGGTGTGATCTCAGCTCACTGCAGCCTCTGCCTCCTGGGTTCAAGTGATTCTCCTGCCTCAGTCTCCCAAGTAGCTGGGATTACAGGTACACACCACCATGCCTGGCTAATTTTTGTATTTTTAGTAGAGACGGGGTTTCACCATGATGGCCAGGCTGGTCTTGAACTCCTGACCTCAGGTGATCCACCCACCTTGACCTTTCAAAGTGCTGGGATTACAGGCATGAGCCACTCCACCCGGCCGGCCACATTATCTAAATTAAATTATCTGCAGAATTGGGCCCTGGTTATGTTTTGATATTCTTTCCACATTCCAAGATAGCAGTCTCTGTTTCCTTTCCTGCCTGTTTAACTGACTTTCTCTCTTTTGCCCACCCTTTAATTATGTGTTGTTATTTCCCCACATTTAGTCTATAGCTGTTGTATCAATTAGGAACATAGTTACCTGTGAATGGCAAATTGCTTGAGTAATAGTGGCTTAAACTGTAAAGATACTCATTTTCTTGAAATGACCTCTGGAGGGCTTAGGGTTGTCTAGTGATGTCATGAAAAACCTAGGCTCTTTCTACACATTTTTCTCATTCTTTAGCTCATTAGTCTTTTTTTTTTTTTTTTTCTGAAACAGGGTCTCGCTCTGTTGCCCAGGCTGGAGTGCAGTTGTACAGCCGTAACTTACTGCAGACTCCAACTCCTGCCCCAGCCTCCCAAGTAACTAGGAGCACAGGTGTGAGCCACCACACCCAGCTAATTATTTTATTTTATTTTATTTTATTTTTTTGAGATGGAGTCTTGCTCTGTCACCCAGGCTGGAGTGTAGTGGTGCGATCTTGGCTCACTGCAAGATCTGCCTCCCAGGTTCACGCCATTCTCCTGCCTCAGCCTCCCGAGTAGCTGGGACTACAGGTGCCCACCTGCACACCACGCCCGGCTAATTTTTTTTGTATTTTTTCGTAGAGACGGAGTTTCACCGTGTTAGCCAGGATGGTCTCGATCTCCTGACCTCATGATCCGCCTGCCTTGGCCTCCCACAGTGTTAGGATTACAGGCGTCAGCCGCTGCATCTAGCCTTTTTAGTCTTTCTTCCTTATGCTTATCAATCTCAGAGAGAAAATGCTGGAGCAGGAGGCATCCTATCGTGTTTAAGGCAGGGCCAGTGATAAGGAGCAACATTAGCATCTCTTTCCATGTATCTGCCTGTTTACTGAAAGAGCCTTTCAGTCTTTCCTAGGAAAATCCTTCCTTTCATGTTATTAGCTGGAACTTGGTCACGTGGCCATTACTACCTGCAAACAAGGCAGGGACGGGGCTCCCAGTCAGGGATGTCAGGGGCCCCACACACACTCTCTGCACAGTTCCATCCTCCAAAGCTTTGGTTGTCATCTTTGGCAACCAAATTTGGCGATTGATATTGCCAAATTTTATCTCAGACCTTCCCTTTGAAACCTATGGGGCCAGTGGAAGCCAGGCCTTTCTACATGGGTGTGCCTTGGGCACTACACACTCAGCGTGCTCAAAACAAAACTTCATATTCCCCTGCCCTCAGGTGCTCTCCCACCTGCTTCCCACCTTAGAGAATGGAATACATTTCAGTCGCTTGCAAAAATAGAAACCTGGGTACCATCTCGGAGTCTTCCATCTTCCTCATCCCACTCTTGCTGTGAGAAATGGAATCCTTCTTGCAATTGTTCACACTCTCCAGTATTAAGCTATATATCCATGCTTTTTGCCATATGAGTCTGTGGTTCCTCCCAGTGTAGGTGGAGAGCATTTTCCAATCCCATCAATTTGGGGCTTGGACTAGTGGCTTGCTTTGGCCAATGGAATGGGGGCGGGAGACTCATAGAGTCCCCATGCTGAGTCAAGGGTTGAAGGGCTTTGCGTGTTCTTGATCATCCTCTGGACCTTAGGTGATCCACCATGAGCAATGGATATTCAGGGGTCATGGTCCCTTCAGTCTGGGTCCAGAACAAACACATATGGAGCTGACATGAGCCAGCCTGGAGCCTGGAGCTAACACAGTCAACCTGCATCTCAAGGCAGAGCTGTCAGCAATGCGCAGCTTAGATCAGCTGAAATGCAGTCAATCTGCAGACCTGTGAGCACGGAAACAGTGCTTCTTTCTGTAGGCCACTGAGTTTGAGATTTGTTATGAGGCGTTATTGGGGCAATAGTTCACTAATGCACATGCTATGATCCAAACCCAGAAGCATCCTTTATGTTCACGTTTTACCTGACTTCTCCCTTCTCCCATCAGTCTATTTTATTTTAAGATCTAAACAAAATACCATCTCTTCTATGAAGCCTTCCCTGCCCAGGTATGCTTTCTGTCTGTCAGGAAAGATAGACAATGAGTGATTAATGACATACGTGGTGAGTGAGAAAATATGTTTTGTGTTACACGGATTGAGTGTACAGCGAGGGACTCGTACCTGCATTTGGGAGGGGTGGATAGTGAAGGGCTTCCTGAGAAACTGGTATTTAAGCAGAGAAGGAGAATTTGGCCCGATGAAATATGGAGGCAGAAATACTCCAGGAAGAAGGAATAGTTTGCATGAGGATACTTAAGGCAGTGTGGCTGGGGCTCAGAGAGTGAATGGGGATGTGAGAGATGAGGCCACCACCACCATGCAGGTTCTGATCAGACAGGGCTCAGAGATCCAGCCTTTGTTCTAAGGGCAATGGGAAGGTTTTAAGCAAGTGGTGACATGATGGAGCCCGGGCTGCAAAAGGCAGAGCAAGTCCTTCCTTGAGACCTTACTGTGGTTTTGGATCTATTATTGCACTAATCTCTCTGCATTGCAGTTACCTGTTTAAACACGGTCTTTCTTTCTAGACTGTGAGCTTTTCTAAGCAGGCAGTGGTTGCCAGCCACATCTGAAACGTGGAGCTTAGGCACAGTGGAAGGAAAACACAAAAGGGTGGACTTGATATTCATGAAACACACGCTTTGCACCAGCCACTGGGTTGAGTGCTTTACCTGTGTTGGGAGGCAAGGGGGCAGAGCTTTGGGGAATACAGAGGAAGGGAAGGATGAGGGGAGGAAAAAGGCCCATGACTCATTCTCAGATTAACCCTAAGAGCGTGATGCAGCCCACAGACTGGAGGGTTCGGATTAAATTTGAGCAAGCCCTGCTCCGTGGAGAATGAGAAATCTTAGAAGCTTAAGTGCACTTTCAAGGCTGGAGGAGAATTTTCTCCTCTGGAGCTGTGAAAGAATGAGCTTGCTTCTCTTGGGGACAGAGTGGTTTGAGTATAATTGTGCTGAGAGGCACGGGGTCAGGCTGGTGGCCTCATGGAGTCCTTTCCCATCCCTTCCTGTGTGTGATTCAGATTCCCTGAAAATGATTTTTCCACAAGCCCTACGGAGAATCACTGGATTATTTTGGGAAGGGAAGCTCGCCAAGTTCAAGGTGAAGGATGAACATCTGCAGCCACAGGTAAACTGGGGGGAGATTATCCCTATTTGCAAAATGGAGCTAAACGCGACTCCTTTGTAGGGTTGCTTGAGGAAGCCAAATGTATTTTGAAGCCAAATATATTACACAGTGTTTCTGTGCAATTAAGGATGGAGGTCGTTTATATGTTTTATTTATTTATTTATTTATTTACTTATTTATTTTTATTTTTTGAGACAGAGTCTCGCTCTGTTGCCCAGGCTGGAGTGCAGTGGCGTGATCTCGGCTCACTGCAACCTCCACCTCCTAGGTTCAAGCGATTCTCCTGCCTCAGCTTCCAGAGTAGCTGAGATTATAGGCACACGCTGCCACGCCTGGGTAATTTTTGTATTTTTAGTAGAGACGGGGTTTTAGTATGTTGGCTATGCTGGTCTGGAACTCCTGGCCTCAAGTGGTCGGCCCTCCTTGATCTCCCAAAGTGCTGGGATTACAGGCATGAGCCACCACGCCCGGCCCGTTTATATGTTTTAGTGACTTCTCTTGGGAATGAGAGGCAGATCCGTACATACCCTTCGACTTCTTGACAGTTTCTTTCTTATATTTCTGCTCTTAGTGGAGGAGAGACAGAAAGAGAGAGACAGAGAGAGAGAAAGAGGGAGTTATAGAGAAAGGAGGAGAGAGAGAAAGGGAGAGAGCTATCAAGTACACTCAGGGATAATTTTAATTTTTCTCTTTTCCAGAGGGAGAGAGGGAGAGAGGGAATGGAACATCTTTTTTTTTTCTTACCTCTATGCTGCTGCACTATAATGCAGACTTTCAGAGATATTCATGTTGTGATTTATTCAATTCTTTTTCTCCATTGATTTTAATTAAGTTCCTGAGCTGTCTCCAAGCCCGGGGAACGGGAACAAAACATGAAACACTGAGAACCAAATGCTTTTCTTTTGCAATTGAGTTTTCCCGAGTTCTGAAAGTGCTTCACGGGAGGAGAATGAAAATAGAATTCAGAGGCTAAAGCATTTCCTCTGCTCCATCAGTCCCCAAATAATAAACATAAAAATTAAAATCCGGTTAAGAAAAATCACAGAAGTCATTACAGCTTGGTGGCTGATGGAGACTTTGATCAAATCTTTTATGCAGTTTCACAGTTTCTGGGGGAATTCACTGAGCAGGCATTGATCATGTTCATGCCAGGCAGATTGTTTTATCCCAGCAGAACCTGCCCCCTCCCAAACCAATTTCATCGTTTGATTTAAGTTCATGTCACGCTTTTTAAAGGAAATGCCGTGGTGATTTCTGGACCTGTTGTCTGGACTCCCATCAGACCCAACCCGCACCCTACCCCCGGCAGGCCCTCCCCAGGATCTGGAAGGCCAACGAGGTCCCTAAGCCAGTCTCTGACCCTTGGGTTGAAAGAAGGTTACTCTGCAGTGTTGAACAGCCAGATGGTCGGCCACCAGCTGGTATAGCCCCTTGTAGAAGTGGTAGAGTTAAACGCAAATGCCTGTGGGCTAGCCTATGACCCAACCAGAGAAATGGCCCAGGTAGGAACTTTGGCGAAATGGTGAATACAAGTCAGGTCTAAGGTGGACGGCCCTGGACCATAGTTATCATGTGGGGATTGTGGCCTTGGCAGGGCCAGATGTTGTGAATTTCCAAGGAAAGCCAGAAACTGGCATGCTTTTTCAGTAATATGAAAAAAGCACATATTTTTAAATTTTTATTTTAATAGTTTTTTGGATGTGGGTGGTTTTTGATTACATGAATAAGTTCTTTAAGTGAAAATTTCTGAGATTTTAGTGCACCCATCACCCGAACAGTGTACACTGTATCTAACATGTAGTCTTTTATGCCTCATCTCCCTCTCAGAATTCTCTCTCCGAAATCCCCAAAGTCCATTAGATCATTCTATGCCTTTGTATCTTTGTTGCTTAACTCCCACTTATATGTGGGAACATACAATATTTGGTTTTCCATTTCTGAGTTACTTCACTTAGAAGAATGGCCTCCAGCTCTATCCAAGTTGCTGCAAAAGACATTATTTTCTTCCTTTTTATGGCCGAGTAGTATTCCATGGTGTATTTATACCACATTCTCTTTATCCACTTGTTGGTTGATGAGCACTTAAGTTGGTTCCATATCTTTGCGAATTGTGTTGCTATAAACATGCGTGTGAAAGTGTCTTTTTCACATAATGAATTCATTTCCTTTTGGTAGATACCCAGGAATGAGGTTGCAGGATCGAATAGTGGTTCTCTTTTTAGTTCTTTAAGGCATCTCCATACTGTTTTCTGTAGTGGTTGAACTGGTTTACACGCCTACCAACAGTGTAAAGGTGTTCTCTTTTCACCACATCCATGCCAACATCTATTGTTTTTTTGATGTTTTAATTATGGCCATTCTTGCAGGAGTAAGGTGGTATCTCATTGTGGTTTTAATTTACATTCCGCTAATAATTAGCGATGAAGAACCCCAATATTTAAGTGTTGGCAACCATTCAAAAAGTCAATGCACTCTGTGGGTCAAAAAAAAATACACATGAGAGCTGGAATTTAGCACTGGACAGTTGCTTTGCAAGACAGTTGAAGAGTACAAAACCCGAATTAATGTCCAGGCAGCACCACCTACTAGCTGTGTGACCTTCTCTGAGTCTCCATTTGTAGCATACAATTATGTATCATGGGATACACACAATGTAAGATCCTGGTGCCTATTATGTAACCAACAAGTGCTATATCCATTCATTTTATTGTCGTCATCATCATCATCGTCATCACTAAAACCCAGTTTTCCCATTTACCATTGGTTGTGTATCTTCTTCTGGTTTTTTTTTGGACAGGGTTTCACTTTGTTCCCCAGGTTGCACTGGTGTGATCATGGCTCATTGCAACCTCGACTTGCTGGGCTTGAGCAATCCTCCCACCTCAGCCTCACAAGAAGCTGGACTACAGGCACAAACCACCACACCCAGCTATTTTTTTTTTGTATTTTTTGAAGAGACAGGGTTTCACCATGTTGCCCAGGCTGGTCTCGAACTCCTGGTCTCAAGAGATCTCCTACTTTGGCCTCCCAAAGTGCTGGGATTATAGGTGTGATCCAATGCACCTGGCTGGTTGTATCATCTTGTTGCTCCATCCTTCATTTTAGAGGGAGATGAAGCTGCTCTGCTCACCATCCTTACTTTAATTAAGACATTTGTCACTAACTCATATGGAAGGGAATTTGGCAACCTGAGTTAAACATTTCCAAAGGGAAATAAAACAGGCCCACTGCCCAGGAGCTTCTCTGGGCTCCCTGTAATTGTGCACAGCCTAGGTGGTTTGCTTGCTTATGGATTCTGAGAAAACACATGAAACTATCTCCCAAGAAAGTTTAATGACCTTAACTCATTTAGTGTATAAAATATTTCAGCAACTTGTGGAATACAAGTGGCACAATGGAAGCCGCTGCAAAGCAAATAGAGGGGTCCAGTGGACTCTAGAAAAGGGTCTGACTGTCCTTACAGCTACTGTGCTGAAGTGGACTTACTCTCCAGTCCAGAACCTGCAGCCTCAGGGTCACCCTGCTGAGTGATCTTGCTTTCCCCAGACCCTGGATCTGGAAAGTAGACAGCCCAGGTGCTGGCAGAGGAAAATTAGGGAAAGGGAGCTGGAGAGGGGAGGAACTCAATGGGACCTGCTAGGAAGAGCCCAGGCAGGGCAGAGCGCATGAAGACTTGCTCCAGAAATCACTCCTTGGGCCATTTTTATTTTAGTTATTATTTCTCTCATATCCAAAGGAAAATAAAAGACTGTAACAGAGGAATCAAAGGAGATGTGGCACAGGTGTCGAAATGTCCCTGAGTTCTTCCAATCCCTTCTCTGTGGCCTCTCACTTCTCCTCTGAGATGCTCCTGGATGGAGCCCATCCCAGATGCTTTCTTTGCTGAGTGCAACCTTCTCCTAACCTGCTTCCAGAGAAGCTTCTTGTATTGGAATTCCTCTCCTTCCTTTTTCCCAGACACAGCTAACCATGCACGTAAGGGAATGATGAGGCGATACATAGAAAGAACCCAGATCCTTGCAGGAATTTATGGAGCCGGTTCTGCCCACTAATCTGGATTGTTCACACTGGGGCTATCACAAGAATGCAACATTTCTGTCTTCTTGAGCCTTCTTCGGGGCCTTCTTGATATAGCAGTTTAGCCTTTCCCCTAAGGCAGTGGATCTCAAAGTCTAGTCTCTGACCAGCAGCATCAGCATTACTCAGGAATGTGTTAGAAATGAAAATTCTACTGCATTAGATCTACTGAAACTCTCGGGGTGGTGCTTAGCAATCTGTGTTGGTTTTGAGATACATATTTTTTGAAACAGAGTCTTGCTCTGTTGCCTTTGTTGGAGTGCAGTGGCACAATCACAGCTCACTGCAGCCTCCACCTCCTGGCCCCAAGCAATCCTGCCTCAGTCTCCCGAGTAGCTGGGACTGCAGGGGTGGGCCATCATGCCCAGCTAATATTTTTTCTTTTGTAGAGACAAAGTCTTGCTATGTTTCGTTTCCCAGACTGGTCTCAAACTCTTGGCTTCAAGTGTTCCTCCTGCCTCAGCCTCCCAAATAGCTGGGATTACAGGCATGAGCCATCATGCCTAGCTGTTTTGAGATAACTCTAAATTCATGTACAGTTGTAATTAATAACACAGAGCCTTCCCACTTTTCCCCAATGGTAATATTTTCCAAAACTACAGAATAATATCACAGCAAGGACATTGACACTCATTCGATTTACTGATCTTACTGAGATTTTCTTGGTTTTGTATTCATTTGTGTGTGTGCCTGCATTTGTGTGTACTGTATAGTAAGTGCTGTACAGTTTTATCACATGTAGGCTTGTGTGCCCACTACTACAGCCAAGATACTGAAAAGATCCAACAACAAAAATCTCCTGTTGTCACCCTCTCATAGCCACCCCCACCTCCCTCTCAGACCAATGTCCAGTTTAACATGATTTCCAGTTCATTTTGACGTGCTGGAGTTTGCAATATAGGGATACCTTGCTCTGTTGAAAAAATTGTTGCTACGAAGGTTGTGTATCTTCATTAATGCAAAGCATTGTGCCAGACACTGAGTGAAAACACTTTTTACTTGCATCATCTAATTTGATCTTCAGGAGAGCCCTGGGAGGTAGACAGCATTATTATCTTTTATTGCAGTAGTAACTGAGCACCCATTGCAGGGCAGGGGATGTAACAATGGCTAACATGACAGAAATAATAGTTTTATAATTAATAACAGGTGAAGTATAAGAAGAAGTATATAAATAATATTTTTTATTAATTAAAATTATTAAGTATAATAAATAATACTTATTTTACTTTTATTTTTATTTTTTTTTCTGAGACAGCATCTTGCTCTGTCCCCCAGGCTGGAGTATAGTGGCATGATCATGGCTCACGGCAGTCTCGACTTCTCTGGCTCAAGTGATCCTCTTGCCTCAGTCTCCTGAGTAACTGGGACTACAGGTGTGTGCCAGGATGCCTGGCTAATTAAAAAGTTTTTTTTTTTTTTTTGTAGAGACAGGGTCTTGCTATTTTGTCCAGGTTGGTCTTGAACTCCTGGGCTCAAGCAATCCTCCTGCCTGCCTCCCAATGTGCTGGAAATACAGGCATGAGCCACCACGCCCAGTCCCTAATCTGAATCCAGGAATCAGACTTTTACCCAGTAGTCTACACTGAATTTCTGGCGCCAGTGCAGAAGCATACATAGGAACTGCCACCTCCATGGGCAGCTTGCATAGCTGAGGCCTGCCTGGCTCCAGGGCCTCTCTGCCTACAGGAATGCCACCCTTTGAGCATTTCTTCACTGTTCCTAATCAAATTTCAATCCCATGAAAGTGCGATACTTTGGTACTCCTGGTTAATGGTCAGGCATATACCAGAGACCCGAAAAAGACTTAAATGATGGCATTTTGGAGCCTAAATACCATTTTAGAAATTCTTCCAGCTGAGCATCTCCTTTTACAGATGGGGAAAGGAGGTCAGAGAGGGGCAGGTTTGCCATCCCAGGGAGGGGCACTGGCATAGGCTGGCTCAGTGGGCTGGAGTTCAGAGGTGTGGCCTCAGGCTTGGTGGCAAGGGGCAGTGAGTGAGTGTGGGACCCTCCTTGGGGATCTGGTTTTCAGTGAGAGGACTCAGGCATCTGGAGGTTCACTGGCCAGCCCTGGGTCCTGGCCTCTGTAGTTAGAATGTCCTCGCTCAACTCTAGGCTCCAACCTGAGTTATTGCAATATTCCCAGACATGGACCTGTCAAACCTTGGGTAGCTTGAGCCTTTGAGGAGACCTCCCAAATTTAACTTTAAGTCTGTGTGTCAGGGCTGGGAAATCCAGCAGCTTTTCATTATGCTCTGTTAGGAAGAGGCTGAGGACTGTCATGAGGACAGGAAGGGTACAGTCTGTCACCAGATGGAAAAGACTTCCCACGTCTTACACATATTTTTCACCAGTTGAGTGTTTTCTGTGGACCTGGCATTGAGCTGAGCAGTTGATACACCTCAGTTACTCCCATGTGGTCATGACAATGACCATCCAGCGTAGAAGCACTTATCACTCCCAATTTACATTTTGAGGCGATGAAAGGAGAGGCCAGGGTACTTGAGCCAAACCCCTAGTTTGTTGGGTTGAACTCCACGTCCTACCCACTGTGCCCGATACCCCAAAGGAGCTAGCAAAAAGCAGAAGAATATGCTTTGATTCATTTTAGGAGTCAAATCGTTGAGTCCCCTGGGTGGAGTCATTTCCTGAAAATCAACCTCGCTTTGCACATTTGACAGGTACTTGGAATTTACTGGGGACAGAATTGTCTTGTTTTCCCTGTCCTTGCCCTTCATCTAAAGGGACATTCTTTTCAAAGGTCCCATTGTGCCGTGACAGCCACTGAACAGATGAGGTGACTGCAGCCCAGAGAGGGCAGATGCTGTGCCTGAGCTCACACAGCCAGGGAATGAACTTAGGTCAGCAAAACCCTGGAGCCCAGCTCTCTCCCCGCTACTACGCTGCTCCTCGCCTTATTAGAAACATAAGGTAATTAAGTGCACTGGGCTTCCCATAATTCAGAATACACTTGACACCACAATCTACCAAAGACACCCTCCATAATGTGGGAAATGACAGACAAGCTGCCCTCGTGATAAGTGTGAGATCTTATCGGTCTGATCCATCATCCCCATTATGTGCGCCATATCTCTATTATCTCCCCCATAAGACATATTTACAGCCGTATTAAAAGGGAGATGAAGGGATATATTATCTTCCTTATGTACCACATATATTACACGCCCATGCCCCGTCACAACCCAGACGCTTCCAGACAAGGCAGGCTGCAGCAGGCTGATAGGAGGAAAGCCATTCTTTCAGGTTAAAAGGGGGAAGGCACTATAACCTGCTCATCTGCACAGCACTCAGCAGTTTATAAAGGACTTCATTGTTTGTTCATCTGAGCCTTAGCGCACTCCCTGTGATGGGAAGGGGATCATGATAATGATTGCCACTCCCATTTCACAGATGGGAAAACTGAGGCTCTGAGGAGACAATAATTTGCCTTTGGTGACCCCTCTAGGAGGAGTGGAAGCAGAACTTGAACCTAGATCTTCTGATTTCATATCTCCTGAGGTCCTTATATTACAGAACCTTTTGGTGTGCATTCATTTATTCATGCTTTTGTTCACTTAAAATACACTTAACGAACAGCTGCCTGAGACCAGGCACTGTGCTAGGGGCTGGGAAGAGTTGTTGGAGAAGATGATCGATGTTCCTTGCTGTTCTAGAGTCCAGAGCAGGGGTCTGTACCAGGACACCAGGTCAAGTCTGGAGACATTTATGGTTGTCACAACGACGGAGGTGCTACTGGCATCCAATGACGAGATTGTCCTGCAATGTACAGGACAGCTCTTGCAACAGAGTTGCCCATCCCAAATGCCCGTGAAGTTAGGAAAACCCTGGCCTAGAGTGTATGGAAGAAGACAAAAGTAATCAAATGATCACACCAACAAGGATAAGGTTACAAACAGAGATAAGTTAGAAATGTATCCACAGCAACAGTGAATGCTTGTATAGTACTCCTGTGCTAGGCTGTGCCCCAAGAGGGGTCTATTACTCTCTTAACTCAGCTAGTCCCTAAAACAGCCCTGCAGGGTTGATTTTATGGTTGTCTCCATTTATAGAGGTGGGAACTGAAGCTCAGAGAGGTTAAGAAACTTGCTTGGATTGGGCAATAGAGCGACACTCTGTCTCAAACAAAACAAAACAAAACAAAACAACCTTGCCCACAGTCACACAGCCATTCTATTAAGGGGTTGGGCTGGGATTTGAACCGACACCAGCTTTTATGCTTATGGCCACTACACTGTGTTGCCTCCTTGCAAGACAAAGGAACTGGCTGTGCTTTGTGGGTTGAGGGAAGCTTTATAGGGGAAAGGACAGGAGGTTTAAGGAGCCCCAGGTCATAGGCTGGGGTAAGAAGAGTGATCCAGTCAGAGGGAACAGCATGTGCAAAAGTCACATGGCCAGAGGCTGTGGGGCACAGTGGAGAAACCCATTGAAAGTGAACGTGATGGGGGAGCAGAGATCTGGGGGAAACAGAAACCAGAGGTTTCGTGGCCACGTGCTGGGTTTGTAGGGATGGTGGATTCCGAGCGGAGCAGCACACAGCCTGGCTTGGAGTTTGAAAGCCCCACGCTGACTGCTGAGTGGTGTGATGGCTGAGAGGGGGCCAGAGTAGAGGAGGAACCAGGTAGGAGCCAATTGCCGTGTGGAGAGACCAGGCTGGATTCGTGGAAATGCAGAGACGTGAACAGATCTGAGAACTATTTCGGAGGTGAAACTGTCAGGATGCGGTAATGGACTGGGCGTTGTGGCAGAGTGATGAGTAACGCATTGCTCACCACTGGATGCCTGACCTTCTCTGAAATTAACCCAAAGGTTGTGTGTGGACCTCCCTGGAGATGGCTGGGAAGGGCTGCTGGCCATGCCCACCCCTCCTTGAACCTGAAAGGCCCATGTCACTGCTCAAGGTCCCAGCCGCAAGCCACAGGAGCAATAATGACGCTGCTTTGCTTTGCTGACAGCCCTCTGTTTGTGCTCCTAGATGCCTCTAACTCACAGATAATTAATGTCAGCCGGCTGTCATCGCACCCCGGCTAATCACAGTGTGCGGGGGTAGGCACACGGGTCGATGATGTGCAGCCTGGGGATCTGTCAGACCCCAGAAAGGGCGCATCACCTGCCAAGTTGCCAGAGAGTGCCGTGAATTTGAGCACATGCCTGTCTGCTCTGGAGGCACTGACAGTCTCTATCCCAGGGCAGGTAGTCACTCGAGGTTACGTCTGCAGGTCAGGGAACCCAGGATGGACAGAGGGAGAGGGGATAGGAGGGAAGTTCGCTCCTGGCCGGTGTGGACACAGACCCTCCCGGGGCGCAGTGTGTAACTGGCATGGTCTGGTTTTCAGTGCCCGCAAGTCATATTTCAGACCGAGTGGCTGTCCTCAACATTCATATAATCCAGTGCATTTGTACAGGATTGTAGTGCTTTCAGCAGTCATCGTGAAACACTCATCATTCCCCAAACATGCCAGTCTTCACCATATCTCTTTGTCTTTGTCCACATAGTTCCTTCTGCTGGATCACTGTCTCGTCATCCCCAGTTTCCCGCCCCGAATATGCACACCCACTGTCACACAATCCATGAAGTGAACTTCTATTTATCCTTCAACACTTTGCTTTCCAAGTAGCTAGCTTCTGCCCTCTGTGTTCCAACAACACGTTGTATAAACCCCTAGGACATTAATTCATTCACATCCATTTGTTCATTCATGAGGTCAGCCATGAGTACCCACTAAGTGAGTGCAGGCTGTGTCCAAGGCCAAAACAGTGATCAGAAATCCAGACATCCTCTCTCTCAAAGCATTCTGTGTACACAGCCAGGCAGCATCCAATGAAGAACGATGCAATGTGTTGATTAATTATGGTGAGATCGGTTCACCTTCCACTTTGCATTTTTGTTATATGTTTCTTTTTGTATCACCCTGATTCCATGGGAATCTCTCTGAGGTCAGGGACTGTCTGATTTATTTCTGGGTTTTCAGTGCCAGTACAGTACATGCGCGGTGACAATTTAATAAAAGAAAGAGTGGATAGAGCAAATGAGAATGGGAATCTCATATCCAGGGTGATTAATACCTCTTCATCCAGAGTTGTCTGCCCTCCCAGCCACCCAAGGTAAGTTGTGAAGGCACCAACACAGTTATATTTAAAGAAATATTCAAGTGCATCAGAGAGAGTCTGGGATGAAGGGAGAGTCCTTCCTGCAGGGGTCTGGTCACCTAGGCAAAAACCCAGAAGCAGCCATTTTAAGCATCAGTTGTGTGCCCAGCACTGTGTCAGGGCATGGAAGAGGAAAGTTTCCCTCTGTAGCTGGATATCAGGTTCAGCCCCGCAGGTGGGAGTCTAGGTGGGGGCCAGCAGAGACCCTCAGAGCTGGAACAGAGCTGGAAAGATCCAAGGGGCATCAGCTTGTCTACCAGTGCAGTGACAGCAAGCTTGAGAAGAGATGGTGAGGGAGTGAGCGCCATATTTGGAGAAGTATTCAAACAAGTGGCAAGAGATGCCTTTTGGGGCTACATAACCAGTTGAAACAGGCTACCTGAAGGCACTATCATGGTGGAATAAGTGTAATAATCAGTGAGTCTGTGCTATATCTCTCATAGGGAAGGCAGTGTGTGGTGTATAAGAGTTAAAAGTCCTTGTATTGGAATCAGGTAGACCTATGATTAAGTCCTGACTTTATCCTTTTTTTTTTTTTTGAGACAAGGTCTTGCTCTATTGCCCAGGCTGGAGTGCAGTGGTGGTAGCACTGCTCACTGCAGCCTCAACTTCCCAGGCTCTAGCAATCCTCCCACCTCAGCCCCCAAGTAGCAGGAACTATAGACATGCACCACTATGTTCCACTAATGTTTGTATTTTTGGTAGAGACAGGGTTTTGCCAGTTGCCCAGGCTGGTCTGAAATTCCTGAGTTAAAGCGATTCACGCGCATTGGCCTCCCAAAGCGTTGGGATTACAGGCGGGAGCCACTGCTCCCAGCCCTGGCTTTGTTCTTTAATAACAATTGTGCAATTGTGAGAGTCATTTAACCTCTTTGGTACTTAGTTTTCCCCTTGGTAAATTGGAGAAAACAACATTTATGTGGCAATACCTGCAAAGAGCTGGTCCGACAGGAGAGACACATATTATTTGTGAAAGATTGAAGCCCAGGTAGAGGGACACGGGACCCTGCAAGGCTCATGTACAGGGACTAGGGCAGGCTGACACCGAGGGGAAAGATATGCCAGGATGGGGCTCCCTGGGCAAAGAGGCGGTGAGCTGAGGGCCAAGGCACCTCCCAATAGGAGGAAGTGAGTGGGCACCACACTGGCAGGCTAAACATGGCTCCTGGCCCAGCTCTCAATCATTTTGAATCCCCTGGAGGCATTTGCTGCAAGACTGAGCTTCTGGTCACTCCCAGTTAAGGGTGCTGTGCATTTCTGGGGTCCCAGTTATCAGCAGCAGTGATTCCACTCTGTCTACCTGCCCCTTCCTTCTCTGTTGATGAGGGTTCTTCATTCACTGTCTCCCCATTTCTCGCTTGGGGCTGGCACTGCAGAAATGCAATGGAGATGGAGCAGTCAGGGCCCCCGTGCCCAAGAACGTCCAAACTGGTGGCAGGGACAGTGTGGGGCAATTGTCAGAGAGTGAGATAACACACACCACAAACCCAATCACAATAATATAGCTAAGTATAGATGACATATAATCCAGCCATCCCATGACTGAGTATTCATCGAAAGGGAAGTAAATCAGCATATCAAAGAGATATCCGCACTCCCATGCCTACTGCAGCACTATTCACAGTGGACGAGATGGATATCCATATTCACACTATATGTGGATGAGTGTGGATATCCATATCCACACTATATCCACACTATCCATGTCCACACTATATCCATCCTATCCATGTCCACACTCTATCCACACTATCCATGTCCACACTATATCCACGCTATCCATGTCCACACTACATCCACGCTATCCATGTCCACACTATATCCACACTAACCATGTCCACACTACATCCACACTATCCATGTCCACACTACATCCACGCTATCTATGTCCACACTACATCCACGCTATCCATGTCCACACTACATCCACGCTATCCATGTCCACACTATATCTGTGCTATCCATGTCCACACTATATCGACGCTATCCACGTCCACACTACATCCACACTATCCACGTCTATGCTATCCATGTCCACACTATATCCACGCTATCCATTACCACACTATATCCATGCTATCCATGTCCACACTATATCTACACTATCCATGTCCACACTCCATCCACACTATCCATGTCCATACTATATCCACACTAACCATGTCCACACTATATCCACGCTATCCATGTCCACACTATATCCACACTATCCATGTCCACACTATCCATATCCACCCTATATCCACAGTATCCATATCCACACTCTCCATGTCCACACTATGTCCACACTACCCAAATGCACACTATATCCACACTACCCATGTCCACACTATATCCACACTATCCATGTCCACACTATATCCACACTATCCATATCCACACTATATCTACACTAACGATATCCACACTATATCCACACTAACGATATCCACACTATATCCACACTCTCCATATACACATTATCCATGTCCGTAATATATCCACCCTATCCATGTCCACACTACATCCACACTATCCATATCCACACTATATCCACACTATCCATGTGCACACTATATCCACACAATCCATGTCCACACTATCCATATCCACCCTATATCCACAGTATCCATATCCACACTCTCCATGTCCACACTATGTCCACACTATATCCACACTATATCCACACTGTATCCACACTATCCATGTCCACACTATCCATATCCACCCTATATCCACGCTATCCATATCCACACTATATCCACACTAACGATATCCACACTATATCCATATTATCCATGTTCACACTATCTCCACACTCTCCATATCCACATTATCCATATCCACAATATATCCACCCTATCCATGTCCACACTACATCCACACTATTCATATCCACACTATATCCACACTATCCATGTCCACACTGTATCCACACTATCCATGTCCACACTATATCCACACTATCCATATCCACACTATCCATGTGCACACTATATCCACATTATCCATGTCTACACTATATCCACACTAACCATGTCCACACTATCCATGTCCACATTAACCATGTCCATACTATATATACTACACACTACTATATATAGTATATATGTAGTATATATGGTAGTGTGTGTATGCATATATACACATACTATCTTATATTTATACATATACTATCTTATATATATACTATATATACACATACTATCTTATATGTATATGTCTATACATATTTATATGTGTATTTATATGTATATATACACATACTACCATATATAGTGTATATATATATCATACTACCATATATATATCATACTACCATATATATAGAGACAGAGCATATATACCCTACTGTCTCCATATATATATACATATATATAACTATGTGATATATACTATATCTACAACTATGTGATATATACTATATCTACAACTATGTGATATATACTATATCTACAACTATGTGATATATACTATATCTACAACTATGTGATATATACTATATCTACAACTATGTGATATATACTATATCTACAACTATGTGATATATACTATATCTACAACTATGTGATATATACTATATCTACAACTATGTGATATATACTATATCTACAACTATGTGATATATACTATATCTACAACTATGTGATATATACTATATCTACAACTATGTGATATATACTATATCTACAACTATGTGATATATACTATATCTACAACTATGTGATATATACTATATCTACAACTATGTGATATATACTATATCTACAACTATGTGATATATACTATATCTACAGCTATGTGATATATACTATATCTACAGCTATGTGATATATACTATATCTACAGCTATGTGATATATACTATATCTACAGCTATGTGATATATACTATATCTACAGCTATGTGATATATACTATATCTACAGCTATGTGATATATACTATATCTACAGCTATGTGATATATACTATATCTACAGCTATGTGATATATACTATATCTACAGCTATGTGATATATACTATATCTACAGCTATGTGATATATACTATATCTACAGCTATGTGATATATACTATATCTACAGCTATGTGATATATACTATGTATACAGCTATGTGATATATACTATGTATACAGCTATGTGATATATACTATGTATACAGCTATGTGATATATACTATGTATACAGCTATGTGATATATACTATGTATACAGCTATGTGATATATACTATGTATACAGCTATGTGATATATACTATGTATACAGCTATGTGATATATACTATATATACCCTACTATATATGGCAGAGTGTGTATATATATACTACTATGCATGTATATATATACTACTATGTATGTATAGTGTGTGTATATTTTTATATATATATATACACTGTACATTACATATATATTGTAACCCCAACATTATATATATGAGTATGTAATAATCAGAACTATATGTTCTTTATATATACCTTGGAGTACTATACAGCAATCAGAAAGAAGGAAATCCTGTCATTTGCCACAACATGGATGAAACTGGAGGACGTTATGTTAAGTGAGATAAGCCAGACACAGGAAGACAAACACTGCGTGATCTCACTCTCGGGAAAGTCGAGCTCATAGAAGCAGAGAGTAGAATGGTGGATACCGGGGCTGCAGGGGGAAGAGAGTCGCTGGTCAAAGGACACAAAATTTCACTTAGGGAGGAGCACTCAGGAGAGCAGTTCTACCCATGGTGACTCTAGCTAATAGCAATGTTTTGTATACCTGAAAATTGCCAGAGGACTAGATTTTAATTGTTCTTGTCACAAAAATCTATGTAAAATAATACATACATTAGTTGACTCAATTTAGCCATTCCACAATGTATATGTGTTTCAAAACATCACATCATACACCATATACATATGTGTGTGTGTGTGCATGTGTGTGTGTGTGTGTGTGTGTGTGTGTGTATGCAATTTTTATTTTCAGTTAAAAAATACAGAAAAGAAGGAGAGTTGAGGACACAGACACCCAGAGAGGGATGACTAAGTGAGGACAAGGGGTGCAGACAGATGTCTCCACACCAAGGAGAGACTCCTCAGAAGAAACCAGCCCTGTCAAGAGCTTCCTCTCAGAATTCTGGCCTCCAGAATTATAAGAAAATAAATGTTTGTTCTTTAGAAAAAAAAAAATTTAGCTAACACTGCATGTTCACTGCACATGAGTTAGCATATTGAATCTTTACCACACCCTCTGAGGGGCTGGGTTGGGTCTCAGAGAGGTCGATTTGTGTTTCCAAGGTCACACAGCCCTTATTAGTCCAGTCTGCCTGACACAAAGTCCATGCTCTTACCGCTAAGCCACCCATCCCCCTTATGCCTCCTCATTCATTCATTCTTTTGCTCCCTCAACAAATATTTATTAAGCATCTACTATGTGTTGGGCAGCATGCTAGGATCTGATACTTCAGCAAAGGATAAGGAATTTGCAGTTCTGCCAAAAGGCAGTTCACATCCTAACCAAGGGGCTTTGGGAGCACAGAGGACTCTACCCAGGTGTTGTACTCACAGAAGAGGTGATATGTAAATTGGGTTCTGAAGCACCCACAGGAGTCTTCTTGTTAAAATATGGAAAGGTGTATGTGGGTGTGAGGTTGAGCATGTCATCCCAGGAAGTGGGAATGGCAAGTGCAAAGGCTTGAAAATATGTTCCTGTGATAATGGGTATTCCTTCCTTCCTTCCTTCCTTCATTCCTTCCTTCCTTCATTCCTTCCTTCCTTCATTCCTTCCTTCCTTCCTTCATTCCTTCCTTCCTTCCTTCATTCCTTCCTTCCTTCATTCCTTCCTTCCTTCCTTCATTCCTTCCTTCCTTCATTCCTTCCTTCCTTCCTTCATTCCTTCCTTCCTTCCTTCCTTCCTTCCTTCATTGCTTCCTTCCTTCCTTCCTTCATTCCTTCCTTCCTTCCTTCCTTCCTTCCTCCCTCTCTTTCCTTCCTTCTTGCCCTCTTTCTTTCGTTCCTTTCTTTCTTTTCTTCCTCCCTCCTTCCCTCCCTCCCTCTCTTTTCTTCCCTCCTTCCTCCCCTCCTTCTATCCTTCTTTCCCTTCCTTCCTCCTTCTCCCTTGCATTTTGCCATCTTTTCTTTCCTTCCTTCCTTCCCTCCCTCCCTCCTTCCTTCTTTCATTCCTCCCTCTCCTTCCTTCCTTCCCTCCCTCCCTCCTTCCTTCTTTCCCTTCCTTCCTCCCTCCCCCTCTCTTTCTTCCTTCCTTTCATCCGTCTTTCTTTCTTTCTCTCTTTCCTTTCTTTTTCTTTCTCCTTCCTTCCTCCCTCCCTCCCTCTTTCCTTCCTTTCTTCCTTCTTTCATTCCTCCCTCCCTCTTCCTTCCTTCCTTCCTTTTTTCCTTCCTCCCCCTTTTCATCCTTACCTTTCATTTCTGAATGGGTGATACATTCCCATAGTCCAAAAATCTGAAGGCAAAAAAAGGTGCATAGTGAAATACCTCCCTCCACCTATGCTGTCCATCATCCATTCACTTCCCACCCTCCTCCTTGTCTCTTCTCCCCCATATAACCACTTTCTTTTGTCTCCTGACACTCCTTCTAGACTTTCTTTATGCAAATGAAAGCATCAATGAATGTTTTCTTGCCTCCATCCTTTATTTTCAGAGAGAACGTATCATGCCTGCTATCCTGAAGAAAGATAAGGATTTAATGCTGCATAGATTTGGGGGAAATTCCCTAATGGTGGGTTGAGATTAGATTGTGAAGGGTCTCGAATGCCACACCAAGGACTTTTTGAATGTGGGCATATAATGTGCTATTTCTAAAATTTTCTCCAAGTCATGATACTTTCAAGGAAACTATAAACCCAGCCTGGGTTATCAGGGGCTGTTTGATTAACTTCATTAAAAACAAAACGACAGCTACAGCCCACCCTCATCTCCCACCAAAAATTAAGAAAAATGAAACTTGTAACAAAGGTAAGCACCATGAACTTGTATCACATTGTGAGCTAGCTGCCTCTCCTGTTCTCTGCCTAATTTATTTTCTGGAAAAACATTCACTGGCTTTCAGAACAGTTCCCTTTCCTTTGTCAGCAAGCAGCTCTTGGAACCAAATTGCTGGCTAAAAATAATGTATTTTTATTAAAAACCATTTTGAATTGGTGCCTATTTCTAAGACAGCTCCACATATGGATAACCATCCAGTACTGCTTGTTATAGATAAGTGATGAATTATTTTAATCAGAAATGGATTTAACAGCACTGCAAAAATAAATGTGGGAGATTTTTCACAATCTGATTGTCTTTTCTGATTCTTTATATTTAGCAATCAGTGAAGACTAATAGTGGCTATTGGACATTCAATCAAACTTCCCCAAAGCAGATGCATCCCACCCAAAATAAAGATTGACATTCTCTCCAATCACTCTAGGAAATGTCCCTGATCTCTAGGTGCAGAAATAGATGGGAAAATACATACACTGAAACTTTCTTCCCAGACAGCAGCAGGTGTTTTTGGTTGTGTAGTAGAGGGGCAGAGTGCTGGATTTAATCAACCACCATCCAACACCAATGGATTTGATGTCTACTGGATACCAGGTATTGCATCTGGGGATAACGAATCAGAAAGGATTCACTTCTGCACTGAATTCTGGACCATTTTTATTTGAGACAAGAAAGACCTCAGCAGCCTCTATATTTTTAACTGGCTGTGCTTGGAACAGAGCTTTGTTTTATTTCTTGTTCTGGAATGAAGCATTTCTGTGGCATTTGGAAGCAGAAGTGGTAGGTCCAGAGATATTGGGAGAGCTGTCAATCAAGAGACTGTATATCAACTGGCGGTCTTTGAGTGTAAGCAACAGTAACAGATTCAGTTTGACTTAAGGCATAGGTCATGGCTCGTAGACATGACCTTAAACATCACTGAACAGCTGATAGTGTAATAAAGTCTCAGTTGGCTCTTGTGTATTTTTAACATTTTTCCAACTTTTGTTCATCTCTCTCATTAACAAAGAGACAGTGAAACTCTGGCTCACAGCTTTTATCTAGCAATGACATTTAGCCACAATAACAATGTTTCATTTTCATTGCATTTGTCTTTATGGCTACGTTTTAATGGTGACAAGTAAAACCAGTTTTTCATTTACAGTAGCGATATAAAGTATCCTTTAAAATGTATTTTTTTAGATAATAAATGAGTCAAATTAAAGATAATATATTGTTAATAGAACACAGAGTCTAAAAATGGCAAAAGTCACGAAGATGTTATTTGATGAATAAATACATCTTATTCACATTGGTTTCTGGGGGGAAGGAGGGGGATGAAGGGTTAGGCAAGAAAATGAAACATTTGTTAGACACTTATTTTGTTCTAAGGATTTCAGATATCTTACATAAATTAATTGAACTCCAGCAAGTTGAACTCAACAAATGAGGTCACTATCTCCCTCTGTCTTTATATTTCTCCAAGTCACTAATGAAAGGGTTGCCTGGGACACGACCAGGGCAGAGCACTGTGGCATTCCACTCCAGTCCTCAACCAGCTCTGCTCTCATCACTTATTACCTCCTTTGGTTGTAAGGACACAACTTGCTATGGCTTCACCTCACTCTAGGGGCTCAATGGGAATGAAGGGTCTTCTTTCCAAGAGTCTGGCTGCCTTGGGACTAGAGATGACTCAGCAGAGTCTAAGACCCTTTTTTTTTTTTCCCACAGTTAACTGATACCATCAGTTTTTGTTGATCAAGACATCTCTCTGGGTTGATGGGGCTGACATTAGCAGCTGGGATTAATATGTTCCTCACCCCACACCTTTCATTTATTTGGAGAATCTCATTAAGGCAGGTTTCCTTCAGGAAATTGATGCTTTAATATTCTGCATTGTCAGCTGAGGGCCCGAATTTTATTTCTTGAATAACACTTAATTAAACGTGCAAGCTCCCTTTCCCTGATGCATCAGTGATCACGGCACTGAGCCCACCTCCAAGGCTCTTTGAAAAAATCAGCAGAAAGCAAAGTTGGGGTCAAAGCCCTGCTGAACAATAAAGTTTATGAACTGTAACTTTGTTGTAATTCACGCCCAGGGTCCTGCTGAGACGCACCGTTTCAGGGGCCTTGACTGAGACATAGCTGCTTTGCAAATGCTAGTTCCTGCCCTGAAACTTCCATTTCATACAAGAGGGACCCCAGAGGAGACTGTCCTGGATCAGGAATCAGCAAACTAGGACCTATGGGCCAAACCCAGCCCTCAGCCTATTTTCTTAAATAAAGCTTTATTGGAAAACAGCCACACCCATTCATGTATGTATTGCCTGTGGCTGCTTTCATGACAATGGCAGAATCCTAGACCCCGTGGGAGGACAGCCAAGAAGCATCAGAGCAGCCTTTGGGCAGCCTTGGTGTGGGTGAGGCTGAGCGCTTGCTCTTTGTCAAGCATTCAGCGTACTTGATCTCATTTCAAGCACTCTTTCCCCAAATATTTATAGAGCACCAGCTGTGAGCCAAACACACTTCTAGAGGCTGAAGATAAAATGCTGAACAAGATAGAGGAGGCCTCAGCTTTATACACCAAAGGAGAAAGAAAGACGATAACCAAGTGCCCCCATAAATATGCAAGCAAGAGGGTTTCTGGTAGCAACTCCATATCACTGAGAAAATAAAAGCAGTGTGATAAAGCATGGTGGTAAGTGCGTGTGGGAGTATTAGAAAGGTGATCACAGAAGGCTTCACTGAGGAGGTGTCACTTGAGCTGAGATGGGAATGATGGGTAGGAACCAGCTGGAGACGGATCTGCAGGAAGAGGGAGGGGAAGTCAGCTAGCAAAGGGCTGGTGGGAATGGGGGAACAGAGGAGGCCAGAGTGGCTGGAGAGTAGGGAGGAAAAGTGGAGGGTGGGACCTGGGTGCAGGGCCATGTGTGCTGTGCTGTGGTGTTTGGGCTTTATAGTAAGTGTTATGGCAAACTTGGGAACGCTGACCTAATTAGTATGTATGTGTATGCAAGTTTTTCTTTAATAGACTTTATTTTTTAGGGCATTTTTAGTGGACAGTAAAATTGAGCAGAAGGAACAGATGTTTCCTCTAATTCCCCTGCCCCATCGCATGCATATGGGAGCTTGAGCTTCCGTTATCGAAATCCCCCATCACAGTGGTACATGAATTACAATGGAGGAAGCTGCTTGGATACATCATGATCACCCAAAGTCCATAGTTTTCACTGAGGTTCACTCTCACTCTTGTACATTCTGAGTTTGGACAAATGAATAAAGTCGTGGATCCCCCACTGTAGTATCATCCAGAATGGTTTTGGTGCCCTAAAAATCCTCTGTGCTCTGCCTCTTCATCCCTCTCTCCTCCCTAGCCCCGGGAAGCCAGTGATCTTTTTACTGTTCCCACAGTTTTGCCTTTTTCACAATGTCATAGAATTGGGATCATAGAGTATGTGGGCTTTTCAGTTTGGTTTCTTTCACTTAATAACATGCATGGCGGGGTCCTACATGTGTTTTCATCGCTTGATAACACATTCCTTTTTAGTGCTGAATAATATTCCATTGTCGGGTTGTGTCGCAGTTTATTTATCCATTCACCTACTGAAGGATGTGTTGGTTGCTTCCTAGTTTTGAAAATTATGAATAAAGCTGCTATAAACATCCCTGTGCAGGTTTTTATGTGGACATAAGTTTTTAACTCTTTCGAGTAACTATGAAAGACTGTGATTGCTGAATCATATGGTAAGAGCATGTTTAGTTTTGTAGGAAATTGCCAATTTATCTTCCAAAGTTTCTGTACTATTTTGCATTCCCACCAGCGATGAATGAGGAGGGATCCTGTTGCTCCACATCCTCGCCAGAATTTGGTGGTGTCAGTGTTCTGAATTCTGACCATTCTAATGGGTGTGTAGTGGTATTTCATTGTTTTAATTTGCAATTCCCTAATGGCATATGATATGTGGCATCTTTTCATTTAGTTACTTGCCACCTATATATCTTGTTTGGTGAGGTGGCTAATATGCTTTAAACAATTAATGAGGCCTAGCACAGTGTCTCATCACTGTAGTTCCAGCCCTTTGGGAGGCTATGGTGGGTGGATCCATTGAGTTCATGAGTTCCAGACCAGATGGCAACCCTATCTCTACAAAAAATACAAAAATTAGCTAGGTGTGGTGGTGCACACCTGTGGGACGATCACCTGAGTCCAGGGTCAGTGCTACAGTGAGCCATGATTGTGCCACGCACTCCAGCCTGGGTGACAGAGCTAGACCTTGTCTCAAAAAAAGAAAATTTACTTTACTTTCTGTGATGTAATAATGCAATTGGCAATTTTTATTATAACACCCTTCCTCTGCTTTTGTTTCCTCTTGCAGTTAAAAACTTCTTTTTGTTTTCTTTCAGATGAAAATGCTCAGAGTTGTCAGAAATGTGAGGGCCCTTGCCCAGGGTTGGCCAGGTAGGAAGTGGCAGAGTCAGAATTTGAACTGTGCTGTCTGAGACACAGCCCCTGCCTCTGAGCCCTTTTGGGCCACTGCCCTACCTGGTTGGGGAGGACTCAGGGGATAGCCCAGGCTTGTTTCTGGAGGCCACATGGACTCCTGGAAGTCTCATGTAATTCCAAGTCAACATAGATCAAGCCCACTGGCTCTTCATTCCTGCACTGGGCATCTCTGAGCAAATCAAAACATCTCTGAACCTCAGTTTCTTGAATCTGTAAAATGGGAGGACAATGGTTCCTACCTGGAAGAGGACAAAATACAATAATGTACCTAAAGAGCCTCAGGCATATAAGTGTTTTGGAAAGACCCATCTGATCTTTCCTCCTCCACCCTCACTATGGAAAGAACAGGAGGAAGAGGAGGAGGAAGAGTACAGGGCAAGACCTAGTCCTCCCACCCACCAAGTCAAGGCTGCAGAGTTGGGGATCCCCTCCCTCAAAGCTCTGTAGAGTGAGGTTGGGCAGAAGGCCCTTGGCTGATTTGGCCTGGGATTGCTAGGAAAGCAACCTCCCAATCCTACTAGCAAAGAATGGTGAACACGATGGATGGGATTTAGGAAGGGAAGAAAGAAACCTCTATTTCTCAGATAAGACTGAAACTCAGACATGAGGTGAGGTTTCTACCCCAGTTCTCAGCATGAGTCAGGCCTTAAGTCTTCAGTCTCCCATCTCAAACTTTGATTTCAGGGCCTGTGAGTGCAGGAGGAGGCTTCCAACAAGGCTTTTGTTCTCCCCTTTGTGAGCATGCACAGAGCTAGGAACTCATCGTTTCCTCTACCCCAGGTGTGTATGTGCCTGTAAAAATCACCCATGGAGTCTTTACAGTATACCTGATGATGCTCCCTGCCTGGGCCTTGCCATGACAGTTGAATCAGTGTCTGGGGGTGAGGCTTGGGAATCAATATCTCTAAAAAGCTCTCCACGTGTTCCCTGCATGCAGCCATCAAAGGGGTCAAATCTTGATTGCAACACTAGGGTGTGAGTGATGAAGATAGGAGGTCTCTGTCGGCCACAGACTTCCATGATTTCCTTATTTTCCTATTTTCCTTCCTTCCTTCCTTCCTTCCTTCCTTCCTTCCTTCCTCCCTCCCTCCCTCCCTTCTTCCTTTCTCCCTCCCTCCTTCTTTCCTCCTTTCTTTCTTTCTTCCTTCCTTCTTTCTTCCTTTCCCCTCCCTCTTTTCTTCTTCCTTCCTTCCTTCTTCCTTTCTCACTACCTGCTCTCCCTCCCTCCCTTCCTCTTTTCTTCCTTCCTGCCTCCTTCCCTTCTTCTTCCCTTCTCCCTCCCTCCCTCCTTCTTTTCTTCCTTCCTTGTTTCTTCCTCCCTCCCTTCCTCCTTCCTCTTTCCTTCCTCCTTCTCTTCTTCCTTTCTTCCTTCCTTCCTCCTTTTATCCTTTTGTATTAGTTCAAAAACTTTATTGAGCATATACTATAATGTCTGACATTGTGAAAGGTGCTAAGAACACAGCTATGAATATGAAAGGCAAAGCTCCCACCTCGTCGAGCTTACAGTTTGGAAGGGGAGGGAAACTAGAAGAAATCACATTATCACACCATAAGCATGTTATTAAGAACTGTTATAAGCCACGAAGTCCTGGGAGCTTCAGGGAGCCTGGCAGGAAGTCCTGACCAATGGAGGGGGTGGGGAAGGGCTTCCCCAAGGAAATAATGCTGATCTGAGGTCCAGGGCACGAGAGAGCATCATGCAGGTGCTTTATGGCTCGGCTACACTGGGGCTTCCACCCTGTGGCTACCACCTCTAGGCAAGCTCATTTCCTATGGTAAGTTTCTAAAAAACCAGAAACCATCAGATATCAAGACTGAAAAAAAAAAAACCCACTTTGTCATTTATCTTACTTTACTTCTTATAGCTGTAATGCTAGCTACTATCTGTGTGTGTGTGTCTCTGTGTGTGTGTGAGAGAGATAGAATGTGAGTGTGTGCGCATATGTGTGTGTGTGTGTGTTAGAAAACAGTCAGTAGTTATGAGGGTCTTTTTGGGAAAAATAATGGAGATGGCTATCCTTGAGCTTTGGCTAGAAGAACTAGTTTAGGAGTGAGGGTTTGGGGAGGGGACGCCTCATCTCGCTTTGTTGGGGAAGAGATCTAGAGATTTGTGATGACTTTCAGTCTCAGGCTTTCCTTCCTCAGTTTGGATTGTTGATGGACAGGTTTTTCTTTAATCTATTTATAGAGACATTTCTATATCCATACATCAGAAAAGCAAGCAAGTATAATTCTGAAACAGAAATGAGCTGCCACTAAAAAGACCTTTAGCCACTGAATAATTCCCCTTTCCCACCACAGATATGCAAGCATTTTATTAGAAGTAAGTGGAGGTTTTAGTTTACTTTATTTAGAATACTGTCAGAACTTATTAACCTCATATAACACATGAACGCCATTACACGGTGGTCTTAAAAGAGTGGCCGGCAATATTTGGAGGATTTTTCCAAGACCCTCCCAGGAGATTAACTGAAAGGAGAACAGTGGGAGAGCATGCCCAGTGGTAAAAACAGCATGTGCAAAGGCCCTGGGGCAG
Source organism: Homo sapiens (assembly GCF_000001405.40). Classification (NCBI taxonomy): domain Eukaryota; kingdom Metazoa; phylum Chordata; class Mammalia; order Primates; family Hominidae; genus Homo; species Homo sapiens. The sequence goes on along the minus strand of NC_000016.10, from coordinate 26,801,845 downwards.
GAGGAAGCAAGGCAACTTTAAGAGCAGAAAGGAAGCCAGAGCAGCTGGAGCTCAGGAAGCAATGGTGAGATTACACAGCCTGAGTTTGCAGAGGGAAGCAGAAGCTGGGCCATCCATGGCTGTGGTAAGGGAGATGGTCTTTATCCTTGAAGTTGTTGAGCAGAGAGAGTGGCACAATCAGCTCCTGTCACTTATAAAGCTCACCCAGGCTATGGGAGGGAGAGTGCACTGATGGGCAGTCAGAATGCGGGAGCACAACTCGTTCTCAGCTGCTGTACACTCTGCTCTGTGTGCAGGCACGATCCCACCCGGCCATGGGCAGTCCCTCTCCCTGTTCCTTCCCACCTTCTCAGGGATGCCTCGCTCCCTCCTCCTTTCTCTCTTCTGCATCTTTAATATCTCCTTTCTTCCATCCTTTCTCTCCTAGGTCCCAGTTCATGGCCTATATGCATTACCAAATCACTTGGACAAACAAAAAGAATGGCTGGATATATTATGGGGTGTCCACATTATGGATTATTATGTAGCCATTAGGAAGACAAAGAACCACATCAGGTGACTAGGAGGGATTTCCACAAGGCATGGCTGAGTGTCAAACAGCAAAAGGTAGAGACATGTATAATATGACCCCAGGTTTATGTGTCCCCCCCCCCAGATGCATATATAAACATATACACACACATACATATTCATGTGCAGGGACACACACACACATATTCATGTGCAGGGACACACACACACACACATACTGCAGTCATACTATTGAGCAACCATGACCATTTGATATCCCAGGATAGGCTGGTGGGGAGGGAGGATCTAAATGTCCAAGAAATTAGCTACTTACCAACTGATATAGACACATTGCAATATTTTCATGACCAGCAAAAGCCTTACTGTGGTTTCTGCAGAACACTGACCCTATTCCACATCTGGATTGGATTTTATGAACGCAGAGAAAAATAGGCAAAGAAACATGGTAGGTTGTTAACATGAATTGTCTAGTGTTGGGAGTATAATGTTAGGGAAGGAAAGAGGCTATAAATAAAATAAATAAAAGCATGCATATAATTACATTTACTCACTTAGGTAATATTATGTGAAATGGATTTATGCAAAAAGGGAATGAATACAAAGACTTAAAAAACACAGAGTAAGGCTGGGTGTGGTGGCTCACGCCTATAATCCCGGCACATTGGGAGTTTGAGACCAACCTGGCCAACATGGTGAAACCCCATCTCTACTGAAAACACAAAAATTAGCTGGGCATGGTGGCACACACCTGTAATCCCAGCTACTTGGGAAGCTGAGGCAGGAAAATCGCTTGAATCCGGGAGGTGGACATTACAGTAAGTCAAGATTGGGTCACTGTACTCCAGCCTGGAGTGCAGCTAAATGAGCAAGACTCTGTCGAGGCGGGTGGATCACAAGGTCAGGAGTTTGAAACCAGCCTGGCCAACATAGTGAAACCCCGTCTCTGTTAAAAATTAAAAAAAAAAAAAGCTGGTCATGGTGGCACATGCCTGTAATCCCAGCTACTTGGGAGGCTGAGGCAGGAGAATTGCTTGAACCAGGGAGGCGGAGGTTGCAGCAAGCTGAGATCGCGCCACTGCACACACGCCCGGGTGACAGTGCAAGACTCCATTTCAAATAAATAAATAAATAAATAATAAAATAAAATAAAAATAAAAATAAAAAACCCACAGGGAAGACATTCTTTGGCCCTGCCCATCCTCCAGCAACTTCTATTTTGCTTGGTCCTTGAAAGAAAGGCCATTCTTAACTGTCTTCACTTCTTTTTCTTTCCCTCACTCCTCAAAGACTTCTGTTCCCACATTCCATGGACACTTCAATTGCTGTCACCCATTTCCTCTCCCTGACAATGGCTAAATCCAATAGGTGCTGCTATGTCCTTGCACTGGTTGACAGCAAGGCCAGCATTTGACGTTGCTAATCCTCCTTGCATCTTGTCAGCCTCCAGGTTCTCTCTGCAGTTGCTGTGAAATCACCAAACTAGGACTCTCCAGGCTGGTCCTGTTTTCTCAGCGCAGTGATGGTGTTGGATCACATACTCTCCCTGATTTCCAAGCCAGGATATGCTTTCTTGGTCACTCTCCTTTTTTTTTTTTTTTTTTTTTTGAGATGGAAGTCTTGCTCTATCACCCAGGCTGGAGATCACGCCACTGCGTGATCTCGGCTCACTGCAAACTCCACCTCCCAGGCTCAAGAGATTCTCGTGTCTCAGCCTCCTCAGTAGCTGGGATTACAAGCATGGGCTACCATGCCCAGCTAACTTTTGCATTTTCAGTAGAGACCGCGTTTTGCCATATTTGCCAGGCTGGTCCCGGCAAACCTCAAGGTCTGCCAGGCAGACCTCAAGTGATCTGCCCATCTCAGCCTCCCAACATGCTGGGATTGCAGGCGTGAGCCACCATGTCTGGCCCACACTCCTTCATCTGGTTATTCCTTCCCAGTGCGTTGCTGGGTCTCCTTCTACTGATCTGCAACAGTTGGCCTTTTCCATGGTTGCAATCATCAGTTTCTCTTCTTTTGGCTCTGCATGTTTTCACTTTGTAATATTCTGGCTCTAACTTCCACTGGTCCCTTCATAGGTCCCACACATCTCCCTTCAGCCATGAAAACTCTTCATAAACACCTAATTTCTTAGGGGGTTTCTTCCTATCTGAGGTTGCACATATATTGTTACCTTTAACTCATCCACAAGTAAATTCACTGTCTCGTCAACTCCACAGTGTGGTCTTCCTCCTGCATCACTCTCGCAGTGATGGCAGCCCCCATCACTCACCCAGGGACTAGACAGGGTGCCAGGGTAGGTTCTCCCATCAATGGATTGCTGGGCTGTAAGTTCGAATCCTTCGTCTTTGCTCAGGTGCCGCCCCAGGCTCCTTCCAAGTCCCCCTGCCTCTAGTATTATTTCCTTTTAATGCACTTTCCTCACTGCTGCTAGAAAGAGCTTTTCAAAACACAAATCTGACCATGTCTTTCCTCTCTCTACAATCTCCACTGGCTCCCCATTGCCCTTCCCTCGAAGTCCTTTCATTATCTGGTCATGCCTACCTGTCCAGTGCCCCTCTTGTTGTTCTGCTGTGAACATGACACCCTGGCTGCATAAACCATCAGCAGTTTCCAGAAAGTGGGCTACTCTTTCTTCCTGTTACATCTCTGCTGACATTGTCCTGCACCTCAGCTTGTCCTCCCTGCCCAATCATTCCCCACTCAGACACTTACTCATCTTTCAAGACTCAGCGACAGCGTTTCCTCCTCCAGGAAGCCTTCCTTGACTCCTGATTCCCTTCCCCTGTGTGCCTCCATTGGCCTTTGCCTCAAAGCCTCCCCAGTGCATTTACTCCAACTGGCTAAGAGAGCTTGGGGATGTGAGAGAACTCAGATTTTGCCTAATCTTCCCCTGCTTCTCAGGACAGAGGGTCCCTGAGAGCATGTGGGGATGGCGCCAGAATCAGATGGCTGCTTTTCCAAATCACAGGCCTGTGGACCCGAGTTCCAGGACAAACCTGGAGAAAGACAGCACAGGAATCTAGTTGGTGTCCTGTCTCTGAGAAAAGAGACCCAGCCCCACCACTGGTTTGCTGTGTGGCCTTGGCCCGGTTGCTTAACTTCTGTAGCTCATCTCTACAGGGAGGCAGGTGGACAGCAGGCTCTCAGAGGTTCCTTCTGCATTTCAGGCTTTAGGCTTTAGGGAAGTGGCAGCAGGCTCCCGTAGGGGTTAGTTGCTTGGCCTGCAGAAGAACAGGATTCAAATGCTATCTCTGTATGGTGGACACCGGGAAGTACCGCTCAGATCTCCCTTCACGAAAGGACCCTCTGTGCAGCTGTGAGGAATGTGCCTAGCTATTACCTCCTTCAGGATCTGCGTCAACTTCTGATGGGAGGTCCTGTTCTTTTTGGAACAGCCTCTAGTCCTAAGCAAGGTGGTGGTAGCCTGGTCTGGCAGTTTCCACTCAACCCGGGACTCTGATGGGCATCCTTTGCTTTGCAGCTCCTGCATCCAACCTTGTGAAGCCTACAGAGCTGTCTGAGGCTCCAGCTTCCTGCCTCTGCCTCTTTCCTTTCATAGGCATTATCTCCTCTCAGCTCCTTGTCTTCCAACTCTGTCTCAGCACCTGCTTCTTGGAGAGCCCAGATGGCCTCACTCTGCTGTGTCTCAGCTCCTTGACTGCACCCTCTCCCGCCTCAGTGTGCTCATCTCTAAACTGAGCTAATAACACCTAACTTATAAGATGTCCTGAGGATTACATGAGTCAATGCATATAGGTTGACATCTATCTACATGCATTGACTTGTTTGTAGATTGGGCACAGTCTCTGGCATATGGAAAACACAATGCGTGTGGTCTTTGTAAAATTGTATTAAGTATTTTATTAAAATAGTAGTTTAAGTGCACCTCAAGGAACCAGAGAAGCATGTGTTGGAAACCCTTGCTAAGTCATCTCTCCCGCTGCGATTTCTTTCATGGCATTTCCTCTGCCTGAGGTCTTCCTTTGGGTCTAGTGTTCAGGGGTCTGAGCCTCCCTAGGCTGACTCCAGCTCAATACAGAGCCCCCAGAGGCCTGGAGGCCTGGAGTGGAGCCATGAGGAAACCGAGATGGCAAGGGACAGCGTTTGGAGGCTGGGCTGACAAGCGTTTGCAGGCTATCTATGAGGCCGTTCCCAGGAAGGATGGCTTCAGTTCTGCCCTGGAAGTGTTGCCCAACCCGTATTGCCGATCCATCTCCTGAGCTGTCAAACATTTCACTGGCACCTGCCTGGGTTGGGAGACAGTTTATAAGCTGTGTTTCTCCCTCACAATCCTGCTGCTCCATTGCTCTAGCATTTTGAGTTGTACCTGCTTGAGGACCTGTCCCGTGACTGTGTGTTTCAGCGGGGGTCAGGATGGGAGGTGGGGAGGGAGGGCGAGCAAGAAGAAAGGGATGAAAGAGAGCCTGTAAAAATGCCACATCATAGAAACAGCACTCTACCCCTGAGATTTTCAGTCCTGGAGTTTGCTTCATGACATCAGTCTTCCTCGGGAGTGTGCATATATATAAAGAATGAAAGTAGGCCAGGTACAGTGGCTCACACCTCTAATCCCAGCACTTTGAGAGGCCGAGGAGTTCACTTGAGGCCAGGAGTTCGAGACCAGCCTGGACAACATGGTGAAACCCTGTCTCTACTAAAAGTACAAAAATGAGCTGGGTGTGGTGACAGGCACCTGTAATCCCAGCTACTTGGGAGGCTCAGGCAGGAGAATCACTTGAACCCAAGAGGTGGAGGTTGCAGTGAGCTGAGATCGCACCACTGCACTCCAGCCTGGGCAACAGAGAGACTCCATCTCAAAAAAAAAAAAAAAAGAATAAAAGCAGACAAGGCTTAGGGCTCTTAAAGTCAGTGGATGTCAAGGTCAATTTGAGAGCCTGATGAAGGCGGTGGCCCCAGTCTTGAGAAAAATGCATCCATACCCAGACTCTTTCCTGCTGCAGAACCTTCCTCCTGCTGCCCTGCTGGTCAGAAGGCTCCACACCCACTCTGCCTGTCTCACTTCTTGTCACATCCTAGGTGTCGGCTCACCTATTGCCTCAGTAAGGCTGCCCTGAACTACCTAGTTATTCTCTTGCATAGCATCCTCCTTTTTCTTTTAAAGCATTGATCACCATTTATAACAATATATTCACTTGGTTGTTTACATATTATCTGTTTCCCTGCTACCTGCATGCTCTAGTTAAGTAGGGACTGCATCTGTTTCCTTCAGCAATATATCCCCTGGGTCTAGCACAAAGTAGAAACCCAATGTGTATTTGTTGAATGATGGATGGATGAATGGATGGATGGGTGGATGATCAAATAGCTGTCTCTGAATATGTTTCAGGGCAAGAATATGAGAATGAACTCATCACCTTAAACAAAGCATAGGTCCCTCCTCCAACCTCACAGTACAGTCCTGGCCTTTGACACAGCTCATGCTGGCCCCATGGTCTGTGGTGCTGGTCCTCCAAACTTTTCTGGGAATGTTACCCTTCTTGTGTCTCCTCTCCCCAACATGCACAGACCTGGGCATCAGCATCCATCTAAAGGACTTACTCCTTTTATTTCCTAAGACCCTCCAGGAAACTGTTCAAACTGTGGGAGGAGAGCTTCAATAATGATTGAATTTCCCTCCAGCCTGGGGAAATGGGGGGATTAGAGTCAGATTTAATTTGATTTTAGACAAATAAAGTACTGTGACATTTATTGCACACCTGAATTGCTGGAAAAAAATTCTGGCCATGATGGGATGTTCACAGGGCTGCCAAGCAACAGTCGTGCAGGGCTGTGTCTTGTATAAGGGACACAGCATGGGGCATCTTGCTTGCAGTCAGAGTGGGGTCAATTTTGCAGGTTCATCCAATATCAGCATATGTCAGTCTACCAAGTCCTGTGCCTGTGGGGCTACAAACCCCTAGGGGGTGCCCTTTTCTAATTCAGAAAATGCTGTCTGTTCTGGCACCAGCCTTGGGTGGGGAGAAGTGTGGAGGAAGCAGGCAAGGACGGGTGATGATGTGTCCAGGAAGTTGTGGTGTAGTCCAGCCTTGAGCTGCAGGTAGCCTGGGCCAGTGGCGGGAGGGTCTGGGACTGCAGGTAGATGGGTTAGCCTCAGAAGGATTCAGAGCATGGGGAACAAAGTGAGATTATATCTTGTTTCTCATGGTCCTTTAGTCCTTTGGCTTCAAAAGCCCTCATGTACTTTCATATTTTACCTTTCTAGACAAAGCAGATGTACAACGTTGTGATCAAGTCTGCTCGAGTGTCCTCCCTCCCAGGAGAGGATATACCATCCATTTGTTCATTTATTCATTCATTTCTTTAAAAATACTCCTTAAAGTCCTGCTCTATGCCAGTTTCTGTCTTAGGAGCTGGAGATGCAGCAATGAACACATCAGACAAAAATGCCAGCTCTTGTGGAGCTTAATTTCCAGAGGGGGAAATAAACAGTAAGCACAAGACATCAGAAAAGTATTTAAGGTGATTAAAAAGTGACAAATGCCATGGAGGAAAAAAAGAATTGGATAAAGAGTTGTAGGAGTGTTGCAGAGAAGGGGCAGTGGCAATTTAGATGGGGTGACGACAATGAGCTGCATTGACGTGATGCTTGCACAAAAACGTGGAGATGAAAGAGTGAGCCATGGAGGCATCTGGGGGTAAGATCCTTCCAGGCAGTCAAAGAGCCAGTGCAAATGTCGCAACACAGGACAGTGTCTGGTACAGGACTTACTACATTCATTATCATTTTCTATTTTATGTCTGCTTCGCAAAGTGGGGTACCTATAACTCCTGGGGTTCACCTCCATTTGTCAGGAGAACACAGGAGGTTTCAGGATAAACAAGGCTCACTTTGCTGGAATCTCAATTGTATAAAACTTCTTTTTATTTATTCATTTATTTACTTATTTATTTATTTCAGACAGTCTTGCTCTGCTGCCCAGGCTGGAGTGCAATGGTGTGGTCTCGGCTCACTGCAACCTCCACCTCCCAGGTTCAAACGATTCTCCTGTGTCAGCCTCCTGAGTAGCTGGGGTTACAGATGCCTGCCACCATGCCCAGCTAATTTTTCCTTTTTTTGTATTTTTAGTAGAGATGGGGTTTCACCATGTTGCTCAGGCTAGTCTTAAATGCCTGGGCTCAGGCAATCCACCTGCCTCAGCCTCCCAAAGTGCTGGCATTACAGGTGTGAGCCACCACGCCCAGCCTTTTTAAAATTTTTTATTTTTTGAGTAAAACTTTTTTTTTTAATATGAAGAGGTTGAATATAAAAGTTTTATGCCTATTTTCATGTGAGAACATGAGGCTTGCAAGAAATATCATGTTCACATTCATAGCTCATTTCCAACTCCTCTCCAGAACTTTCATCTCAGTGGCATGAGATGGTTGTACTCTGCCATCTTGGGCACTTCGGTGGTGTCTTAGTCCATTTGTGTTGCTAGAAAGGGATGACTGAGGCTGGGAAATTTATAAAAAAAGAGGTTTATTTGGCTCATGGCTCTTCAGGCTGTACAAGAAACATGGTGACCACATCTGCTTGGGCTTCTGGAGAGGGCCTCAGGCCGCTTCCACTCATGGCGGAAGGTGAAAGGGAGCTGTTGTGTGCAGAGATCACATGTGAGAGAAGGAGCAGAAGAGGGAGGGAGGTACTGGGCTCCCTTTAGTAACCAGCTCTTTCAGGAACTAATAGAGCAAGAATTCACTGATTACCATTAGGACACACCAAGCCATTCATGAGGGATCCACCCCAATAACCAAAACCCCTCCCATTAGGCCCCACCTCCAACACTGGGGATCACACTTCAACATGAGATTTGGAGAATCAAAGGAACCACACTACAGCCATGGGAAAGACAGAGATGCTGGGATTTACACATCTGTCTCCCTCACTAGGCTGTGAGCAGAGCCCATCTTTTTCAGATCATTACTGCCTGTGCTGGATATCTTGCCTGGAACATAGAGCATCCCAGATAAAGAGAAGTCCTTCCCCTGTCTTCCTCCTTCCAGGTGAACTGCCCCTACCCCTTGGAGGCCTGGGCTCAGCTCTCTCACTGTAAAGGTCTCACGGACTCACCTTCGTGAAGGTGCCAGGTGGGCAAGAAAAGTGCATGACATGGGCCAGGGTGGAATATGACAGGGGATGGGGAGGACTGTGGCAAACTGGAGAACACCTGGTCAGTGTAAGGGGAGAAGCTGCTCCTTACCTCCATGAAGACCCGTGGGACCAAATTTCCCAGTTCTTTTGGTTTTAAGAAAAGTTAAACATCTGATTTTTTTTTTAAATATAGACAATGATATTAAAATGTCTGTAGGGGCCGGGCGTGGTGGCTCACACCTGTAATCCCAGCACTTTGGGAGGCTGAGGCAGGGGCAGATTGCTTGACCCCAGGAGCTTGAGACCAGCCTGGATAACATGGCGAAATCCTGTCTCTATAAAAAATACAAAAATTAGCCAGGCGTGGTGGTGCATGTAATCCCAGCTACTCAGGAGGTTGAGATGGGAGGATGGCTTGATCCCAGGATGTGGAGGTTGTAGTGAGCCAAAATCATGCCAATGCACTATAGCTTGGGTGACAGAATGAAACCCCATCTCGAAAGAAAAAAAGTGTCTGTAGGTAAAATTTGAGGAGATGGGACTTGCAAATACACCCCCCAGAGACCCAGAGCAATGGGAAGAGCCCTCCAGGGATCCCAACTGAGAAGCTGAACTCTGGGCAAGGCCCAGCAACATGTGGCCAGAGCCAGCCTGAGCAGACAAGACACCTTTGATGCTTGGCCACCTTCAAGAGTGAGTCTCCTGAGGAGCGGGGAGAGTGGCAGAGCTTCCAGCTAAAAAATTCTAGTTCTTTATTCAAGAACTGAGTCTAGGGGTACACGTTAGAAGCATATTTATAGCAATCTCTACTTGTAAGAGTTTAATATATTTAATTTTAAAAGGGGAACTCATTGTCTTACTAAAATAAGACATTTAGGAGGCTATGGGTTCAGGTATGGCTGGGTCTAGGTGTTCAAAAATGTCCTCAGGAATCTTCCTCTACCCTCTGGTTCTGCTTCCCTCTACGTTGACTTTAGTATCATGGAGAATTTCACTGCAGAGTGCCTAGTTGGTTGTCTGCAATGTCATGTTTATATCCTACCAACTTAGCAACCTTAGTAAAAACAGTATCTTCTTATGGCTCTCACAAAAGTTCCTGGTTTGGCTTTGCTGGGGCTGGCTTGAGTCACATGCCCACATGTAGAGCCTGGCAATGGGTCAATCTCCTTAGAACTACATGGACTGAGAGTGAGGGAGGGAGCCCCCAAAGGAAAATCAAAATGTATTTCCAGAAGAGGTGAAGGGATGAAGGTTGAGCAGGCAAAACTACAGGGTTCTCGCTGCACTCCTCAGACATGGGGCAAGAATTCTCAACTTTCCAGCCAGCATGTGACACTCTTTCTTCCTCCTGCTTCCTATTTCCTCTTGACATCCATCCCTGTGGCCCTTCCTGGGGAGGAGACACCTGCTCCCATCTCAGCTGGGGTACTGATTGCCTGTCAGAGCCCTTCAGAGCCTTGATACTGGCATTTCATTTTACATGTGATATTGCAGGCTCCTGGCACTCTGCCCTCCAATGCTTCCACCCCTGCCTCCCAGCAGCCACTCCCCGGTTCCCTTTTCTGCAACAGAGATGATCTAGCTCATGTGTGCTGACTCTTGCCTGCTGAGTTTTTCTTCTTTCTACCTCTTCTTTAGACTCATAGTTCCTTAATTCCCCAGTGAAGATCTGAGAAAGGCTGCCATTCTAACACCCTTCAGGCCACGTAGTGGAGATGTTACTTGCTGTATCCTTGGGATGGCAGACCTGGCACAGTCTTTATAGGATGAAACCCAAGACTCTCAGGGTGCGCACATACACAGGAGGATCCCTTGAAGCCAAATGGGCTGACTGGGTCACACAAGGCTGAGCAGGAGGCCAGAGGTTACTGCCGGGAGGGCATTTATGGTCCACAGCACAGAGAAGGGAAACCTGGGCGGAGCCCAGTGGACTCTCTAAGTTGAAGAAATAAGGTTGGGAGTCGGGGGAGGGCGAAGCAGCTAAAGTTCTCAGGGCAAAGTACTAGAGTTCACAGGTCAGAGAGTAGGGAGGAGGAGGAGGAGAAGGAGGAAGACGAGGAGGAAGAGGAGGAGGAGGAAGAGGAATACGAGAAGGAGGAGGAGAAGGAAGAGGAGGAGGAGGAGGAGGAAAGAGATCTGGAGTTTAGTAAAGGACCCTTCTTGTCTTCAGTTGAGTCATGATCAGCCCATGCATGTCAGGAAAAGGAAACCATCAGAGATCAAGGAAAAACCACTTGAGAGGATTAGAAGAACAATGAGGGAGCTTCCACATGGCTGAGAATAGTTCCTGTTCCCACCAGCCAGAGTGGAAAACCTTACAATAATCCTTGGACACTGGGTAGAGTTCTAGAAGGAGTACTCAGCGGTCCTGCCAAAGAAAGTTTAAAAGCAAGACTCAAAAGGACCAAACTGTTTTCCCTAACTTAACTGGATCCCAGAAGAGAGTTCAAAAATATTCACAGGAATATAAAAATACCCAGCATCCAATAAGGTAAAATTCACATCGTCTGCCATTCAACAAATAATGACCAGGAATGAAAAAAAGTAGAAAAATATGACCCATAATGAGGAGAAATATCAATCAATTAAAACCTACTGAGAAATAACACAGGTGGCAGAATTGAGAAACAAGGACATTAAAAGAGTTATAACTGTGCTCTATATATTCAAGAAACTAGCAGTAAGGTTGAGTATTGTAAATAGAAATATGTAAAATATAAGACTCAGGTTTCCAGATAAAATGAAAGCTCTTCAGTCAAATTTGAATTTCAGACAAATAGTAGATTTTTTTAGTGTGTGTCCCAACTATTGCATATACTCTAAAAATTGTTCACCATTTATCTAAAATTCAAATTTAACTGGGAGTCTTGTATTTTATTTGTTAAATCTGGCAATCCTAAAAAAGACTCAAATTGTGTTTCTGAAGATAAGATCTATAGTGACTATGATTCAAAAAATATACACATGCTCTGCATGGAATCAAGAGCAACTTAGACATAGCAGAAGAAAAGATGAATGAACGTGAAGTCATAGCAGTAGAAACTACCCAAAATGAAACACAGAGAGAAAGAAGATTAGAAAAAAAATGAATGGAGAACAGCAGCTGAACACGTTTAGTCAGAGTGCCCTAAGGACAAAATGAGTGAGATGAAAAAATATTTAAAGAAATAATGGCCAGCAATTTCCAAAATCTGGTGAAAACTATAAACCCACAGAGAGTGAGAGAAGGTACACATTGCCGATATCAAGAATGAAAGGCACGGAGATATATAATCACTACAGATTCTATAGCTATTAAAAGGATCATATGGGGATATTAAGAATAGCTTTTTGCTAATACTTTGGGCAACTTAGATGAAATGGAAAATTTCCTTGAATGGCACAAACTACAAAAGCTCATTTAAGAAAACAAACAAACAGATAAGCAGAATAATCTTATGTCTCTATGGGATTGTGTATTAGTCTACTCTCACACTTCTATAAAGATAATACCCAAGGCTGCGTAATTTATAAACAAAGGAGATTTAATTGAATCACAATTCGGCATGGCTGGGGCGGCCTCAGGAAACTTACAATTGTGGCAGAAGGGGAAGCAGGTGCCTTCAGAAGACTTTAGGAGTAAGTGTGGGTGTGTGAAGGAGGGACTGTCAACCACTTATAAAACCATAAGATCTTGTGAGAACTCACTCACTATCATGAGGACAGCATGGGGGAAACTGCTCCCATTATCCAATTGACTGTCTTTCTCCACATGTAGGGATTACAGGTCCCTCCTTTGACATGTGGGGATTACAATTGGAGATGAGATTTGGATGGGGACACAGACATTTCTAGGCCAAAGCTTCTGCATATTGTTTTTTTTTTTCTGCTTGTTGTTTAATATTTTTATTGGTATGTAATTGGCATACTCCATCTAATATGGTTTGGCTCTGTGTCCCCACCCAAATCTCATCTCGATTGTAATCCCCACGTATCCTTACAAATTTCTGGACCAAATCTTCTTTATGTTTTCTTTTCCTGCTTGTTGTTTAATATTTTTATTGGTATGTAATTAGCATACCCAACGTGATATGGTTTGGTTCTAAGGACTTGCATGCAAAGCTATGTGCACAAGGATACCCATTTCAACATTGTTTGCAATGTCAAACTATTGGAAATTACCTAAAGGTCTCAACATAAATATCCATTAATAGGAAACCTGTTAAAACAACCAAGAGTATATCTATATAATTGCCTATGGCATATTCGTTTAAAAGTTTTTTGTGTACTGAAGAAAGACGCTCTTCAAGATACATGGTTAAGGGAAAACACTAATGGTGAAAAAGAGTATATGCAATCATATATTACAATCATATATATATACACACACAATCTATTTATATATATTTATATATTTCTGGTGCATAGAATAACACACACACACTATACATATATATATATACATATATATATATATATATAAAACAAAGTACATGGGGATCTATACTGTATATTTGTACAGATGTAGAACATTTCTAAAAGAATATCCAAGAATTTAGTTATTGTGGTTCTTTCCTGAAGGGGGAATTGGGGAACTTGAGGTTCAGGGTAGAAAGGAAACTCAGTTTTTACTGCATATGCTTTTGTAATGCAGTCACGTTTACTTTGTGCAAATATTACTGATTTATTTTAAAGTTCTCCAAAAATCAAAATCATAAACATTAAAAAAATGAGGCTCCAAATTTGAATTCTCCTGGGCATATTCATGCTTTCATCTTATTTTCAGTCATGGTTTGGCATGCGTGCTACTTGGAGTAGATTAGGCTGTATTGTTATCATAGGTAGACTCAAATGTGGAATGGATTAACACATTTGATATGTATTATTTACTTATGTAACAGTCCTGATTGAGTGTTCAAATCAACAGGGAGGCTTATCTGCACAGGACCATTCAGAGACTGACTCCTTCCAGTCTGTGGCTCTTCCATCTTTTAATGTCCTATAACATTTCTAAGAACCAGCAGAAGAGAAAAAAAAGATGGAGGATCAAGCACGGTAGGCTTTAGGAACCAGACCTGGAAGTGGCCTACGTCATCACTTCTGCTGTCATTTCATTGGCTATAACTTATCACATGACCACACCAACCGCAAGGGAGTCTGGGAACTGTAGTATACCTGGTGCATAGGTGGAAGGAAGAGTAGATCTTGTGGATAGCCAATAGTTTCTGATAGTCATGGTGCACTATCAGTACTCCAAAATATGGATTGAGTCAAGGGATTACAGCATCCTAGAGGAATGGAGCCCAGTGAACGGTTTCAGGTCCTGTCAGCACTCCTCATATTATTTCCCAGCATCTGTTTCCTGTGTCCAGTTTTCTGATCTCTCAGTGGAGAGATTACAAATGCAAGCAGTTTCATGGGGCAGAAAGCATGAGGCTGAATGGCAGGAGACCTCAGTTTCAGGCCCTACTCTGATTACCTGAGTCCTGCTTCTTTGTCTGTAAAATGGGATGGTAGCATTTCTATCCCTAGAAAGGTTGAGCTGTGCCTTAGTAGTTCAGTCTTTGGAAAAGGCAATGCCTCCCTGTGGTAGGTGAAGAGGGGGAGAACCTGGGAAGAGAGAAAGAAGCTAGTGGGAGAAGGAATGGAGGAAGGAGTCTTACATTTTTGGGTGCACTTATACATGCCAGATTCTGCCAGTTACTTTATATGCATTAGTTCATTCAATTCTCATGACAACACTCTATGAAATCACATATTACAAACTCCACTTTACAGATGAGTAAACTGAGTGTAGAGTGGTAAAGTGACATGACCCAGGAACACACAGCTAGTACATGATGGAGCAGGGATTAGAACCCAGCTATTTATGATTCTGAAGCCTGTGCTCTTAGCTAGTAAAATGCAGCCCTGGAGTTCCCTAGTAAATCTACTTTTTGTTTTTTGTTTTTTGCCAGAGCTTTGGGTCATAATCCCCTCTGCTTGTAAACACATCGGCCCAGAGAGGTGGAGGGTTCTTCTACTGTTGATTTAATATTTTGGAGGAAATAGGTTTATGACCCAAATATATTTCCCCCTATTAAACATTACAGCTTCTTTGAGCTTCACTTTTGGCTTAACTTGCTTTATGGTGGGGTTGGAGTTTCTGCGGTGGGTTTGACTGGAGTTCTCCAGAGGTGCTGACGCCCACTTCTGAACTACCACGTCTCAATCCACTCTAAATTTTGTTGGGTCTATATCTGAATCAATTAGGGATGGCATGTAATAGGAAATTCAATCACTCTGACCAATAAAAAGAGGTTTATTTTTTTCAAGCAACAAGAAATCTGGAGTGAGTCAGCCTAGGGCTTATTTAACAGCTCTATGATACCATCAGTGTATTTGGTATTACGCTTATTCCCTCATGGCCCCAAGATGGTTGCTGTACCTCCTAGTATGGCACCCACATTCCAGGCAGGACAAAGGGCAAAGCATGAAGGAAATGCAAAAATAGAAGCCATCCAGTCTGTTTCTTTTTAAAAGCCCAGAAACCTCACCTGGTATCTTCTTATATTTTACTGGCCACAACTGAATTATATAGTCACCCTTATTTGCAAGGAAGATTGGGAAGTATTTTTAAACACACATTTTGCCAACCAGGACATAATTGGGATCTATTAGTCATAAGGAGAGTGGGTACTGGAGCCGGCAGCTATTGATGTCTGCCACAATATTCCAAATATCTTTTCGATGTGTCTGTTTTTTTTTTTTTTTATCTGCACCGACATTTCAGGCTATTGTTATTTCTCTCTTGGACTCTGAAATAGCCTTCTATTTGGTATTTCCACATTCCCTCTTGACCCCCCTTCCCCCTTCACATAATCTATTTTCTACACTGTGGCCAGAGAGATCTTTATAGAACATAAATCTGACCATGTCACTCCCCTGCAGGATAATGTATTGAGTTAGTGCTATGTGTTTTATTTTTTGCTGCTGTTAAAGAAAAAATAAGAACCATCTGCCTCCCTTTTCCTCAAATTGATGTGCAAGGTGCATTTCAGTCACCTGTGGCTTCTTTTGTCCAAAAGCAAAGTTCGGAGATGAAGAGATATTTGCTGAGTGGAGACTGAAGTGATCTGAGTTGGCAGAGTGTTCTTAAAAGTGAGGACAGGTTTTGGGGTTCTGTCTTGAGCCCTGGTTCCCTGTGGTGCCCTTGGGAAGTGGCAGACTTAGGAAAATGGTGACATGGAACATGTAGGGGGGCTGGCTGAGATGCTAAGGCACAAGACTTGCTAAAGACCCTAAGTCCAAAGCTGAGGGAAGTAGCACTGATGTATAGCTTCAAGGGGCCTCAAATAATTGCAAAAGTAACATGTTATCAGGCAAGCCCATCCTTGGGGGCACGCAAACTGGTAGTCACATGGGGCCCCAAACGAAGAAGATCCCTGTGCTTGGTTTAATGCTCTGTTGGACCGGGCGTGGTGGCTCATGCCTGTAATCCCAGCACTTTGGGAGGCCACAGTGGGTGGATCACTTGGGGTCAAGAGTTCAAAACCAGCCTGGCCAACATGGTGAAACCCCATCTCTACTAAAAATACAAAAATTAGCCGGGAGTTGTGGTGCACGCCTGTAATCCCAGCTACTCAGGGGGCTGAGGCAGGAGAATCACTTGAACCCTGGAGGCAGAGGTTGCAGTGAGCCAAGACAGTGCCACTGCCCTCCAGCCTGGGCGACAGAGCGAGACTCTGTCTCAAAAAAAAAAAAAGAAAAGAAAAGAAAAAGGAAAAAGAGCTCTGCTGTCATCGTCTTAGAATTATTAATAATCTTTTAACAAGGGGCCCTGATATTTTCATTTTGCATGAACTAAGTAGCTTGTCTGGATGTCAGGTGACAGGTGTGACCCAGAAGTCTGGACTGTGTAAGCCTCCTGAGACTTTTGCAAGATCCTGGGGGGATTTGGACAAAGAAATTCCAACAATAATTCCGATTGGGTTTCCTGCCAGGCTAGGTGCTCAGAGTCGGATTTAATTTATTAATAGGGACAAAGTGGGAAATGCTACGATATTTCATGTACTTAATTACTGTGGTGGAGAAACACTCATATCCGCTACACCTTCAGGACTTTCTCATTATGCTCAGCACACACCCTTGTGTCATTAGCTCAACCTGTAAGTTGTTCGGTTCTGCCACTTTCTCCGGCACCATTGTCTCTCTCCACTTTTGTTCTTTGTCCTCCAACTATACTGATGTCCTTTGATTCCTGGGACCAGCGCTCCCACCCCTCTCTTTTCAAGTCCTCTCCTCTTCAATTTTTTTCTGCCTGAAATAATCATCCTCCCCACTCAACACACACACCTCATTCATTTGTGGAAATTTTTCTTATTCTTAGGGACTCCATGTATATGACACATCTTTGAATGAGATTTCTGGCTGGACGTGGTGGCTTATGCCTGTAATCCCAGCACTTTAGGAGGCCGAGGTGGGGGATCACTTTAGGTCAGGAGCTCGAGACCAGCCTGGCCAACATGGTGAAACTCCCATCTCTACTAAACATGTAAAAATTAGCCAGGCGTAGTGGTGCACGCCTGTAATCCCAGCTACTTGGGAGCCTGAGGCAGGAGAATTGCTTGAATCGGGGAGGCAGAGGTTGCAGTGAATGAGATTGTGCCACAACATTCCAGCCTGAGCGGCAGAGGGAGACTCCATCTCAAAAAAAAGAAAGAAAAAAGAAAAAGAGATAAAGAGATTTCTATGACCACTCTCTCCTCTCCAACTCTGGATTAAACTCATTTAGCATCTGGCTGAGTGAGTTTTGAATCTCAGCTCCTCCTGTGTGACCTCAGGCAGGTTACTGCATCTTTCTGTGACTCGGTATTCCCATCTGGACAATGGGGATAACAGTCATTTATCTCTGTCTTGTTGTGAAGATTAAGTGAGTTAATTTATGTCAAGTGCTTAGCACTATGTTTGGCACAGAGGTAGCGCCTGGAAAGCACTGCCTATTTTTGTTTTTGTTAGTTCTTGTTTTTTCTTTGCTGCCAGCATTCAGCACAGTGCTTGGGGCTTAGTGAATGATTAACAGATATTTGTTGGATTGAGTTGTGTGGCCTGTACGTGCAGGCAGTATAGTGACGCAGATTCGCACGTTTGTTACTCAGAGGAGAGCTAGTTATCTCCCACCCCATAGTTGCAGATGAGCTCGGAGACCAAGATCTTGGCTTTTCAAGGAAACTCTGGTTTCTCTGAACCCCATAAGATTTGCTTGAGCCTGTTTGACTCTTAACCCTAATCTGACTCCTTGACTTAGTTTCAATCACTGGGTTCCTGCCTTGCTTTTTGTAAACAAAACTCACCTTATAGTCCCATTGACAGTTTCCTATTCCAACTTTCTTCTTTCTCTGATTAATATTCCTCACTATGCCCAAAGTGGAGGGCTCCCTTCTTTACCTATATTGACTTTGAATGCATATTTCTGGTTCTAAAAGCCCACCTTTGTCGGTTATTTTAAGCCAGCCCAAGATACCCACATACTGTGGTTTAGATGTGTCCCCCAAGACTCCTGTGTTGGAAACTTAATCCCCAATGCAACAAGATTAAGAAATTGGACCCTTAAGAGGTGATCAGGTCATGAAGCCTCTGCCTTCATGGATGGATTAATGTCATTATCTTGGGAGTGGGTTTGTTATAAAAGCAAGATCAGCCCCCTCTTGCTCTCTTGCCCTTCTGCCTTGCATCATGGGTTGACACAGCACAAAGGCACTCCCCAGATATAAGCCTTTTGATTTTGTACTTCCAGACACCAGAACTGTAAGAAATGAATCTCTGATTTTTATAAATTATGCAGTCTCAATGTAAGTCAGTTCAGCTGCTGTGGAAAGCAGTTGAAGATTTCTGAAAGAACTTAAAACAGAACCATCATTTGACCCAGTAATCCCATTACTTGGTATATACGCAAAAGGAAACAAATTATTCTGCCAAAAGGACACATACTCATACATGTTCATTGCAGCGCCATTCAAAGTAGCAAAGACATGGAGTCAACCTAAGTGTCATCAAGACAGGACTGGATAAAGAAAATGTGGTACATATACACCAAGGAATACTATGCAGCCATAAAAAAGAATGAAATCATGTTTTTCTGCAGCAACATGGATGCAGCTGGAGGCTGTTATCTTAAGCAAATTAACACAGGAACAGAAAACCAAATACCGGATGCTCTCACTTATGAGTTGGAGCTAAACATTGGGTATGCATTGACATAAAGAAGGAAACAATAGACGCTGGGGACCACTAGAAAGGGGAAAGAGGGAGCGGGGCAAGAATAGAAAAACTGACTATTGGGTGCTATGGTCAGTACCTGGGTGACAGGATCATTTGTATCCCAAATGTCAGCACTATGCAATATACCCAGGAAACAAACCTGCACATGTACCCTCTGAATCTAAAATAAAGGGTGAAAAAATTAATTACTCAGTCTCAAGCACTTTACTATATAGCAGCCCCAAATGAACTTAGACACTACATGTGTGTAAAAAGCTCTTGGCGCCCTTGCCCTTGGTTTGATCTGCTCTGGGCTGATCCCTCAGGCCTTGCTGCAGTTCTAGTCACTTCTGTGCTGCTTTTCAAGAAAGGCATCTGAACACTGGGAAAAATGGGGCTGAAATAGTGCAGCCAATGCACACACTTGATCCCCATAATGGCTGTCTTATGCATTTTGCCTTCATCTCCACCTTGGTTATGCTGAGATGGGCAAAATACAAATTTTTTACCTAAATCTACCCAGAATAAAATAAGGCAAAGATGGAGGTCCTCCAGTAGTAATGTAAGCAATTCCTGTAGGGGGTGACTTAAATATTCATGCATAAATATTTTCCAAATATAGTAAATTTTCCTTTGAATTAACACCTTCCACCAGATTCAGCTAATGAACTTCAGGTCCTATGTGGTCCCTGCTCAGGGCTTTTTACTTCTTTCAGGTTACTGTGAGTAACAGCAACCTGGCGCTAGTTTCTATGTTAATTGATCAGCTTGGGAAGACAGGGTAAACTCAAAATCCAGACCTATGTGAGGGACAACACATGAATGTTTCCTTACCATCTCCCCATGTAGCAGCATTCTGGTTTGTGTTTTCTCTGGGACGTAGCTCTTCGAATTATCCTATTTTAGGCATATATCTGTAGTCCAATTCCTGTGCCAGAGCCTTATGGATAGGGCATGTGTGCTGGGCCTGAGCCGATTTCAGCATCTTATTTCCCTGGTCACCATAGCCATTTTGGAGGTGTGCATGTGACCCAGCCAGAGCAAATGAGAGGGAACAAGCCTTTTCCTGGGAATATTTTTAAGAAGGATCTTTCCTCTCTCCTACTCAGCTCCAGGGCACCAAAGCTGGGAGTGGAGCTGATTCCATGATTCCTCTCTCATTTTCTGTTCTTCTGCCAGGGCTGCGTGTTGGGCAAACCCAACTAGAAGCCACTGGGCAAAGTGACCTGGGTGGAGTGCTTTCCCAGAGTCCACACAAAGTCAATCAAATACAAAGCTATACAAAGTCAGCACCTGATAACTGGGAGGGGAAACTATGTGTGAGTATGGTTCTCCCAGAGGAAGAAGAACTGAGAGATGAAGCAAGGAAAATTACATTCTAGGGACATTTGTACCACCTTTCCCTATCATAAGCCCATTAGAACATTTGTCCTTAGCCAGATTTTGAAGGAAAGGCTCATAATACCTCATTGTCTCTGATTGGATCATGTAGACATTTCTGAACCAATTACCGAGGCCCAGGGAATAAGATATGCTGACTGGCTTCTCAAAGCCAGCCTTACCCATGGATATATCATGTATATAAACAAATAGATCATCTTTTTGCTTAAGCTGTTTGTGTTGGGCTTTCTATTATTTGCAATCAATTAGGGTTGCTTCACTTCGAATTCAAGTCTTCGGAATCCTCAGTCTTTGCACTGAACCCCATAAAAATGGTCATCTCTTTCCTGCTACACACTAGTTCTGAACAAGACATATCTCACGGAGGTTGAAGCTAGAATTAGCCTCTAGCTCCCCATCGCCCCCCATCCATGGATCCTGGAAGAAGAGGGCTATGGATTCCTCTCCTTTCTACTCTTAGCCTATTCTTTGAACATTATTTCCCCCTCATTTTACCACTTAATAGGAAATATGTTAAAAAGATTTAAAACATTAAAGTAGGTTAATTATTTTCAAAAAGAACAGTGAGGTTTTCAAAACTGCTTCTGTCAGTGAATTTAAAATACAATAAATAATTTAATGCCCAATTTTCCCTTCACAATGAAGAATTAAGAAGCTTCAATCTCTCAAATATTCTCTTTAAGAAAGCTAAAATTTCTTCCTCTCCTCTCTCTGGTTGCAGAACTTGGCAGGATAGTGACCCACAAGATTCAGGGTTGGACTGATGAGAGATTCCTTTCCAGGAAGAAGTGTTTCTCTTTAACTGGTGGTGTTTTCAGGGACATTCAAGTTTCTCTAAGTTTTTATTTTGTAAGCACAAGAGATGAGAACATTTATGGCCATTTTGCAGATACAAAGAGTGAGACTCATTGAGGTTTAAAAAATAAGAATAAATTGACTATTCCCAATGAATGAGTTTCTTTTCCCTAAAGGAATGAGATTTGGACTTATTCTACAGAGTTGAATTAGTCAGGGTTGAACAGAAAACATAGTTCATTCTGGGGGGAAATGCAGAAACTCAAAAGGATGTTACAAAGGTCCAGGTAGGGTTAATGGGGCCAGGAAGAGAGGCTGAAGCAACTAAGTCTTGTTAGAGGGAGAAGTCTTTGGTACTCTTAGCAGTGAAGGTAAAAGTGGAAGAGATGGTGTTATAGGACTCCAGGAAGAACTGTACTGAGGAGCTGCAGGAGTTGAATAAGGGAGGAAAAGGGAAAGGAATACTTTGATGTCAACCTCTCTCCTCTTTCCTCCTGCCTTCCAGACGTGGGTCAGTAGCCCCCATTGCCCAAGTACAGCTAGAAGGCTGAGAGCAAAGGAGCCCAGGGGAGACAGTCCACAGGGAACCGCTTCCTGGGACATGAAGTAGAGAACAGAAGTGCAGACAATGAATCAGGGAGAGTGAGTGAGTGGGGAGCAAGTGACTAGCTCTGTGATAATTATTCTTTCATCTTCAAGAAATATCGGGCCAGGTGTGGTGGCTCACGCCTTAATCCCAACACTTTGGGAGGTCAAGGTGGGTGGATTACCTGAGGTCAGGAATTCGAGAGCAGCCTGATCAACATGATGAAACCCTGTCTCTACTGAAAATACAAAAAAATTAGCTGGGTGTGGTGGCGGGGACCTGTAATCCCAGCAACTCAGGAGTCTGAGGGAGGAGAATTGTCTGAACCTGGAAGGTGGAGATTGCTGTGAGCTAAGATCGTGCCACTGCACTCCAGCCTGGGTGACAGAGTGAGACTGTGTCTCAACTGCAATTTATTGAGTTTGTCATTTGTAGAAACATAATTGTAACTTGTCTCCATATATTCTCATCATATGGGTCTTTCTCAACCAAATCTTACACAACCCATAAGAAGTGGAGCTATTCTGGTTGTCATGTGCATTTGTTCTATTTTGGAGCCCTTGGGTGCTTCAGGACATGAACACATGGCCTTTTGTGATCTGCAAAATAACTCAGGGTAATGCATCCCCATTTTGCATATGAGGAAAACAAAAAAAGTTTAAGGGACTTCCTCCAAGTTTTACAGCTATTAAATGGCAGCAGGAGGAGTTGAAACGGGTCCCCTTATAAGTGGCAATAATCAATACCTCCTTGTGAGGCAGAAGTAGAGGAAAGAAGGGAAGGAGAAAGAACCAAAAGGAGGAATGTTCATGGTCTACACTGCCTGCAGAAGATGGTGGACTTCTCATGTCTCTTCTCATCCACAGTGTTCCACCTGTTTCTGTCTGAGGAGAACTCAGGTGCCTTGGGACTTCCCCAGGCCTTCCCTCCACCCCCCACCTTCTTTTTTTAAACCAAAATAGCTCTACTCTTATTGGCTTCACATATGTTGGGATACTGTGTCAGATCTCTGAGAATTTCTATTGCATAGGCTCTTTCTCTAAAGTTCTTGGGCATGCAATCTTGATAGTTTTGGTGTCTGCTGACTTTGCTCATAGGGCACTGTTTTCTTTCCTTTCTGTTATTGTTGAGTTGAGAGCTCATCTTCAGTGGGACTTTATCTGTGGGAATCCTGTGTAGTCTGGTGTGGTGGTGTTTCTCCCCTGCTCAGGAGTTTTTACTTCTTTCAGGTTATTGGGAGTAGCAGCAAACTGGGGCTGGTTTCTATGTTAATTGATCAGCTTGGGAGCCCAGGGGAAACTCAAATTTCAGACCCATGTCAGGGACAAGACATGAATATTTCCTTACCATTGCCCTGTGCCAATGGGCAGCACCATTCTGGTTCATATTTTCTCTGGAATGTAGCCCTGTGAATTATTCTATTTCAGTCATATATGTATGGTCCAGTTCCTTTTCTTCCTGTGCCCACAGCCTCATCTGTTATCCCCCTGCAGGCATCAAAACATTGTGCTTACTTACCATACAGTCCATACATCCCAAGGCCAGTTGCTATATCTGCTCATGTCTCGTCTTCTCTCCTAACTCTTGTCATCCCAGGAGATTTTTTGTGCTTTCTTGTGATCTTGGCCATAAGGATCTTTATTATAGTCATTCACCATTTCATCATTTTTAGGTGTTTTGTTCTGTATAAGCATTTTCAAATTATCTTCTCATTTTCCTGGAAATGATAGCCCTTTTATTTTGCTTGCAAAAAAAGTTGCATACCTAAAAACAGTATTTAAAATCCAGGGGTCTTGCATGGTGCTCCAGGCCAGAATATTATATTATGTTGAACCACATAATATTGCCTGTGTTTGACCATTTTGCCTACAAAAAGTAATTTCACATGGTTTATGTGAAGGCAAGACCACACTGTGACTCAACTTGTAGGATATCCAAGTTAGAAGGAAACGTAGGAATCATTCCCAAACTGCTCGGTAGACCAGTTATTAATACATTGGAGTTATCAAAGAGCATAAAGTGTTACAGACTCTCAGGTCCCACTCCCAGAGATTTTGATGTGATGCCTGGAAATGAATATATTTTTCGTATCTTCATAGGTGATTCTGATGCACCGCCCTATTTGTGAACCTCTGATCTGGAACAATGATCCACCCACGGAAGATAGACTCTCTACAGTTTTGGCAGGGAGTTGTCCTGCCTCTGCTCCCACAGTTCTATGACAAGGAACTCCCTGCTGTGAATGAGCCCACTCTCATCTGCTTGTCTCAAGCTACTTTCTTAGGATGTGCTAGACTCTCCACTTGCAGTGCTCACTCCATGTCCTTTGATTCTCACCTTCCTCTTGTGTAATTCCTCCTGGGCCAACAGAATCATCTCAGCGTCTGCTACTCCTGGGCCAGGCAGATGCCACAGACTCCAGTCCTTCCCTCCTACACTGACAATGTCCCTAACACTGGCTTTGCATTGTGATGTGCAGAAGGGAGAGAAAAAGAGGAAAAGAGTGAGAAAGTCAGAAGGGTGAGATACATGCAGCATTATCTCCAGTCACGGAGAGACAAGCATTCTGGAAACAGGGAGGGAGGGGGAAGAGGAGGAACTTACACATGGCTTGGATCCTACTGTTGGAAACTAACTTTCCTACTCAGGTAATAGCAGATATGACAGATGAGGTGATGTGGCGTATTCTTGGGACACTTGACATGTCCTTAGAAGTAGGGGGGCTGAACAGAGAAACAGATGGGGAAGGCTCTTTAGCATTTCACCAACAGTTTTGATTCTGCTCCCAGAAAGATGATCATCAGTGCATTTCCTGGGCTTTGCCTCGAGAATTCCTTCCATCATGTGCTGCCTGTACCCCCTGTTTTCATCCTTGCAAAAAATTTCATCCTTGGGCTCTGCATCTATTTGGTGGTGAGGAGGAGAGCATGGAAATGGGCCCCCTCTAGTAACTGAGCACTGGGTAGACAGTAGAAGTGAGTGCCAGGATCTGTGCTGGGTTTTGGCTCCTGTGGTGCATGAGGTCTGATAGTACCACTCCCTTTCCCATTCATAGGATGGGGCTGGGACACGAATGGCATAGACAAAGGTAAGAGACTCCTACTCTTGCTGCTTGACATGTCCTGGGTCTAACTGGATCTTCCAGGCATTTTAGGATTTGGACCCTGAATATGGTTCCCAACATGGAAGTGATGCAGCTATGTCTTTTTTTTTTTTTTTTTTTTTTGAGACAGAGTCTCTCTCTGTCACCCAGGCTGGAGTGCAGTGGTGCAATCTTGGCTCACTGCAACCTCTGCCTCCCAGGTTCAAACGATTCTCCTGCCTCAGCCTCCCGAGTAGCTGGGACTACAGGCATGTGCCACCACACCCAGCTAATTTTTGTATTTTTAGTAGATACGGGGTTTCACCGTGTTAGCCAGGCTGGTCTAGATCTCTTGACCTCGTGATCCACCTGCCTTGGCCTCCCAGAGTGCTGGGATTACAGGTGTGAGCCACCGCACCTGGCCCACACCCCCCCTTTTATTTTGAGGCAACTATGTCTTTTGCTTCCCACTCACTTTCCTGTAAACTACTTGCTAGTGCCCTTGTCCCCGTCACAGCTTGTGCCAGGGCTGACAAACACACTTCTTTGACTTTGCTTTCTTTTACTTTACTCTCAGTGTGTGCTATCAAACCAGTGAGCATGTGCGGGAAACTGGGATGGGCGTGCCTGCATGTGTGTGCATGTGTGTGTGCATGCGTGTGTGGTGTGTGCACAGTCATCTCACAGACACTATCGTTTGCCACACTTGTGTTGGGAGGGTGCACAGAAGTGTTTGAACCTAAGCTAAATCACTTGAAATGCTATGCTTTTTGAGATCTTCTGTTTGTCCTAATGCATTTTCTGCTTTTCTTCTCTGTTACTGGCTATCCACTCTCATTTTTGTCCACTACCCTGATGCCTGTTTCCAGAAGTCCCTCCTCCAAGATCACTTATATTTGTTACAGCTCTGCATAACACAGGAGTAAACAGTCTTTAAGGGAGGGCATTGACTTGTGACAGAAATTTTGGAATCTTGGAGGACTTTTCTTAAGTTCTGTGGATCAGCTGAATGCAGTCAAGTGATGTGTGGCCATGACCAGATTATAATAAACGAATCCTATCAAACAACAGATTATGAAAAGTTCAACAGCCTGAAGAGGAGTTATTTGTGCAACTAGTGTCTTTGACGCTTTATAAAAGGGATTGCTTTGGGTTCTTTTGAGCAGGATCTTCCTTGATGTACTTAGGAATTCATTTACATATTGTTAATTCCTTGACACAGAAACCAGAGGCAGAAATCCCGAAAGACAATGTGTATTGCATGTTGTATGCCACTGGCTGAGACAAGCGAGAGAAAAAGAGAGAGAAATGACCCAAACCGGATATTTAACTCAAGAAGATTCCCCAGGGTTGATATGTAAATAATTAAAGCCTAGGGTTTGCTCTCAGGATCCCCAGGAATATGCATTGTATCCAGTCCTTTTTTCCCAGCGCTCCCTCTATAATCCATAGAATCAAAGACATTCATCACCCTGTCCATCCATTGCCTCTAAGGTTGGGTCCTCACGCTTGAAAAACTATTGCCAGCAAAGACATGGAACCAACCCAAATGCCCATCAATGATAGACTGGATAAAGAAACTGTGGTACATATATACCATGGAATACTATGCAGCCATAAAAAGGAATGAGATCATGTCCTTTGCAGGGGCATGGATGAAGTTGGAAGCCATCATCCTCAACAAGCTGCCACAGGAACAGAAAACCAAAACACTACATGTTCTCACTCATAAGGGGGAGGTGAACAATGAGAACACATGAACACAGGGAAGGGAACATCACACACTAGAGCCTATCGGTGGGGGAAGGGGAGGGAGAGCATCATGACAAATAGCTAATGCATGCAGGGCTTAAAACCTAGATGATGAGTTGATAGGTGCAGCAAACCACCATGGCACATATATACCTATGTAACAAACCTGCATGTTCTGCACATGTATCCCAGAACTTAAAGTAAAATAAAATAAAATAAAATGAAAAGAAAAGCTATTGCCTTAGTTTGAGTCCCCCAGGAGCCAACCCTAGGGCAGGGATGTGGGTGCATGTAGTTTATCTGGGAGGTGATCCTAGGAAGTAGTGGCATGTAACTGGGGGGTGAGATGAAGGAAAGGAAGTCAATAACTGGTGCATCACTGAGCAGGCTGTGGAAAACGAGGGTTCAATCCCACTGGGGGACACTGGGGTGAGACGTGGAATACCTTAGAGTGATCTCAACACAAGAGCAGTGGACAAGAGTAATTACCCACATCACCCTGCAGCCATTGGTTAAAGGCTGTTCCCATGAGGATTAATGCCTCTTGTGTGCATAGAAATGGTGAGTAGTGTGCATGGTGAGGGGATCTGAGTGGAGCCCTTCAGAATCAGCTGGTTATAGCCTGGCCAACATGGTGAAATCCCATCTCTACTAAAAAATAATACAAAAAATAGCCAGGCATGGTGGCCCACGCCTGTAATCCCAGCTACTTGGGAGGCTGAGGCAGGAGAATCTCTTGAATCCATGAGGTGGAGGTTGCAGTGAGCAGAGATTGCACCATTGCACCCCAGCCTTGGTGACAGAGCAAGACACTGCTTAAAAACAAACAAACAAAAAAGAACGATAATTAGTCCCATGTGGTGGCACACACCTGTAATCCTAGCTGCTTGGGAGGCTGAGGCAGGAGAATCACTTGAACCCGGGAGGCAGAGGTTGTGGTGAGCTGAGATCATGACACTGCACTTCAGCCTGGGCAACAGAGTGAGACTCTGTCCCAGAAAAAAATAAAATAAAAAGAATCAGCTGGTTATTTATTTATTTATTTGAGTGTCAATCATCAGCAAATTCTCCTGCTCTGATTCTGCACACAGTGCACGAATTTCTCCCAACATTTCTTTAACTCTGACTGTGGTTTTGGGATTGGTGTGAGCCTTAGCCTCCTTAGTCTTATATTTCCGAAGTCATGAAGACTTCCATCTGATGTCCCTGCCCCTCTCCCCTCCCAATTCTCCAAGTATAACCTGAACATCAGGATCCATAGCTACCAGCAGGAGTTGTCTCTGGAATGAGTGCCATCACTATGGAGCCAATATCCCGGGTGCTGGAGGGAGCTCTGTGCTTCCACAATCCCTTCCTGTGGATTGGCTCAAACGGGGAGGCTGCAGAATCATATTTAGCCTTCAGAAAATTTTGTATGGGCTGCAATTTATCTTAAAATATGAGAAACTCATTGCCAACAGTTAAAATGTGTGGGATTCCATACAAACTCTGGATTTCTGGCTTGTCTTGAAAACTTGGAAGACTCAGCAATGTTGGTACCGCCCAATGAACTGGAGTTGACTGGTAGCTGCCCCTTAGATGGGACCTGTGCCCTCCAGGTCACCAGTTTTTTCTGAACCACTTGGCTTACTCAGGTTATTTCTCTGACTTCCACAGGCATTGGAGTTTTCAACCCTTGCCTCTTCTGTCTTGGCATCTGCCATGTTGCATCTGCCTCAGTTACCTTGCCTAGATCTTTTCTTGTCCGTTGGAATTGCATTGCTAATCTGTCCTCCTACTCTTTTGACTTTAGTTTCTATATTCTCTCTGGATTTTGTCAGCTTCTTCTACCAAGGGTACAGAACTTTGTTTCCTGTTCTCTCAGCCATTTTCTGAAGTCTTGCTATAAATGGACAGAAATTATAATCTTCCCACACGTTAGGCTTAAGTGTCATCTGCTACCTGGATTCTTTCTATATTTATCTACTAATCACTGTGGACAACTTGGGGTATTGATGCAGACCAGAATGGAACCCAAGACTGTGGGATACTTTGGATTATGTATATTACACTATCAGTCTATGTCTTTGGGAAAAGCATTCCTAGTGCTTTTGGGTTGCATCTATCTCTGGAGTTCCCCATCCTATCCACTTCAGCTTCTCCACTTCTCATCAGCCAATGCTGCTGAAATTCCAGCACGCTTTGCACCTGAATCTAGTAAGGTTATTAACATTAAATATACTGTAATTGTCACTCTCATTCCAGTTGGTTTTGTTGCCATGGAATTCTGAGAAGGTGCAAACCATGCAAAAATTCTCTTTCCTGGCCTCAGCCTAGCTAATTAGATCTGCTCTGAATCCAGTTAGAAGAGAAGTTGGTGCCAATCTAGCAAGCAAACATCATTTTCTCCTGGTTTCATTATAGAGCATAGAGCTTTCCCCCTGTTCCCCTCCCCCAATCTGCTTTTATTTTTTTTAATTGTTTTAGAGAGGATATCAGCAGGAGGAGGACCAGGTGATTTGAGACTTTGAGTATCATTTATTTCATTGATTGAGACTTTTGAAGTGGAAAGGAATGAAGGCAGAGAAAGTGATTTCTAAAAGGATTGTTCAATTGGCATCTCTCCTTGGACAATGCAAACTCCACATGATCAAGCTCTTCTCAGATAGAAAATGACCGATACAAGAACAGAAACCGATGAGTCACTTATGTTTGCAAGTTTGTTAATTGGCTTGAGTTTGTTTGAATTATAGCATCATAGAATCTGAAAGTTGACTGTGACTCAACCCTGCCTGTTGCAGAAGAAACAAAACAAAACAAACACCTATGTCCAGAAAGAGGAATGGGATTTTATGTATTTATTACTTCATTAATTAAACCAGACAAACATTCATTGACAATGTGTGGCACTTCTGGCTAGTAGGGACACACAGATGAAAGCTGTGCCATCCCTAAAAAGCTGACTTTTTAGCTTGAAAGGATGAACAGGCAGTGTGGCATTGTGGTCAATACATAGGATTTGTGACCAGCCTGCCTGGATCAGAACCCAGTTCTGCTTTTTTCCTGGCTGTCCAACTTTGAGCAACTGACAGATACTCTCTGTACTCTTATTTCCTTCATCTGTAGAATGGAGATAACAGTGTCTTCCTTTAAGGATATGCGAGAAGCATTAAGGATAATTTGGGTAAAAATCTTGAGCATAAAAAGCTCATTGGCTGGGTGTGGTGGCTCATGCCTGTAATCCCAGCACTTTGGGAGGCTGAGGCAGGTGGATTGCCTGAGGTCAGGAGTTCAAGACCAGCCTGGCCAACATGGTGAAATCCCATTTCTACTAAAAATACAAAATTAGCCAGGTGTGGTGGCACACGCCTGTAGTCCCAGCTACTTGGGAACCTGAGACAGGAGAACCTCTTGAACCAGGCAGAGGCTGCAGTGAGCCGAGACTGCACCACTGCACTCCAGCCTGGGTGAGAAAGAGCAAGACTCTGTCAAAAAAAAAAAAAAAAAAAAAGCTCATTAACTGTAGCTATTATCAAAGTAAACAATTTTAATGAAAAGTGATGTAGATTGTGAGTACAAAGCAGGAGCGTCTCACCCATTTTGAGGAGCCTGGGAAGGCCTTCCAAGCAGAGCAAGGAGCAGGATGGAGGGCAATGCCTGTTTGGTGTGCAGAATAGAATATGCAGAGGAGGTCAGACACGGTGGCTCACGCCTATAATCCCAGCACTTTGGGAGGCCAAGGCAGGTGGATCACGAGGTCAGGAGATCGAGACCATCCTGGCTAACACAGTGAAACCCTGTCTCTACTAAAAATACAAAAAAATTAGCCAGGCATGGTGACAGGCGCCTGCAGTCCCAGCCATTTGGGAGGCTGAGGCAGGAGAATGGCGTGAACCCAGGAGGCGGAGCTTGCAGTGAGCCCAGATCAAGCCACTGCACTCCGGCCTGGGTGACAGAGCGAGACTCCGTCTCAAAAAAAAAAAAAAAAAAAAAGACTATGTGGAGGAGTGAAGAAGTAGGGAGGGGTAGAGGTGGGAGAGATAAGGGCCAAGTGGTGGCAGGGCCAAGTGGCGGCAGAGCCAAGATATCAAGGATGAGAGAAAGGGAGGACTTGAGGATAGTGTCCATTTCCTAACCTGGGTCCCTAGTAAGTGACGATTCCTTCCATGAGACCAGAATTGTAGGGGAAGAAAGGCTGGAGGGAAGGTAAAGAGTGCAGCCATGAGAAGGTGGGTTTTGGGTGTTGCTGAGGCTTCTGGTTGGAGATTTCCAGCAGGCAGTGGTGATATCTGGACAGAGATGAAGCCTGGGAATATTAAATCAAGAGTCCTCAACACATGAATGGTAACTGAGAAAAGAAGTGAGGATAAGACTTCAGTGAAGATAGGGAAGAGTGGAGAGGGAAAACGTCCCTGGAGAGAGTCCTCTGAGCACTGGCATTTAGGGGTGTGGCAGAGGAGGAAAAGCTAGAAGAGAGGAATGAGGAGGTGACTCTTAAGCCAGGAGATAATTTATTGCCCATGATACTGAAAAGTTGGGCAATTATCAGGCTGTAGAAACAGCTAGAACCAAGATTATCTATCTATCTATCTATCTATCTATCTATCTATCTATCTATCTATCTATCATTTATCTATCTATCTATCTATCTATCTATCTATCTATCTATCTATCTAATCTATCTATCTATACTTTTGTCCTTTGTTATCCTTCTCCCCTTCCTATCCCTCTCCCTCTTCCTCTTTCTCCCTGCCCTTCTCCTCCTCCACCTTCCCTTCCCTCTTCTCCTTTTCCTCCTCCCTCTTCTTTTTCACCTCCTCCTCCTCTTCCTTCTCCTGCTCCTCCTTCTTCACCTCCTCTTCCTCCTTCTCCTCCTCTTACATCTCCACCTCCACATCCTCCTCCTCTTCTTTCTCCTTCTCCTCCTTTTCCACCTCCACCTCCTCCTCTTCTTCTTCCTCCTCCTCCTTCTCTTCCTCTGCTTCCTCCTCTCCTTTCTCCTCCTTCTTTTCTTCTTCCTCCACCACCTCTTCCATCTACTCCTTCTCTTCCACTTCCTCTTCCTCCTCCTCTCTCACCTCCTCTATTGTTTATCTTTCTCCTCCTCTTTAATCTCCTCCTTCTCTTTCTCTTCTTCCTGTTCCTCCTTCTCTTCTACCTCCTCCTCCTCCTTCAACTCTTCTTCCTCCTCCTTCTCCTCCTCTTTCACCTCCTTCATTCCTCATTTTCCTCCTCTTCTTCCTGCTCCTTCTTCCTCTTCTCCACCTCCTTCACCTTCTTGGGCTTTCATATCTTAGGAATGTTTTCCTCTGAGCGTGACAAAGATGTTTCAGTCAGCTCCAGATTTTCACCATTCCAGAGTCCAGTCTAGCTGACAAGAATAAAATCCATTTGCTTTATCAACAGTCACAGGTTAACTCCTAGGTCACTCACACTTACCTGACAAATTGATGAGGCAGCTGGAGAATAGTCTACAAAGATTGGCCAGGCCTGGATCTCATGCCACCATGTGTCCTAGTGGTTTGTCTCATGTCATCCAAACCCAACAGACTGAAAATGAGCGAGAGAGAATTCTTTTAAAAAGTGAGGAAAAGAAAGAAAGCTGGGCAGGCAAAACACAAGATGTCTTCTTAGAGAGTAGGAAGAAAATGAAATCTGAAAATGAAAAATTTGGCTGAGTTTTGCTTTATGAAAACCTGATCACATTCTCCTTTGTTTTTGCATTTTGCTCCAGGTAATTAACAACCATGACAGGCAAGTTTGCATTCATTGGTGTTAGGTGACCAAAGAGAAAGGCAAGAACCCTGGCTTTTCTGGGAAAGAATGCTCATCATTTTTCTATTTTCATAAAAAGAAAAAGAATCCTGTGAGTTTTTATGCTGTTTCAGAACAAACATAACTGTGACTCATGTTTTGCAATTTATGTAGCTGACTTCACATGCTTTTGACGGTTCTATCATGGTTTAGATGCTGCGAAATATTTGTTTTCCTCTGCAGAACCAGAGTGGCAAAAATCCACTTGCTTCATGATTATTGATACTCTATCCTGAGGTTTCTCAAATTCAGCCCTATCGACATTTGGGGCAAGATAATTCTATGTTTGTTTATGGAGCTGTCCTGTTCATTGCAGGGTGCTCAGCAGTTTCCTTGACCTTTCCTTACTTGAGCCCTTGTGGTGACAACCCGAAAGGCCTCCAGACATTGACAAGTATCCCCTGGCCCCTGGTTGAGAACCACTGCTCTGCACTTTGGTTTCTCATCATGTAATGTGCTAGGAAAGGGATCCAGGGAGAACAGGGGAGGCTGTGGAATAAGGATAAAGCATAAAAGGGTATCTCTGCCTTTTTGCATGGACTGACCTTGATGGGGTACAGTTGGAGGACCATCTGCCACAACCCCTTAATTTTCTGTTCCCCAATATCTCAGGAGAAGGAAGACAGGGAACCTCACCCAGCCAGCAGGATAATTAAAATCTATTCTAGGTCTAAAACGAGATGCTTGTAATATAATAGGAGCCTTTTGGAGCTCTTCAGTCAGTGAATGAAATAAGCTTGCTGCCTATAAATAGCACAATTGGCAGCCAAACCCTCTGAAAAACACCCAACATGCTGGTGTCAGAGGAAGACGTGTCCAATGCTTTCGACACTGAAAATAAATACCACGAGTCAAAAATAAATGGCATTATTAGCATAAAGGGAGTCCCTAATTAACCAGCAATAGTCCATTACTGTAGCCTTCAATTCATTAAATTGCATAATTACATAAAAACTCGGTTGACGCTTGATTCAGTCAGTGTATCTGTTATTGTCTCCTCAATAATTAGTTCTATAATTGTCAGTTTGACAGGGCAATTAAAAATGTTTGAAGACATTGTGTCAGCTTCCCCGTGTGTGGCTGCACTCTGGAGGACGCGTCTGGGAGAAAGCTTCCATCTGGGTGGCACAAGGGTTCTGGCTCCTGGGATGAGGGCAAGGAAAGGCAGGGGATCCAGGGGTCTGGGGGAATTATTCCATCTGGGGGGAGTGGGTGTCTTTGCCTGAGTGGTCTCAGCTGTAACTGCAAGGCTGCAGAAGAGGTGGAGGAACTCAGCAGTGGGGATGTATGAAGTGTTCCTATTCTGAGGTTGAGTGGGCAAGCATTGCTATTCAGTGTGTTTGGTCCTGGTAGTGAGGACCACAATGTGAGCTACCCAGTGGCAGCCTGGGTGAAATCATCCTGTCCTGGAGTTTCAGTTCAATTTGTATTAGGACCTCCACTGATGCCTAGGTGCATGGGGGTGCTGTTCCCCCATAGGAAGGAGACTGCTAGTGAAGGCTCTAACCAGTCAATATGGGTTTGGGATTTCCAGATTTGTATACTTGTGTGGCTAAGAAAGGATATGACTTGCTCAGGACCTACTCCAGGGACAAAGATATCAGACTTCTGACAAAGTTGGTCTAGTTCTCACTTCTAGTCAGTGCTGGGCTGAGTCTCCATGGCTCTTTTCTGGTCATAGTTGACACAAGAATAGGGCAGGACAGCTCCTACATGAGTAGATACCCAAGTTCTGCTGTTGAGGGTGGCTGGGGAGCATGCAGGTTACTTGGATGAGTGGGACTCTATGATATGGTTTTGCTGTGTCCCTACCCAAATCTCACCTTGAATTGTAATAATCCCCACATGTCAAGGGTGGAGCCAAGTGGAGATAATTGAATCATGGGGGTGGTTTTCCCCATACTGTTCTGATGGTAGTGAATAAATCTCATACTATCTGATGGTTTTATAAAGGAGAGTTCCCCTGCACAAGCTCTCTTGCCTGCTGCCATGTAAGACATGGCTTTGCTCCTCATTTACCTTCCACCATGATTGTGAGGCCTCCCCAGCCAGGTGGAACTGTGAGTCCATTAAACCTCTTTCCTTTATAAATGACCCAGTCTCAGGTATGTCTTTATTAGCAGTGTGAGAATGGACTAATACGCGCTACATGGTTAACACCTAATTATTCTGGTCTGCATAGAACTGTGAGAGCACAGCACAGGAATGAAATCTCAAGTTGTGGGGGCAGAAAAATGTCTTGAGAATCTAGGTGGCTGGTCCCAGATTTCCATTACTCTGAAGCTTATCTACTTGTTGTTGGCATTTTAAAGTGGAGGAGGAAGGTGAGCTTTTTTCTCCTAGAAGCAGCAGCTGATGGACATGTTGGCATGACAGAGAAGCAAACTGCAGGGGGAAAGTCAGACTCAAACTCAAATCTATTTTCTCTGGGGAATTGCATTCTGCACAGGACACAAAGTGTTTAATTGAAGACTTTACATTCTCGGGCCATGATCCAGTTGGATCTTTAATCCACAAAAGAGCCTCCATTCTTCTTGGTGTGGGCTTGAGAGGAGGAGAGGGCTGCAAATCTGCTTCTATGAACAGTATGTTCTTATCATCCAGGGCTGTGAAGAGTCAGGTGTGTTGCTGCTTCCTCAAAGGAGGAGGGTGATGGAGTCCTAGAAAAGCCATGCCTTTTTGTAGGGTTCTTCTCCAATCTTTACAACTGATTCTAAAAACATGGCAATCAGATGAGTGTTCAGTTACTTTTGTGACTTTGTCTGAAGAAGTCTTTAAAAAGGCACCAGTCCATTGTTTCAACCAAGTCCACTCCACCGTTACTATAGAGTAGAATAAGAGGACACACCCTCTCCAGGGCTTCCTAACAAGAGGTGCACTTAAGACTCACCTGTGAAGTTTGAAAAAAAAAAACAAAAAACTGGTGGACCTCGTCTACTAAATCAGATCTACTAAATCAGAACTGGAATAGGGTATACCTGCAAAAGAACACACTTTTTTTTTTGAAACGGAGTCTTGCTCTGTCGCCAGGCTGGAGTGCAGTGGCACAATCTCAGCTCACTGCAACCTCCCCCTCCCAGTTCAAGCAATTATCCTGCCTCAGCCTCCTGAGTAGCTGGGACTACAGGTGCGCACCACCACCCCCAGCTAATTTTTGTATTTTTAGTAGAGACGGGGTTTTGCCATGTTGGCCAGGATAGTCTGGATCTCTTGACCTTGTGATTCACCTGCCTCAGCCTCCCAAAGTGCTGGGATTACAGGCATGAGCCACCACACCCAGCCCACACTTTTAAATGTGTTGGTATTAATAGCTTAATCTTTGCCCCAGTCAGTATTCTAACATTGATAACTCCTCATTTATTCTCAGCCTCCAGCTCCCTCTCACTGGAGATTCTGGGTTATTTTGTGTAAATGAGAGTAATTATAAAGGAGCCAAGAATTTCTCTTGTGGGTTTATCCCTATCAATGTCATCTATCTGTCTGTCTGTCTATCTATCTATCTATCTATTTATCTATCTATCTATCATCTATCTATCTATCTATCTATCTATCTATCATCTATCTATCTATCTATCATCTATCTATCTATCTATCTATCTGTCTATCATACCTCTCTCCCTCTCTCTCTCTCTCTATTTCTGTAAGACATTGATCTCCATCTATGTGAGAGAGAGAAAAGACAGGAATCTATGGTGAAAAGGTTATGGAGTGAAGGGAATTTCTGACAGAAGTCACCTTTAACTCACATTTTGGCTAATGAATTGCATTTTTTGGAGGACATAAGTGCATTGGCTCTATTGGCCAAGCTACCTGGGCTTTGACCTTGGGTGAGTTCTTTAATTTTTCCATGCCACAGTTTCACAGTTTCCTCATTTTAAAACTGGAATTATTACATTTTTTTCTACAAATGATTATCGGTGTCCATATGTGCCAGGCACTGTTTTTTAGGCACTTGGTCAACACCAGTGAATAAAGCAAACTCAAATCTATTTTCTCTGGGGAATTGCATTTTTATATGAGGAGACAGACAATGAGAAACAAATACAAAAAATAAATAAATAAATTAAAAGTGTTGTGTCGAAATGGAACAGGGGAGAGGAGATGGGGAAACCTGGTGGGTGGAATGCAATTTGAAATAGAGTAATTAGAGTAGGCTTCATTAAGAATGTGACATTTGAGCAAATGAAAGCCAAATTGGCTTCAGGAGAGTGCATATCCAAGGAACAATGATGCCAGCATGGCTGGGAGGAAGTGAGCAAGGAGGACAGCCAGCAGGTTTGTACAGCCTGCAGTACCATGAACCACCACACCCAGCCCTTTCGTGCAGTGGTGAGGTCAGACGGTTAACAGAGTATTAGGTCAGACAGGAATTTGTACGCCAAAATAAGAAATTTGGCTTTTATGCTGAGTGCAATTGGGAGCCATGGGAGGGTTTTAAGCCGAGGAGAAACTTTATATAATTTGTGTTTTAAATGGATCCCTCTCAATGTGGCATGTCAGAAACAATTGCAGGAATTCATGAGTAAAATGAAGGAGACCAGTTAGGAGATCATTATAGTAACTCAGCCAAGGGGTAGCAGGTGACTTGGACAAGGTCTAATAACAGGGCCCGTCTCACAAGAGCTTTTGTAAAGATTAAATGAGATGATGGATGAATGAACATAGAATGCTGTCTTGCATAATGTAAGCATGCAACAAATGGCAACTATTATTCTCTAAATGCGATCTCATGTCAAGACTGGGCCATATAGAGCCTGTGATAGTGAATATTGAGTGTAAACTTGATTAGATTGAAAGATGTCAATAATGTTCCTGGGTGTGTTTGAGAGGGTGTCCCCAAAGGAGATTAACATTTGAGACAGTGGAATGGGAGACATAGACCCAGCCTGCATAGAATGTGAGGCAGCTTTCTACATCCATTCATACATCATCTTATTTAATCCTTCCAAAAATCAGCTGCCAGCGTGGCTAGGATAAAAGCAGGCAGAGGAACGTGGAAGGACTACACTGGATGAGTCTTCTGGCCTCCCTCTTTCTCCTGTGCTGGATGCTTCCTGCCCTTGAACATCATCAGACTCCAAGATCTTCAGCTTTTGGACTCTTGGGCCTACACCAGTGGTTTGTCAGGGGCTCTGGGCTATCAGGCTATCAGCCACAGACTGAAGGCTGCACTATCAGCTTCCCTACTTTTCAGGTTTGGGGACTTGGACTGGCTTCCTTACCCCTCAGCTTGCAGATGTTCTATTGTGGGACTTCACCTTGTGATCGTGTGAGTAAATATTCCTTAATAAACTCCTCTTCATATATGCATCTATCCCATCAGTCCTGGCCCTCTAGAGAACTCTGACTAATACAGAGCCCTAAAACGTATTTGGATTTTAACTTCTTTTTAATTTTGGGAAAAATTTCCAGGGGATTCTACCCTGCATCTCAAGGTAAAACTAATGGTCCACTTTGTTTGTAAAAATTATGCTTAGTTATATATTTACACAAGTTCTCCAGAGAGGATTACATAGTGTTCTTGAAATAATAAAATTGTCCAATTATAACTGGATATTGGCAATATAAAATGCTTTCAAAATTTTATTTTATTAAAGCTGACACGATCCATTTCTTCCTTTTCCAAGTCAGTCTTATGTTTCCAGAGAAGCATAAGAGATAAAAAATACAAAATTATTTTCTCTTACTCCATAACCTTCTTATTTTGCTTTGTTACAGTCAAAGATGCCTCACTCTGGTATCTCATAATATTCTGATTGCCTTATTATGCAGCTGGAATCTATACTGTCTCCCTTTGAGCTGCTATTGTTCCTTTAGTCTCTCGAAGTCAGACACTTCAAAACAAATGTCTCTCATGTATCCCATCTTTCCAAATATTTGGAGCTATCAGAACCATAGGGTGAACACAAGTTTTTTTTTCTTTTTGTAAAATAGTATTCATCTCAAAAAAAGGGGAGATATTTTCAGGCAGAGTCCAAATGGTTCTTACAATCTCCATCTGGTTGCTGCAACCAGCCTTAGACTATAAAAAAGTCTCATTTTTATTTGAGAGCAGCAAGCATAGATGGAAATCAGAGTAAATAAAAAGGGAATGACATTTCAGTTTTAGTACATTCAGGTCAATTGTCCAGCGTCATCTGCAGTCTTGTAATCCTAAAGCCCAATTAAACAGCTCCAACCCAAAAGTTGGTTGTGACATCATACTTGTCAAATCTCAGAGAGAATTTTCACCACCCCATTGCCTTTTCTATTGAAATGTGTAATTTGTATACTCTTAGAGATGAAATGAGATGAACCATGTAAGAGTTTACAGGAGTGCCTACTACTCAGTAAGTGCTCAGTAAATATTAGCTTTAGGTAGTTATTTTTCTAGCCGAGTTTGAAACTGTGCAGTGGGGATGCCTCCAATTTTGCGTCTTTCTGTTGGCCTCTATTTCACATATCGTACTTTTTTTTTGGAGTCTTGCACTGTCGCCCGGGCTGGAGTGCACTGGTGTGGTCTCGGCTCACTGCAACCTCTGCCTCCCAGGTTCAAGTGACTCTCCTCAGCCTCCCAGTAGCTGGGATTACAGGCCCCCGACCCCACGCCCAGCTAATTTTTTGTATTTTTAATAGAGACGGGATGTCTCTATGTTGGCCAGGCTGGCTTCGAACTCCTGACCTCGTGATACACCCACCTCGGCCTCCCAAAGTGCTGGGATTATAGGCTTGAGCCACCTTGCCGGGCCCTTTTTCATATTTAAGATGCCTTTATTTCCCTCTGTCCTCTGGGCTCATGTGAGCTCTGTCCAAGGTCCTGGTCTCAAGTTTCTCAGATTTCAGCAATGGGGCTCCTGTTGGGTGATACTTCCCACATGTGTACCTCCTTCGATGTCAGGAAAGCCAATTTTCTGTGTCACATGCTTCTACCTGAAACATTGTGTCTCTTCGCTGTTGAATTTCTCAGGCTTCTGGCAACTCTTCTTACTTAGGTGTGAGCATAAACTCCTTTTGCGGCCATCACTTTTCCTATTGCACTGAAGACTTTCTCAACTTCTTTGATATGGTTTGGCTATTTGTCCCTTCCAAATCCCATGTTGAAATGTGATCCCCAATGCGGGAGGTGGGGCTTAGAGGGAGGTGTTTTGGTCATGGGGGTGGATCCCTCCTGAACTCCTTGGTGCCCTCCCTGTGGTAAACAGCGGGTTCTCACTCTATAAGTTCACAGGAGAGCTGGTTGTTAAAGATCCTGGCACCTCTTCCTCTCTCTCTTGCTCCCTGTCTAGCCATGTGACATGCCGGCTCCTCTTCCCTTTCACCATGAGTGGAAGCTTCCTGAGGCCTCACCAGAAGCCAATGCTGGCACCTTGCTTCTTGTACAGCCTACAGAACCATGAGCCAAATATAGCTCTTTAAAAATTATCCACTCTCAGGTATTTCTATCAATGCAAAATGGACTAGCACATTATTCTAACCTTCCATTTCCATATCCCTCTGGCATTCACCTACTTCTTTCATGTGGACCCCGTCAGGATTTCAAAATGAAAAGATGCCTCTCACATCAGCTTCAGACTTTCTCTCCCCCATGCAGGGCTAAGGCTGTTTACAGGAGCCTATGAGGTTCTGCCTCATCTACTTTTCCTTTTATATTTCTTTCCTACTGTTTCTGCCCTAACTACAAGTTAAAGTCCTTTTTTTTAGAAGTCTATCTCATTCATTAGAGGTTCTCATTTCAAAGCCCAAAACATAGTTTTCTATTTTCCTACTAACCCTGAAGCCTTCCTTCCTGTTAACTCTTTTTCTCCAGGTCCTTGGTAAAGAAAACCTGTTTTATAGAGGCAGAGTGGTACAAGAACTTGCCTTTTATTTTTAAATGGAGTTTCACTCTTGTCACCCCTGGCTCAGGTCACTGCAACCTCTGCCTCCCGGGTTCAAGTGATTCTCCTGTCTCAGCCTCCCGAGTAGCTGGGATTACAAGCACCCACCACAACCCCCAGATAATTTTCCTATTTTTAGTAGAGATGGGGTTTCATCAAGTTGGCCAGTCTGGTCTCGAACTCCTAACCTCAGGTGATCTGCCCGCCTCTGCCTCCGAAGTGCTGGGATCCCATGCGTGAACCACCACGCCCGGCCAAGAACTTGCCTTTTAATTTGTTTTCAGTCCTTGGGCTTGAGAGAACTCTGCTGCAATTTTAACAACAACCAGACACACAATATCAAGGTGCCACCTGTGGCTTGTCCGAAGCACTTTGTACTAGGTCGTATTGGTTCTACTTTACAGATGTGGACACTGAGGTTCAATCCAGTAGACCAAGATATTCTCTCTACAATAATACCCTCTTATTTCTATTTATTAGCTGATTTATAAAGTATTCCACCCTATGTCCTTGAATGTACCCTCTGGTAGTAGGGTCACCCAACTCCACCATCCTGAATAGGGTTTATTAGTATGTTGACTTCTAAGGTGTGAATAAAGCAAGAAAAAGGATAAGGAAGAGGAGAACCAGAGTCCGGAAATTCCATGTCGTACCCCAAACTTCTGCCTCCAACCCATCAGCCAAGCAGTCCTGGCCAGATTGAAGTGAACCTCAGCCGGCCTTAGA
Source organism: Homo sapiens (assembly GCF_000001405.40). NCBI lineage: Eukaryota > Metazoa > Chordata > Mammalia > Primates > Hominidae > Homo > Homo sapiens. The sequence goes on along the minus strand of NC_000016.10, from coordinate 26,761,010 downwards.
AAGGAATACAGATTATCATACCACATTCAGTGAATGAGATCTCTCAATCTGGATCTAGGCTCTCTTTCCAAGCAGCTTTGTCTAGGACACAGATGTGTGCCCAAATCTAGCCCTCCCATCTGCTGAACTACACCAAATGTTAGCACACTAGAGATGGAGAAAGATCTTGGCACAGGTTTAGAATTACCACTTCTAATCTGCTGTTCCCTGCAAATGACACCCTTGCTAATTCCGGGAGGGGCATGATCTGTATTTCACAGAGCCCATGTGCTGGTTACCTGGTGACCTGGGCCAGATAGTGCTATCGGAAGTAATAGGAGCTGTGATAGAATTCAGCTAGAGTCCAGGGCTGTCTCGCTCTTGCACTCACAATCACATTGCTTCCTTACATGGAATGCTGAGAGGTTATTATACATGGAATGCTGAGAGGCAATTGAGTGATCTCAACAGCAAACAAGGCATCACCTTGCTATTAGAGGGCCCAATGGACCACACCTGATGGGAGGGTCTCAGGAATAGCTGGGATAATAGAGAAAATAGCACCTTCTAAAGAACTGTGAGAGTTTCTACTTCCTCCTAAACCCAAATCCCAATGCAGTCACCAGCTGGCCCCCATGCTTGAAATGAGGGCACCATTACATGTGCACAGGGGAAGGTGAAGTGAGAGAGACCTTGGCATGGAGGCATGAAGCAGGAAAGAACAGAGACAGACACTACTAGTTCTCAAACTTTGGAGTGCATAAGAACTACCTTGGGAGAATGTTAAAAATGCAGATGTCAGAGAGACAGTTTAGAATTATTGAGTTATAATCCGTGTTTTTAAATCCACCTCCATCAGGAGATTCTGATACATAGTGGGTTTTGAGAGCAGTTCATGTTTGACAAGTCTGTTTGTGATTTTTGCTCCCTTTTGCACAGTCCCTGAATTGGATTTGATCTCATTGGCATGAGGTGGAAGGTGCGGAGAAATTGTGTTCTCCTTCTTCAGGTATAAGCTGTCAGGACTCCTTCATCCTAGGTTAGAGGGAGACTGAACAGTCTTCCCTGGCCTCTTTCTATTTTTTGGTCTGATTTTTTTATTCTTCTTATTTTTTTGAGTTTCGCTCCTGTCACCCAGGCTGGAGTGCGATGGCACAATCTCAACTCATGCAACCCGCACCTCCTGGCTTCAAGTGATTTTCTTTTTCTTTTTTTTTTTTTTATGGAGTCTCACTCTGTCTCCCAGGCTGGAGTGCAGTGGCACAATCTTGGTTCATGCCATTCTCCTGCCTCAGCCTCCAGAGTAGCTGGGACTACAAGCACCCGACACCACGCCCGGCTAATTTTTTTTTGTATTTTTTTAGTAGAGACGGGGTTTCAGCGTGTTAGCCAGGATGGCCTTGATCTCCTGACCTCATGATCTGCCTGTCTTGGCCTCCCAAAGTGCTGGGATTACAGGCGTGAGCCACCGAGCCCAGCCTGACTTGTTTTTTTTTTTTTTATTTGAGTTAGTGAAGGCTGTTCTTGCACAAATCCTAAATTTATGGTGTTATGGTTTGGCCGTGTCCCCACCCAAATCTCACCTTGAATTGTAGCTCCTATAATTCCCACATGTCATGGGAGGGACTCAGTGGGAGGTAATTGAATCATGGGGGCAGGTGTTTCCCATCCTGTTCTCGTGGTGGTGAATAAGTCTCAGGAGATCTGATGGTTTTATAAAGGGGAGCTCTCCTGCACATACACTTGCGTGCTGCCATGGAAGATGTGCCTTTGCTCCTCCCTTGCCTTCTGCCATGACTGTGAGGCCGACCCAACCACGTGGAATTGTGAGTCTATTAAACCTCTTTTTCTTTATGAATTACCCAGTCTTGGATATGTCTTTATTAGCAATGTGAGTTTCAATAAGGAGAAAAAAAAAGGAGATCCTCTAGAGGAAAAAAAGAGGTATTTTTCAAGTGAGCCTTTGAAAGGAAAAACCTTTAACTTATTTGATCCTCCCAATAGAAGGTCCACCTCATATGACCATGTCCCAGTAGCATCTTTGGTCCCTATTGGAGCTGTGAGCCAAAGTGATTGCTTTGTGTCTTTCCTGGTATACTGTAAGTACAGGAAGGCAGACACCCTGTCTGTCTTGTTTGCTGTGCCATCTCCAATGCCTGGCACAGCACCAGGCACATGGGTGGTGTTCAGTAAGTACTAGTTGAATGAATATGTGAGGGAATGAGTGGACTAACTGGAACAGCCTCGCCAAGTTGCACAAGTAATACAGAGTCTGAAACCTACATTTATATGACCTCAGGCAACTCATTAAACATCTCTGGTCTCATTTTGCTCATGTGAAAGTAGAAATAATAAAAGCACCCACTTCATAGGGTGGTTCTGAACATCAAATTTGTTATTACACATTAAGCATTTGGGACAGTGTCTGGTTAATGACCAGCATCTATTGACTATTACTGTACCACTGTCATTAAAATTAAACACAAAACCAGAATTCACATAAAGTTACTGATTTCTGATATTGTTGAATAGGTCATTAGAAAGATACAAGAACTACCATTTATTATCATCAGTTCATACAGGAGAGACATCCTCACATAAAAAAGGAGGAAAGGCATAATCTCAGAATAAAGGTCATTCCTTTACATTTTTAATAAATTTAACTTTATGAAAAGTTATTTTTATCTTAATTTTTAAAAATATTATGAAGAGCTATTGGAAGCATTTTCACAGTGGTATATGCATTTTTCTCTCTCTCTGGACCACTGAACTGCAGTGCATCTCTCTAAAGGGGTTGCCTTACATAAGATTGATGCTCATGGCCTTGGCATCTCTTTGTTCACAGTGGGCACTGGATTGTTAAGAAAAAATCTGGGCTGTTTGTCCCTGGTCATAGCTGGGCAGGACATGTGTTGGTCATTGCTGCCTTGGGGTGCCTGTGGACAGGATTCTGTCCTGACTCAGCCAAGAGTGTTCTATGTCCCTGTTGTGACATTTTGGTCATGAAGACGTACTCTTGAGGTATTGTTCAGCAAGAATTCTCTAGAACTCCCTCGACTCCTAGTGCTGTGCTGGATGTTAAGGAGAATCCTAGAGGGATCACAATAGGGAGGACCCCTGAAAATTCCAGGTACAAGTCATGGCACTATGTTTAAGATGGCAATCTATGTGACTGTGGATGGGGGGCTACAAGAAAACATTCTCCTTATTCTAGTTTCCTTTTTTAGTTAATGACTCCACCAACCCCCATCACCTAAGCCAGAAACTTAGGAGTCATTTCTTTGATTCTCTGTTCCTCCATATTCAACTGGCTACTAAGTGCAGTTGTAAATACCTCTCAATATCTCTAATATCTGATTCTCACCACTACATCTACTGCAATAGCCTTAGCGTTGGTTACTTTGCCTGAGCTTTATTCTCTTCCATCTTTTCTCTATATTTATTTAAGTGATTGGTTGACCAATTGATAGGTTAATTGATCAAGTTATCCATGTATCCATCCACCCATGTACACTTCCAGCCAACCAGCCACCTATCCACCCACACATCCATCAATCCATCCATCCATCCACCCACATATCTAGCAACCCATCCATTCATCCACTTCCCACCACATCCATCGATCCATGATCCATTCTGTCCTCCTACACATCCGTCCATCCATGATCAATTCTGTCCTCCTACCCATCCATCCATCCATCCATCCATCCTTCCACTCAGCCATCCATACACACATCCATCCATCTGCCCATCATTCATTCATCCACCTACCCACTCACCCACACACCCATCCATTCATCCATCCATCCATCTACCCACACATTCATCATCCAGCCACTCCCTTCACACTTTCATCCATCCATCATCCATTCACTCCCTCTTACACATCTATCTATCCTTCCACTTACACATCCATATATCTGTCCATCTACGGACACATTCATTCACCTATGCACTCACCTCCACATATCCATCCACACATTCATCCATCCATCTATCCATCCATTCATTCATCCCCCCAACACATTCTTTCATTCATCCAACCATCCATCCACTCTCCTCCACATACCCACCCACACATCCATCCATCTATCCATCCATCTACTCATACATTCATCCATCCATCCATCCATCCATTTATCCATCCACCCCACACACACATACATCCATCCATCCACCCACATATCCATCCACCCACCCACATATCTATCCATCTACCCACATATCAACTCACACAGCTATCCACATATCCATCCATCCATTGAATTATTCACCCGCCCATTCACCTACACATCCATCCATCATTCATCCACCCACACATTCATCCACCCACACATCCATTGACACATCCATTCATCCATCCATCCATAAAAAACCACCCCAAAACTTAGTGACTTTAAATAACAAACATTTATTTTGTGTTACTATTTTGTGGGTTGTCTTAAGGGTTCTTCTGATCTTGAAAGACTGGTGGCTCTACTAGGACTGAATGAACTAGCATGATCTGATTCACATCTCTGGAGGTTGTTTCTACCTGAGCTGGGGTGATTACTATGTGTGTCTTATTGTGTAGTGGCTCTTAGCTCATCTAGAGCCATTCACATCATGGTCACAGGGTTCCCAAGAGCAGCATGAGAGGACAATTCTCATTGCACAAGTGTTTTTAAGTTTATGACAGAATCACCTTTGTTATTGTCCTACTGGCCAAAACAAGTCACATGACCAAGCTCAGTGCCAAGGTGGGAGGGGCCAACCCAGGGGCACGGATGCAAGGAGGTGTGAACAAAGCTATAGATTCATTTAACAGTCTATTACAATAAGAAAAGGAGGATGCTATGTTTAAGAAAATCAGACAAATTTTGCCCAGACTAAGAAACTTATTTTATTAATGAAATAATTTTGGCTAGAATTTGAACATCTTAACTCCAAATCCAGAGTTTTCCAAAACAGTATAGTGCCTAAGACCATGGGCTCTGAATTTAGACCTCCTGAGTTCAAATCCCTGCTCCACTGCTTACTAGATTGGTTTCCTTGGGCAAGCTATTTTGTCTCTCTATTCTTCAGTCTCTTCTTCTTTAATGTAAAGATAACGAGACCATTGGGATGTTATGAGCATTAAATGAGTTAATGTATGTATGGTGTTAAAAACAGTGCTTAGCACATAAGAAGTGCACAAAATGATAGCTAATATTATTGCAACCAAGGTATGGCAGCAATTTCAGATGCCTTATTCCCTCCCTTGCAGAAGCCATTGGAGCTAACAGATGTGTGAGCACTTTTGTAAGCAAAGAGCTTTACCTATATGTGAGGTGCTATTAGTTTTACTGTTAGAATTTACACCTCTCAGATTTCAGATTTTAGTTAAATTAGAAGATAACTGTCACTCCAGGACATATCTAGCCAGAAGAGTATACCCAGGGGTCTCCCCCATGAAGTTTTCTTGTCATCTCCATTGCCTGGTGGGCTCGGGTGCAGAAATAGAAGGCTCGAGGCTAGTGGCTGACTGCAATAAAGCTCTTGTCTTTGCAGCATTGCTTTGGGAAAAAAAGGATGAAACGGATCTAACTGTAGGTAATTAATTCTCCTGGTGTTTGTGGGTATGTGCATCTGCTTCGGTGGCTACATTTGTTAATATCAAGCGATAGAGATTTCTTTCAGAGCAATTGTAATAAAAATTAAAAAAAAGAAAAGGAACGATTTTGAATCACTAAGCTAGCCGCCCTAAATCTCTGGCCTGTTTGGTATGTAAAACCTTTCATCCAGCATGCATTTTTTATGAAAGGATTGAAAACCCAAGAAATAAAACATGGGCTATGGAACATCATTATGCACGAGGTAAAGCTGCCCAGGCAACTGGAATCAAACAGACAGTCCCTGGGGAGCAGGAAAGTTCTGGGGGGCATAAAAGCCAGAAGCACTGGGGTAGGCAGATATCCAAGAGGACTAGCAGAGCCCAGAAAGGGCCAGCTAAGTGCTGAATGGTGTTTAGCTCCTGCAAAAGGTTGCAAAAAGTAAGAGAGATGTTGACCTTTACCCAGGACCCTAAGCCATCTTGGCACACCCATAGCTGCTGGGTAATCAAGTTTCTACAACCACAACCCTAGTCTGAGCTATCAGTGACCACAGTCAAAATAATGCTGTAACAAACAAACCCAAAAACGTATAACGACTCAAATATCATAAATGTTTATATCACTCTTATGTAAAGTTCAAAACGCGTGCTCCCAATGAGTGGGAAACTCTCTTTCAAATGGCAATCCAGAGTTCTGGTCTTCTGTAGCTGTGACCTCACCATCTTTGGAATACGGCTTTAAAGATTGCTCATCTGCCTGGAGGAGGAAAATGCAGTGAGGTTTTATGGATCAGGCCTGGCAGGGGTATACGATTTATGTTCATTTTTCATGGGTTAAAACTTAGCCAAGTGGCCACACCTAACTGTGAGAGAATCTAGAAATACTACCTTACTATATCCTCTACCTTCCCACTTTTCCTACCCCTGCAAAAGTGGTAAAAGTTTCGGCACATGCATAGCCCATCTTCGCCACACCTGGACTGAGTGCAGTCACTTGATTGCATTACTTGCATTTTTGCACCAGATAATCCATTCTGTGCACTGGAGCTACAGTGGTCAGTTCAGTTCTTGACTTCAAGGATTTCTTGTTGCAATAAAATTAAAACCCAACCCTTTTCCCATGCCCTGCAAAGCCCTGCATAGATGGAATCCTGCCTGTATGGCAGATGGTGCCCTCTCCCCATGAATCTAGCTGGCTACTCTAGCTTCATTTGGGTCCTGACTCTTTCCTACATTAGGGCATTTGTCCTATACTACCTGTTGCAGTCAAAATATCACTTTCTAAGAGAGACTCACCTGATCATCTTAAGGTCACCAGCCCTACCCTTCATTACTCTATATTACGTGGTCTTACAGAAATATCACACAGGAATACAGGAATAAGCTGGGTCATTAACGTATTTAATTATTAATTTTATTTCATTTTATTTTTTTGAGATGGAGTTTCGCTCTTGTTTCCCAGGCTGGAGTGCAATGGCATGATCTCGGGTCACTGCAACTTCCATCTCCTGGGTTCAAGTGATTCTCCTGCCTCAGCATCCTGAGTAGCTGTGATTACAGGCACCCACAACCATGCCTGGCTAATTTTTGTAGTTTTAGTAGAGATGGGGTTTCACCATGTTGGCCAGGCTGGTCTCGAACTCCTGACCTCAGGTGATCCACCTGCCTCGGCCTCCCAAAGTGCTGAAATTACAGGCATAAGCCACTGTGCCTGGCCATATTTAATTATTTATTGTGTGCATTTTCCACAAGACATGAAACCAAGGTACTTTTTCCATAAAGAGCCAGACTGGCAAATATTTTCGGCTTTGTGGACCACACAATGTCATCACAATGACTCAACTCTGCTGCTGTAGAGAAAAAGCAGTCATAGATGATGTGTAAATGAATTTGTGTGGTTGTTTCCCAATAAAATTTTATTTACAAAAACAGATGTGGGGCAGCTTTGGCACGTGTTCTAGTTTGCTGATCCCATCCCTGCACTTGGATCTTAAGATACGTGAGGAAGGGAACTTGGTCTGTTTTATTTGTTGCTGCATCTCTATGTCTTAGCATGGTGACTGGTACATGGCAGGAACTCAAAAGCATTAGCTAAGTGAACAACAAAGATAATCCTGTGTGGTTCATGCCTTTCCTCCCATCTACTGTTCCACTCAAGTGGAAACTCATAGCCGAATTTGTTCAACATTTGAAGCATTGGTTGTGCAACGTGTGGTCAGGTGTTGTTGAGGAGAAGAATTGGCCCCTATCTGTTGAGCAATGCCGCTGCAGGCCTTGCAGTTTTCAGTGCATCTCATTGATTTGCTGAGCATACTTCTCAGATGTAATCGTTTCCCCGGGATTCAGAAAGCGGTAGTGGATCAGACCGGCAGCAGACCAGCAAACAGCAAGGTGCAAAGTGCTTTGGAGCTTCTTCTCAGTTCAACCATTGAGCTGGTCGTCTTCAGTTGTCATATGACATCCACTTTTCATTGCATGTCACAATCTGATTGAGAAATGGTTCGTTGTTGCGTAGAATAAGAGAAGACGACATTTCAAAATGACGATTTGTTTTTATTTTTGCTCAGCTCATGAGGCACCCACTTATTGAACTTTTTCACATTTCTAAGTTGCTTCAAATGCTGAATGACTTAGAATGGTCGATGTTGAGTTCTTCAGCAACTTCTTATGTAGTTGTAAGAGGATCAGTTTCGATGATTGCTCTCCATTGGTCATTGTCAACTTCTGATGGCCGGCCACTATGCTCCTCATCTTCAAGGCTTTTGTGTCCTTTGCAAAACTTCTTGAACCATCTCTGCACTGTGCGTTTGGTAGCAGCTCCTGGCCCTAATGTATTGTTGATGTTGCAAATTGTCTCTGTTGCTTTATGACCTGTTTTGAACTCGAATAAGAAAATTGGTCAAATTTGTTTTTTGTCTAATATCACTTCCATAGTCTAAAATAAACATAAAGTAAACAGCAAGTAATAAGTCATTAGCAAAAAACATAGAGGGAGACATGTGCATTTAATGATGCATAACATCACCACATTTATTAAGAATGTATTCCAATATCGAATGTCAAATTTAAACAATACAAAAACCGCAATTACTTTTGCACCAACCCAACTTCTCTGGAAGGTCCAGGCCAGCTTTTAAAAGAGAGGTGGGGGCATGTGATTTTTAGAAGAGGCACTTCAAAGTGGCCCATCATTAGAATCTTTCATCAATAAAATAGCAAGCCAATATGAGATTCTAAGATTTTTACTAATTCATTTATTAACACAATTCAGCATACATTTTTCAAACATTGATGTGTGTGCTTCTTTTACTTCGTATTAGGTGCTGGCGATGCAGAAATGCAGAAGCTATTCTTACCTGAGAGATGTTTACAGCTGACTGCAGGTGACAGGCACATAAACAGATTATTCCAATAGGACAGGATAAGTACTATGAGGCAGACATCCAAAAGCCACCAGAAAGAAAGAGGAAGGGTCGTGAACTCTGCTGAGAAGTCAGGGGATGAGGTTATGGGTTATTATTGGACCTTTACTCAAGTATAAATCCATTTTCCACACGGACACAGTGGCTCACGCCTGCAATCCCAGAACTTTGGGAGGCCGAGGCAGGCTGATCATTTGAGGTCAGGAGTTCAAGACCAGCCTGGCCAACATGGTGAAACCCCATCTCTACCAAAAGTACAAAAATTAGCTGGATGTGGTGGCAGCTGCCTGTAATCCCAGCTACTTGAGAGGCTGAGGCAGGAGAATCACTTGCATCGAGGAGGCGGAGGTTGCGGTGAGCCAAGACCGCGCCACTGCACTCCAGCCTGGGTGACAGAGTGAGACTCCATCTCAAAAAAAAAAAAAAAATCATTTTCCACACGCGTGGTTAATGGATTGTTCCAGGCAGAGGAAACAGCATGTGCTCATGTTGGGACATGTGAGTGAGTACGAAGTATGTGGGGATCTGTGAGGAGGTTGGCGTGGCCATTGTGTATGCTACAGGGCGGTGCTGGAAGAAGCACTGCCTTTGGATGAGGCTAGAGAAGACAGCAGGGGCCAGACTCTGCTGGAGAGCTTGGACTTCATCCATAGGCACGGATACATCCTGAGCAAATAGGCTTGAAAGCATAAATATCACGGAGGGAGGGCTCCCTCTCTCCACTCACAATATCAGTTTAAGTACAAACAACACCAAGAAAATGAGCCTCTAGAAATAATCAAGTTTATACTTATTGTACTATGGTCATCGCCAGTGTAATCACTGACTTTCAATGCACAAATCTGATTTGTTTTTCCCTTTTCTCTAAGACAACAATATATATTGTTTCCTGCTTACTCTTAGTAGGATAAACAAATCACTTTCTTGCATACTGGCCTTTCACAGATGGGAGCACTATTAGATGTAAGGGTGTTTATGTAGCAGGAGAAGGATCGATTGTGCATGAGAAATCACACTGTGCTTCAGGACTGTCACACATACACACACACACACACACACACACACCCTACGGGGGTTGCCAATACATGAAATTTCTTACCTGCTGACACTTCTGGTGCAACTCTGGCAGACGGTACCTAGAGTGGGACAACATCTGATACCACAGGAGAGACCCTCGCTCGCTCCTTATTTAGCCCAAAGAGCTTGTTTGCTTTGCACTACTTTTCTCTATCTTACTTTCTAGGGTTGACTAACCTTGTCCAAAAAGCTCATTCATTATTTGAGATTTTCTACATTTCTACATTTGTGCTTCTAGAATGCTGTGTCACTAAACTAAGATGCTGGGCTTTGAAGATATGACAAGTGCAACATATCACAAAAGGAACTGAGCCACTGAATGTGGTCTCTGGCCTCCTGATTCTCTGCCATCACAGAGGCAGAAGAATCCCATGGTTGGGCATGCCCCAGAAACATCTTGAGGCTTCTAGAGGGAAACGTAAATACTGGCTAACAATTTCTGATTCTGTAACAGCAGGAGGGTCTCTAATCTTGGAACACCACGCCAGGTATCTAACTAGCTTTCTGAATGACAATGAACCAGTTGGGAGTGGGGATGGGGCACAAACTGATTTTGGAGGTCTCCTGTCTCAGCTCCTACCTCCTGTGGTTGTCACGATTATTTTCTTTTCTTTTTTTTTTTTTTTTTTGGGACGGAGTCTTGCTCTGTCGCCCAGGCTGGAGTGCAGTGGCGCGATCTCGGCTCACTGCAAGCTCCGCCTCCCAGGTTCACGCCATTCTCCTGCCTCAGCCTCCGGAGTAGCTGGGACTACAGGCGCCCGCCACCACGCCCGGCTAATTTTTTCGTATTTTTAGTAGAGACGGGGTTTCACCGTGTTAGCCAGGATGGTCTTGATCTGACCTCGTGATCCGCCTGCCTCTGCCTCCTAAAGTGCTGGGATTACAGGCGTGAACCACCGCGCCCGGCAGATTCTTTTTTCTTTTGCCTTGCACCCTTAAGAATAGACACTGACTATTCCTCTTGGAAATGGACTCTGTAGCAGTCATTTTAATTTGTGGGCATTTCCAGGCATGGCATATTGAATCCAGAAGCTTTCCTGGACACATTCATGAAGCATTTATGTAAAGATCATTGGAGAAGGAGAATTAAAATTCCAGATCCTATCACTAAGCCTGTGGCCTCAGGCAAGCCACTTTTCTTCTCTGAGCTTCAGTAGTCCCACCTTTAGATTGAAAATGTTGAACTGGCTCGGGGATGTTAGATGCCAAAAGGTGGCAAAGAGATAACAGAGCAATGAAGCAGGCTGGTTGTTTGTACACCAGCAAACACTGTGTGAGGGGCTGGAGAAGGGGGCTGTGGCACTGCAGAAGGGGGCCAGCCAGCTCCAGCTCTTTGCTTTCATGCAGGAACAGAAGCCTTGAGTTTGGAGAGCTTCTGGATTTTCCAAAAAAGCCTGTAGTCCAGATTTTATGAGAAATTTCTAAAATTTTATATGTAGACCTAACACTTTTGGAAACACTAAGCAAACCAAATAATCTCATCCATTGACCAAATTTCACCCTATGGGTGGGTCACCAGTCTCCATCCTCCAGATGGATTGGCCTGTCTCCCAGTTCTATTTTCCAGTGGTTCAATGATAGTATTAGTACTTTACCAGGGCTGGAGTTCCCAGTAATAACTTTGGGAGCCCTTCTGTGGTTGTTTAAAAAATAGGCCCTGTTATTTAGCTCTGCGATTTGGACAGGTCATTTCCCCTCTCTTTTGTAAAATGAAAAACAATGAGATCTATTTCCATGAGGCTGTTGTGAGAATTATAGGAAATGATGTGTCCAAACGAACATGCTCAGGGTATAACCACAAGTTATGCCTCCTTTCCTTCTTCACCTTTTCCATTTTGATTTTCATGTGCTCATTAAGTCACTCAATAAATAATAATCAAGCTCTTACTGTGGAACAGGCATCGTGCCAGGCACTGAGAATACAATAGTGAACAAGCTGGACAGACTCTCTGAACTCTGGGAAATGTTCGTAACCATGCAAGTAATCCTTATTGAATGCTAATTGTGTGCCAGGCATTATGCTTATTACCTTTATAAGATTAACCCTTTAATACTTGTAATCATCCTATAAAGTATTTACTATTATTATCCTTACTTACAGATTTTTAAAAAATGAGGCCAGATAAATACAAATTAAAACCACAATGAATGGCTACTATTAAAAAGTCAAAAAAACAACATATATTGGTGAGGCTGCATAGAAAAGAAAATGTTTACATACTGTGGGAATGTAAATTAGTACAACCTCTATGGAAAACAGTATGGAGATTTCTCATAGAACTCAAAGAACTAAAAATAGAACTACCATTTTATTCAGCAATCCCACTACTGGATATCTACCCAAAGGAAAAGAAATCATTATATCAAAGACACGCCTGTACTCGTATGTTTATCACAGCACTGTTTACAATTGAAAAGTCATGGAATCAACCTAAGTGCCCCTCAATGGATGATGCGGTAAAGAAACTGTGGTACATATAACATGGACTACCACTCAGCCATCAAAAGAATGAAATCGTGTCTTTTGCAGCAAAATGGAAGGAGCTATAGACCATTATCTAAGGAAAATAGCTCAGAAACAGAAAGTCAAATGCTGCATTTTCTCTCTTGTAAGCGGGAACTAAATAATATGTACACACAGACACACAGAAAGGAATTATAGACACTGGAGACTACAAAAGGTGGGAGGGTGGGAGGGGTTGAGGGATGCTAAATTACTTAATGGGTACGATATACACTATTCAGGTGATAGTTACACTAAAAGCTTAGGTTTCACCACTAGGCAATATATCCATGTAACAAAACTGCAACTGTACCCCTAAGTCTATAAAAAAAATAGAAGACCAGGAAAGGGATAAGTTACTTGCTTCAGGTTACAGAACTAATAATGATAGAGCTGGGTCTTTAATCCAGCTCTGCCTGACTCTAATCACTTAATACGCATTAATGATTTTAGGCAAGTGCGGCTAAGGCCAGGAAGCTAACAATAGGGAGGATGCCGTGCTGAGGCTAAGAGAGAAGAAATATGGGGATGTGGGAGCAGAGAGGAGGGGGGCTTATTCTAGTTGTGTGCGTGTGTGTGTCTGTGAGAAAGAGAGAGAGACAGAGCAAGAGGGAGAGAGAAAGAGAGAGCATATGGGGGACAGAAAGAGGGAGAGAGGGAGGAAGAGAGAGTGGGAGAGAGAGAGAAGGGGGAGAGGGGGAGAGAGAGAAAGGGAGACAGAGGGGAGAGAGAGAGAAAGGGGGGAAGGGAAAGAGAAAGAGTAGGGGAGAGAGAGGGGAGTGAGGGAGAAGAAGAGAGGGGGAAGGGAAGGAGTGGGAGAGAAAGAGTGGGATGGAGAGGGAGGGGGGAGGGAGAGGGAGGGAGAGAGAGAAAGAGTAGTAGAAAGAGCAGGGGAGGGAGGGAGACAGAGAGAGAGAGGAGGAGGGGGACAGAGAGCATGCAAGAGAAAGGCGGGAGAGACAGAGTGGGAGAGAGGGGAGAGAGAGAGCAGGAGGTGGAGAGAGAGAGCAGGAGGTGGGGAGAGAGAGGGTGAGAAAGAGAAAAAGAGAGAGGGGGAGAGAGAGAGGGAGAGAACAGGGAAAGAGAGAGAGGGAGAGAAAGAGAGGGACAGAGAGAGAGAGAGGAAGAGAGAGTGTTGGAGGAGAGAGAGCGAAGGAGCAGGGGTTAGGGAGAGATGGGAGTGGGACTGGTTAAGGAGCATGCTCCAGAGCACATGGCATCGAAGTTTGGGTCTGGAAGCTCCAAGGGTCTGATGAGAGTTCTGGAAGCACCTACAGGAATCACTGAGATGGCAGAATCCCTCTCTCTCCTTGGCTTCCTCACTTTGCTTCTCTTGTGTAAAGCGTCTCTCTGTCTCAAAAATAATAATCGATTGAAAAAGAAATCATATGGAGACAGCAGAGAGAAAGGGCAACCCCTTAATGTGGCATCAGAAGAGAAGTCTCCTCTGGGAAACAGGTGCCCACCTGATCTTCATCACTCCGCTTATTCCTCTTGCAGAATCCGTTCTCTGGGACCCGTAACTCCATGACAACGGCTCTGGGCCAAGTCACTCAGGGAAACAGAGTGGCCCGTGGTTAAGCCCAGGGGCTCGGGCATCAGATTCTTGAGGTCAAAGCCTGGCTTCTCCTCTCTGCTTCTGGGACCTTGGACTGGTTACCTAACATTCTTCTTGCCTCAGTTTCCCCATATGCCATATGAACTTCACAATAATAGGACTTAACTCTTACAGCAATTTGGATAGTCAAAAGAGATAATGAGGTGGATGGCTGATCAAGAAGCCTCCATATCATAGATGCTCAGCAGCTACTTGTGGATTAGGGAATCTGGAAAACGCAGAATCAAACTTATCTCTCCTTATTCAGCAATTGTTCTTTGAGCACCTTTTACACATTACATATGCCTAAGCAGTGATTATCTCATGTAATCCTCATGAAAACCTTGCAAAGTAAGCATTCTTAAACTTTTCTCGCAGATGATCTCTCAGCATCATTCAAGTTATTGAGCCCAGTTCTTTTCACGGGCAGATGGATGTCATGGAGCACCCCTAACTCATGGCCTTTGCAGATTCTTTTGCCTGGGATGTTTTTCCTTCTGCTATTCATAGGACATACTCCGGATTGTTCCAGAACTCTGTTCAAAAGTCACTTCCTCTGAGAAGCCTCCTCGACTTTTTTTTTTTTTTTTTTTTTTGAGATGAAGTCTCACTTTGTTGTCCAAGCTGGAGTGCAATGGCGCAATCTTGGCTCACTGCAACATCCACCTCCCAGGTTCAAGCGATTTTCCTGCCTCAGCCTCCCGAGTAGCTGGGACTACAGGCATGCACCACCACACCTGGCTAATTTTTGTATTTTTAGTACAGAAGGGGTTTCACTATGTTAGCCAGGCTGGTGTTGAACTCCTGGCCTAGTGATCTGCCTGCCTCAGCCTCCCAAAGTGCTGGGATTACAGGCGTGAGCCACCGCGCCCAGCCCCCCTGACCTCTTTATGTAAAACAGCACACCCGCAACCCTGTTAGTCTTTCATCCTGATTTATTTTTCTTCCTTTTAGCCGACATTTTATCTCTCTTCCCTGTCTTCCAACTTTCTTACTTAACTTCATCACTAGAACTCAAGCTTGGCAAAGATAGAAACGTGCTCTTGCTTGTCCAGTGCTATATTCCTAGTTCCTGAAAATCAATAAAATAGTTGCTCAATAAATGAATTGACACATGGATGGATGAGTGGAATAATGAATGGCTCGATAAGAAGATGGGTGGATAATTAGATGAGAAGGTAAATGGGAGAATGAATGAATAGGTGGATAGATGGTGAATGGATGGGTGGGTGGAGGGATGGAAACACATGGGATTTTGAGTCAGGCAGGCCTGGGAAAAAACCCTGGTTGTGTCTGTCACTTACGCCTGAGCTGTACATCCCTTCTCTATCCCTGAGTAATTCATTTGGCATCACTTTGAGCATTACTGAATCATTAAGAAACATGCTCACATCTTGTCCGGTGGTTTACTGTGTTCTGGGACATCACAGAGATCAGAGGTGGTTAAGAGCCAAGGTGAGGGAAGTCTGTTTTCTGTTCACTCCCAGACTTCAAGTAGAGCAGCTTCTACTTATCTGTCATAAACATGCAAATTCTGCATGAGATTGGAGTTCATTAGGAGAGTTAAGCTGCTACAAAATGAAACACACGCTGATCCTGAAATATGATCAAACTCTTTCATCTTATGGGTAATGAAATTGTTCCAGATATATGCATTTACTTCACTGAAGTCCCATGGGGATTGAATGTCATGGTTGAGACCTGGCTTAATTTTAACTCCAAGCTCAATTGTCTTTCCATCGTGTAATTCACTCATTTGTTTATTCAATCATTCAATGCACACTTATTGGTCTCCTACAACGTCATGGACCTGAGTCTCATACCTCAATCTAGGTGTTTGGGATATAGAGAAAAAACAGACAGGTAAGATTCCTGCACTCTTAGAACAGCCAGTAAACAAATAATTAAACCAGACAATTTTGAATATTAAACTAAGAAAAATCAGAACATGTTGTGTGGAAGGATGGCACTGATGGTGGTGGTAGGTGATCCTGGAACCCACTCAGAGGATATTAGGTACAAATAAGCATGGACGTAACTCAGTGGATCCTCCTTGGTGAAAAAAGATTTGCTTCCTTTCAGGAAAAAAATAGTCTAGATAAGACTCCAAACTCCTCCTCATCCCATTTCCTCTCCCTGTCTAGGTCTGAAAAACCTTGCTGGCAAAGTGGCTCTCAGCAGCCCAGACCGATCAATGTGGCACATGCAATTTATTGCTTGGTAAGCCCAGGATCTCGTTTTGATGAACCCCAGTGACATGTATGTTTTATTGCTTAGTAATCCAGGATTGGTTTTTATCAGCCTCACTGCCCAATTTCCATTTATTGTGCTCCAACTTCTATTCGACTCTTCCATGTGAGTTCATGGGAAGTTTATGCTTGGATGGAACAACAGTATATTAAACTGGAAAACACACATACGTGTAGACACACAGGACAAAAAATTTTCCTATTCAGGGTGACTCTGGGGTGCAGATGGAATGAGGGAGCCTTTGAACATGCCTTCCAGTAGCAGTGATATTAATAAAGGTATAAGAGAGGTTATGGAAAAAAGACTGCTCATAGGAAATGCAATCTCAGAGGCCTGTTGGCACCATCATTTTGGGGCGCCTGAAGCAAGAATTTTTAGAATAAAAAACAACTAATTCTGCACTTTCGTAGATCAAATTTGAGATAAGCATGACATTTTCTTTGATTCTGTCCTCATTTAAATTATGTTTGGTGACCCTTGGATGCCTGTCTTCTGAGATTGAGTTTAGCCTATTACTCAAGAATGTGATATTGTAATTCAGAAAGCACTCCTTAAGCACCTACTGTACACACAAATGTGTGATAAAAATAGAGGAAAAGGAAAATATATTATTCCCATTGTATTAAAAAAAAATTCTGGCCAGGCACCGTGACTCACGGCTGTAATCCCAGCACTTTGGGAGGCCGAGGCAGGCGGATCACGAGGTCAGGAGATCGATACTATCCTGGCTAACACGGTGAAACCCTGTCTCTACTAAAAATACAAAAAATTAGCCGGGGGTGGTGGCGGGCACCTGTAGTCCCAGCTTCTCGGGAGGCTGAGGCAGGAGAATGGCATGAACCTGGGAGGCAGAGCTTGCAGTAAGCCAAGATCGCGCCACTGCACTCCAGCCTGGGCAACAGAGCGAGACTCCGTCTCAAAAAAAAAAAAAAAAAAAAAAAACTTTCTTGGAAGACATGCCATGACTGAATTAAAATGATTCTGGAGTGCAGCTGCTGGAGGGGGTCTGTTGGTGGGAAAACTTCCAGTGAAAGGTGTGCAGAGTGGTGGTTATGCCCTTGAACCAATTCCAACGCCATCCTTCCCCGGCTGGACAGCCACTGCCTCAGGAAACCCTTTCTGACGCCTCCATCTTGGGTGCAGACTTTGAACCCTGATCTTCACACACAGAATTATTATTCTTCAGGTAAACTTGGGTCCAGGAGGACAAACACTACCATGTGGGCCCTGTCTTTTGTCGCCTTCACTTTCAGGAAAGCCCTTCTCTGCGGGTGGACCTGACCTGGCAGCTTCACATTGCTGTCTCCCCAGCTCAATAACTTCAGGAGAAAGAGTTTCTATTCTCACATGATTCTATTAAGATCCTGGGAGAGAATCCTACTGGACTGTGTTGAGTCACATGCTTATTTCTGAACCAATCACTGTGGCCAGAGGAATGGAGTACTCTGATTGGCCAAACCTATATTGGGCTCCCACCATGAAGCTGGAGTGTGGTAGTCAGTGACTTCCATGTTACGTGGAGTCATAGTGGATAATGGATGATTCTAAAGGTAAAACTCAGGTGCTGCTGCCCAAAGAAGAAACAGGTTCTAGAAGGGCAAAACTAGTCAGTGCTCATCTCATTGTCTCATGACACATTCCACATCCCACCTCCTGTTACGGTTATATTTGCTTATCTCCCCTCCCAGATATAAGCGTCTTCAGACCAGAAGCCACATCTGTTTCAGCGGCTCCTGCTTAACCCTGGGGAGTGCCTTTCACACGGCAGGTGCTCAGTAAACCTAGATTCAGTGGAATAATACATATCCAAGCTCTTCTTTTACTTTGTTTGGTGTGATTAAGAATCCCTGCGTGGAAAGAAATGTTCATTTCAGCACTCCTTTCCAACAAATACATCTTCATGTAAAAGGCAAAGCCTTCAGAGCTTGTATAGTTCCTGGTTTTTACGGTTAACAAATAAAGTTGAACAAAATTAATGAATGTGTCAAAATTTCTGAGGCTTTGATGACTCAGACTCATTGAGTAAATATTTCTATTGAATGAAACAGATTTATCTTTCCATTGCTCATAACTGTGGGTCATTTAATAGATGAGGCAGGCTGAGGCTTCTGCGGAAACAGAATACTGAAGTGGGAAGTAAAGAAAGATAGGAAAGGTCTTCCAGGCATCTCGAAAGTTTGGGGCTAAAAAAGTTTAATTAAAAGTAAAGGTTGGAATTCACAAAAGTTTTTTTCTTGTAGAGATTTGTACTCGGCTTAGGATAGCCAACATCAGATGAAAAGATCTAGTCTAGGTAAGAGGATTTCCTTCCTTAGAGGATTTCCCGTGAGTTAAAGAGAAACCCAACCCTGTTTTGGAATCAATTTCTGTTTTGGAATTCAAGCACTAGGCTAACTACATAGGAATTACTTGAGAAGCCTGTCCAAAGTAAACAGTTCTGGGCCCACTCTCAAGGTTCTGACTTATTAAGAGTGTGGGGTAGGAAGGAGGAATCTGTGTTGATTTATTTTATTTTATTTTATTTTACTTTAAGTTCTGGGATACATGTGGAGAACATGCAGGTTTGTTACATAGGCATACATGTGCCATGGTGGTTTGCTACACCTATCAACCTGTCATCTAGGTTTTAAGCCCCACATGCATTAGGTATTTGTCCTGATGCTCTCCCTCTCCTTGTGGGTATAAGGAGCTAGGTATGAGAAACTCTCTATGCAGTTTCCTGCTCACCTGCTCCAGCTGTGTGGGTCATGTGTAAGAGCTGAGAATCTGGAGTTGGCTAGAGCTGAGTGAGAATCTCAGCTTTGCCCAATATTGTCTGGAAAACCTTCAGGAGAAAGATATTTAAATTTTCTGATGCTCAGGCCAGGTGCAGTGGCTCACCTGTAATCCCAGCACTTTGGGAGGCTGAGGCGGGAGGACTGCTTGAGGCCAGGAGTTTGAGGCTGCTGGGAGCTATGATTGTGCCACTGCACTCCAGCCTGGGCGACAGAGCGAGACCTTGACTTTAAATACTCACATGCACACATGCACGTGAGTGCGTGCACGTGCACACACGCGCACACACACACACACACACACACACACACTCTCTCTTCTCCAATACTCAGAAAAAAATGCAGACAATCGAAGCCCTTACATCACAGGGTGATGTGAGGATGAAGAGAGGAGGTAAGGTAGGGACAACACAGAGCCGAGTGCATGGCATAGCACACACTACTTGTGTTTAGTGTTAAATACTGCTAGTGTTGTTATGCCACAGATACAAGGGCTGCAGGTGTGTCTCTCTCACTTTAAACAAACTGCTGTGTAAAAGAAATTATCAATCACATCTTTAAAAAAAAGAACAAGAATTTACAGACTGCTTACTATATGCTGGATGCATATAGTAATTTTCATTTGTTAATCCATTGTGTCCTTATAAGAATCTTACGAAGTAGATTCTATTATTATTCCCATTATATAAATGAGGAAACCGAGGTATATAGAGGTTAAC
Source organism: Homo sapiens (assembly GCF_000001405.40). Taxonomy (NCBI): domain Eukaryota; kingdom Metazoa; phylum Chordata; class Mammalia; order Primates; family Hominidae; genus Homo; species Homo sapiens. The sequence continues at coordinate 26,741,117 of NC_000016.10, read as the reverse complement.
TAACTCCTTTTACAGATGACTCATTCAGGAGCCTTATGGGTGGCAAGAAAATACCTTTGAATGTCATCTGATTTAGCAGAATTGCATTGGGAGAACAGTTCTTGGGGGCAGACTTGCAATGTGACATAAATCCAATTTAATTGCTTGTGTAGGCAGGCATTTCCAATATGGGGTTCTGCTTCTCAAATCCTTGGGTGTGGCTGTTTTAGAAGAGACTCTGCTTTTCTGCACATTAATACGTGTGCAGCTGATGATTCTGAAGCTGTACTGCCCTGGAGTCTTTTCATCTAAAGCACCCAGGTGGAGATTTCTACCTCTTTCTCTCAGTTCTCATTCAAGGCACTGCTTGGAGAGTCTTGCCCCGAAATTCCTAAGAATGTCATCTGGCGCTGAGGCAGTGGCCGCAGCTCAGCATGCACATCTAGGTCTGGGCTTCTTGTGGGTTCAGTGGAAGCAGGGAATGAAATCTGTTGACTGATGCCTCCTTCCTGGTGTGAGGAGGAGCCACACATCAAAGTGCTCCTTGCTATGGCAGTGCCTGGTTTGCAGAAGCAGTCCGGATGCCCGTACTGTTGCTTGCAAGAAAGGCAACTGCTTCGTGGAAATCAATTACCAGGGCCTGTTTAATGAGCTGCTTGCCTCTCCTCTCAGTGTGGTGGTTGGCAGCTTAATCCACATAAATTCCTACAGACGTGTGGTTCGTCTTGCTGTTCTCCCCTGGCCTGTGCAGCAGGGTTTATGGAAGCCAAGATAAGTTCCCAGGACCCAGACTAAAGGGTAGCATCTCCTCTCTCTTGCTTCCCTTTCCTGTCCCCTCCCCAGGTACAGAGATGCCTGTCATACTTGAAATTCAGCCATCACTATTCATTGTTTTGGGCTTGAAGACCATCTTTGATCTTCTGTTCTTTTCTCCCTCTCCTTTCTTACTTATTAGGTTTCTTTTAAATCTCAACCAACATGGCATCCTTCTTGTAACTAGACAAACAATTCAAAGGCATTTAAAGAAGTAAATAATTTTTTCCCTGACTCCTTCTAACTTTCCCTCCAGCCTCTGAGAAAAACAATGCTAATTATCTGTTTATCTTGCCACAACTTTTTTCATGCTCCTATACATACACAAATATGGATACACATTTGTAGATTTTTTTTCTAAACTTGTATTATATTATGTACACTACTTTCCAGTTTCATTTTCTTCCCCTCATTTATCACACCAGAAATTCCTGCAGATATATGAGTAAATCAACTTATCTTTTTTAAATAGCTGCATAATATTTCAGTTTGGATTTACATCATTAATTTAACCATTCTTCTACTGATTGACATTCAGGGTGTGTCAGGGTGTTTGCGAGTGTATGTTTGATACTTCAAACAAAACATTATTGCAATAAATATGCTCATGTCTCTGTACTGATATTTTTATTTCTGTAAAACAGATTACCTTAAGTTGAAATAGATACATCAAAAGGTATTTTTTTATTTCAATAGCTATTGCCATATTAATTCCCAACAAAATATTAAGGCTTCCAACAAAAATATGGAAATGCCTGTTTCACAATACATATACTAGCACTGGATGTTATCTGACTTTTCTGATTTTTGTTACTCTGACTGAGGAAAAGTTGTATCTCAGTGTTTTGATACGCATTTCTCTGAGTAATAATGAATTTGTACCTATTTTCATATATTTAACTGTATTTTGCTCTCCATAATCTCTCTTAACATGCAGTTACTCTCGAAAGGGGGTAATGCCTTCATGCCTTGGTCACTTGTGAGCTCAGAATGAGACCTTACAAGAGGAGAACTGCCATAGGAGTTAAGAATAAAAACATTGCTTTTTTCAAAATGTGTTAGGGACTTGGATTGTATCAATGTCAATATCCTTGTTGTAATATTGTACTATAGTTTTACAAGATGTTAACCATGTAGGAAATTGAGTAAAAGGCACACAGGATCTCTCTGTATTACTTCTTACAATTGCATGTGATCTACAATTATCTAAAAATAAAAAGTTTAATTTAAAATGTGTTATAAATCAGTTCTTTCCATTTGAGGGCTATTTGCCATCCCTTTAAGGATTGTGTTTTTAACACAAATTTAGAGAGGTTATTTAAGGCCAGTTTCTCCCTGGCACTTTCCAGTAATTTGGCTAGCTGTTATTTGGTGGGCGATATAGTTCCTATGGAGTAGCCACCTAGATTTTCTTCGGTTCAAGAGATGAAGGAGACATACCTTAGAATATGGTTCTGTCACTTCAACTGTCACGTCCCAGAAGACTTCTTCAACAACTGCATAATTTGGATAGCTGTTTAATTTGAGCTGATCTTTAAAATGTGCCCACTATAGCACCATTTAAAGAAAAGTTTACTCATAGAATAGGCATTTATACCATGCCTAATATATGTCAAGCACTGTTTAAGAATGGCGGGTACAGGGGACCAGGCACGGTGGCTCATGCCTGTAATCCCAGCATTTGGGAGGCCGAGGTGGGTGGATCACTTGAGGTCAGTAGTTGGAGACCAGTCTGGCCAACATAGAGAAACCCCGTCTCTACCAAAATACAAAAATTAGCTGGGTGTGGTGGCATACACCTGTAATCCCAGCTACGTGGGAGGCTGAGGCAGGAGAATCACTTGAACCTAGGGTGGTGGAGGTTTCAGTCAGCAGAGATCATGCCACTGCACTCCGGCCTGGTGACAGAGTGAGACCCTATCTCCAAAAAAATAAAAAAATAAAAACAATGGAGAATACGGTATTGAACAAGACAGTGCTCATGGGTGCCACATTCACACGGGGAAGGACTATATAACCTGGCTAACATTAAATAGACTCACTTCAGATAGTAATATGCTTTATAAAGAAAAAGGTGTGACACATCACTGTGAAGGGGGTAGGTTATCATTGGATCAAATAGAGGCATTCTGAAGAGATGACATTGACCTAAGACCTGAGTAATGAGAATAAACAGGACCAAGCAGAGATCTGTGGGTAAAATATTCCTGGATGAAGAACAGCATATGTAGAGGTCTTAAAAAGGGATAAAGTCCAGAAAATGCAAGAAACAGAAAAACCCCTCTGTGTCTAGATCATAGTTAGGGTAGGGGGCGTTGACTTGGATTTAGGTAGGAGAGGTAGTTTAGGGACCTGGTCACGTAGGGCCTTTTAATGCCACAATTAGAAGACTGGATGCATTCTAAGCCACTGGCAAGCCAGTGAAAGATTTTATGCATGAAGTCATGAGGTAAGTGTGCATGATTTGATTTGTGCTGCCAGAGGTGCATGGTGGTGGTTGTTTGAAGGAAAGCATGTAGGTTAGGCAGTAGAGAAGAAAATAGACAAGACAGATGTTATTGTAGTATTCCAGGTGAGAGATAGTGGCTTGGAATAGGGGGGTGCAGTAGAGGTAGCAAAAAAATTGGACAATTCTGATGTATATTTTGGAGGTAGAATAAGAGGAAATTATTGATGGATTGTATGTGAAGAGTAAGAGAAGAGAATTGAAGATCATTCTGAAGTTTTAGGTTTGAGAAACCTGAAGGGATGATGGTGTCAGTTTATGAAGTCAAGAAAGGGAAGATAGGCCAGGCGTGGTGGCTCATGCCTGTAATCCCAGCACTTTGGGAGGCTGAGGCGGGCGGATACCTGAGGTCAGGAGTTCAAGACCAGCCTGGCCAACATGGCAAAACCCCGTCTCTACTAAAAATACAAAAAAAATTAGCTGGGCGTTGTGGCAGGTACCTGTAATCCCAGCTACTTGGAAGGCTGAGGCAGAAGAATCGCTTGAACTCAGGAGGTGGTTCAGTGAGCCGAAATCACAGCATTGTACTCCAGCCTGGACAACAAGAGCAAAACTCCACCTAAAAAAAAAAAAAAGAAAGAAAGAGAAAGAAAGAAAGAAAGAAAGAAAGAAAGAAAGAAAGAAAGAAAGAAAGAGAAAGAAAGAAACAAAGAAGGAAAGAAAGAAAAAGAAAGAAAGAGAAAGAAAAAGAAAGAAAAAGAAAGAGAGAGAAAGAAAAGAAAGAAAGAAAGGAAGGAAGGAAGGAAGGAAGGAAGGGAGAGAAGTTAGAAGTTTGAGGGAAAAATCAAGAGTTCTCCACTGACCATGCTGAATTTCAGATGGTATCCAGATACCATCTCACCATTGGCCAGTCTATATGAATCTAGAGTCAGGCACAAGGGCTGAGCTAGAGCTACAGATTTTGGCATGACCAGCACCTAAGTATTATTTAAAGCCAGAGTACAGGAAAAAAAGAGAGGGAATCCCTGGATTCCTGGATTCAGACCTGTCTCCTGAACTTAGATTCATATATCTAAATGCATACTCAACCTACTATTCACTTGGAATGTTGGGTAGTAATCTTAAGTTTACCACATCTAGAGCCCTCTTGACTTTCCCCCCAAAACTGCCTGAACAATGATTATCCTTATCCCAGTTCATTGCAATCCATTTATCCAGATCTTAAGCCAAAAACATGAGAAGTTCTTGACTTCTCTTGCACCCCACATGCAAACCCTCAGAGAAGCCTGCTCGTTATACCTTCAACATCTGTGCTGAATCTGGCAACTTTTCACCCACTCTGTTGACAGCACTGCTCATCATCTCTTCCCTGTATACTCTCCTAAGTGGCCTCCCTCCTGAGTTGTTGACATAAATCAGACCATGATCACCCCTCTCCTCAAAACCTGCCCATGGGTCCACATTTCATTCAGAGTAAAAGTTAAAGTGCTTATAAGGGCCTTCTAAGACCCAGCATAATTTTGTCCTCAATACTTCGTATTTACCAGGGTCCTCCAAAGAAATAGATATTAGGTTGGTGCTAAAGTAATTGCGGTTTTTACCATTGAAAGTAATGGCAAAAACTGCAATTACTTTTGCACCAACCTAATACAATAGGACCTATTGATTTACAGGAAGAGATTTGTATGAGGGATTGGCTCACCTGATTTTGGAGACCAAGAAGTCTTACAATCTGCCGTCTGCAAGATGGAGACCCAGGAAAGCTAGTGGTGTAGTTCCAGTCCAGACCCAGCGTCTGGGGGCGGGGGAGATGGAGCTCTTAGCCCAAGAAAAAAGTAAATATGCCCTTTTTCCGACTTTTTGCTCTATTCAGAACCTCAATAGACTGCATGATGAGGCCTGCCTGCACTGGTGAAGGCCATCTGCTTTATTAGGTCTTCACGCATTCAAATGCTAACCTCTTCCAGAAACATCCTCCCAGACACACCCAAAAAGAGTTTTACCAGCTATCCAGGCATCCCTCAGCCCAGCCAAGTTGACACATAAAATTAACCATCACAAACCTCCTCTTCCGTTTCTCTTCGCCTTGTTTACTTCTCTCCATCAGCGCTGATGTCCTTGCTGTTCTTCATTCCATCCAGCCACATTTCTGCCACAGGACCTTTGCACTTGCCCTGTCCTCTAATTGAAACACTTTCCTGAAACACCTGCTTGGCTTGTTCCTTAGCCTCCTTGAAACATTTGCCCAAATATTGTCTCCTTCTCCCAGCATGCTCTATCCCTTTTATCATACCTTATTTTTTTTTCTGTAGTAACATCACTTTTTATCAAGTATGTAATTTTCATTTATTTTTATTTTCATTGTCTACATCCCACTGCTGAGGGTGTCAGCTTCCTAAGGACAAGGATTTTTGTCTGTTTTATTTACAGATGAGTCCCAAATAGCTAGGGTGGCACAGAGTAGGAAAACAAGAATTCTTTTTTGAATTAATGAGAAATGCACATTCCTAGTAGAAACTTGAGATTTTTAAAAAATTTGGTCTTTATGAGTTTTAAAATCACTGCTTAACTTAATCTTGATTTTCATTCTAGTTCTAGGGAAACTTTTTCCAGTTTTGTTCAACAACAGATGACTTTGGGGGAGGAGTCGAAAAGTTCTTGGTCTCATTCATCGTTCTTCAGCCATTTAAGAAAAAATGGCCACGTTGTAGGGTTTTCTTTTCTTATTATTATTTCCCTCCCACCCTTCCCCATTGTTGCTGGATGAGACTGATTGAATGAAATGGGCTATTTGATGCAGTATGCCAGAGCTCAGTACCCGTCAACCTCCTACATCAGTGATTTGAATAAATAATTCTATACTGTAGGGGAGAAGCTCATCTCCTCTAAGCCCTAGGAGGAAGCAGTTTAGAGAACGGCTTCTTGGAATCGGGTAGACTTGAGTTTCAAGCCCAGCATTCAGTTTCCTTTGGGGGAACCTCGGACAATTCGGCTTCTCTGAACAGACTAAAGAAGTTAATACAATCGAGATAATCATCATGATGTTGTTGGCGCAGTACCGGCTACAGAATAACTACTCAGTTAACAGTAGCAATTATTATTTTCTCTGTCAGTTTTACATCACTTTCCTTTCAATGCCAGAGTGAAAATAAGATAGCAACTTTTTTTTTTTTTTTGAGTGTGAGCTGGGCCAACTCTGCATATGCCAAAAATGTATTTTATCTTATTTGTTCAATCAGAAAAGAATGTCTTTGTCCTGACTGGGCGTGGTGGCTCACGCCTGTAATCCCAGCACTTTGGGAGGCCAAGGTGGGCAGATCACCTGAGGTGGGGAGTTCGAGACCAGCCTGACCAACATGGAGAAACCCCGTCTCTACTAAAAATACAAAATTAGCCGGGCATGGTGGCACATGCCTGTAATCCCAGCTACTCATGAGGCTGAGGCAGGAGAATCGCTTGAACCCAGAAGGTGGAGGTTGTGGTGAGCCGAGGTCACACCATTGTACTCCAGCCTGGGAAACAAGGGCAAAACTCCATCTCAAAAACACACACACACAAACACACACACACACACACACACACACACACACACAAAAACAAAAACAAAAACAAAAAGAATGTCTTTATTCATAAGCTCATTTCAAAGTAAATACCAATACCATTTCTTTTTCACTAGGCTTCAACTGGATGATTCTTCTCCACCCTGAACAGGTTCAGTAGAATTTTAAATGTAGGTGTACCTTCCCTTTATTCTAAAACAAAAATGTCATCTTCAGAGAATCAACCTTTTGGGATCTATAAAGTCCTGATTTGGCATTTAGTTACCCATACTAGCAATTTGGTTTCTGCAAATCAATTTTGGAGCCCTGTTTTAATGACTGTGTGCAGTGGTGTCCTGTGTAAATATTCTCCCAGGCAACAGGAGTTGAATGTGTGCCTCCCTGAGCCTCAGAAGGCTGGGCAGGCCTATTGCAGGGAAATTACCAGCCAAGTGCCAGGGCTTTGGCCTCATGAGCACAGTTTAGGTAAATGCCTTGGCATCAGAACAACGACTCAGCTTTTCTATCTGTGGAATGTGGGATGACACAGTTTTAAGAGGTGCTTCAGCTTTTTCCTTCATTCACTTATTTATTCACCAAGCATTCATCAAGTGGCTAATGTATACTAAGTCTTTTGCTAAGTGCTAGGGACACAAGTAATAGTGGTAGTAGAAGTAGAAGCAGCAACTGCAGTAATAACTGCACTTCTCTTTTCTTTTCTTTCTTTCTTTTTTTTTTTTTTAATTAACCACCTACCATGGACCAGGCCCCCTGCTGTAAACTTTATAGCTATTAGCTCATAATCTGCAGATAACCTTATTTTTTCTATGGTTGGTCATTTCTGCTGGGAGCATGTCTCATGGGGAGAGGGGGGAATATTCCTTTCTCTCATGTTGGGCTAGGGAGGATATGAAAAGTTCGGGGTGGGCGTGGTGGCTCATGCCTGTAATCCCAGCACTTTGGGAGGCTGAGGTGGGCGGATCATGAGGTCAGGAGATCAAGACCATCCTGGCTAACATGGTGAAACCCCGTCTCTACTAAAAATACAAAAAGTTAGCCAGAGGTGGTGGTGGGCGCCTGTAGTCCCAGCTACTCGGGAGGCTGAGGCAGGAGAATGGCCTGAACCCAGGAGGCGGAGCTTGCAGTGAGCAGAGATGGTGCCACTGCACTCCAGCCTATGCGACAGAACAAGACTCAATCTCAAAAAAAAAAAAAAAGTCCAAGAAGGACTGCTCTTCTGGATGTTTAGATAAACTGAGGAGCCATAGGTGAGAGGTTTGGGGATCTGACACTCCTTTCCCTGATAGGTTAAGATAGAGGAATTCACAGCTGATGATGTTTCCAGTCATGTTAGCCCCACTCAGAGAAGCGTGAGTGTATTAGGCAGTACTTGCATTGCTATAAAGAAATATCTGAGACTGGGTGATTTATAAAGAAAAGAAGTTTAATTGGATCATGGTTCTGCAGGCTGTACAGGAAACATGATGCTGGCATCTGCTCAGCTTCTGGGGAGGCCCAAGGAAACTCACAATCATGGCGGAAGGAGAAAGGGGAGCAGGCACGTCACATGGCCAGAGCAGGAGTAAAAGACAGTGAGGGGGAAGTGTCACACACTTTTAAACAACCAGATCTCGTGAGAATTCACTCACTATCACTATCATGAGAACAGCACCAAGAAGATGGTGCTAAACCATTCATGAGAAACCCATTCCCATGATCCAGTCACCTCCCACCCAGCCTCACCTCCAACACTGGGAATTACAATTCAACATAAGGCCAGGCATGGTGGCTCATACCTAAAATCTCAGCACTTTGGGAGGCTGAGGCCAGTAGATCACTAGAGGTCAGGAGTTTGAGACCAGCCTGGCCAACATGGTGAAACCCCGTTTCTACTAAGAATACAAAAATTAGCTGGACACGGTGGGGGGTGCCTGTAATCCCAGCTACTCAGGAGGCTGAGGCAAGAGAATCACTTGAACCCGGGGGGGCAGATGTTGCAGCAAGTCAAGATCGAGCCACTGCACTCCAGCCTGGGCAACAGAGCAAAACTCTGTCTCAAAACAAAACAAAACAAAACCCAACAAAAAAAACTTCAAAAAACAATTCAACATGAGATTTGGTGGGGACATGGATCCAAACCATATCAGTGAATGGTCCTTAAGTTAATAATGATGGGGTTATTGCTTAGTAAAGGAAGCGACAAAGTTGTGCTAACAAGAGAGATTAGATTTCCTTCCATAAAACTATGACTGCATGGCTCTGGTAGAAGCGAATATTGATTTTGATGAGGGTGCATACTTGTCAGGGAATTGTGGAGAAATTCTTCTGCGAATAGGAAGATAATTAGGATTACAGCACCTCAAACATACTCTTCTCTTTGGATCCAGTACCACCTTTTCTCATTTGCTGAGCTAGCAAATTCAGCACTTGGGAGCCTTGAGTTGACCTCAATGCGTGATTGGGTTCCACAACGTACATGATACAAGAAGGTGGAAACACTGGAAGAGAAATGTTTTCCTCCTTTCTGGAGTGATGTGGCTTCTTAAGAGAACTGGGTGAGGATGCTGAGCTGGCAGGCTTAGCTGAGGAGTCCCCAGGTTGAGGGCACTACAGACTAAGAAGACATCATGGAAGGTGAAGGTAAGGAAAGATATACAGTCATATGAGACACCATCTTTCTGAAGGCCCAAGCCTTGGGGGCTTCCTTACTTAGGGTGATTCTACGAACAGGTGAGTTAAACTAAGTAGCAACTTCCGGGCATCTGACACTGAATTGTTCTATAAAGAATGATTGAATGGCCTTTCAATCATTCACCAACCATTTGATAAGCCCGTACTATGGATCAAACACTATGTTACATGTTAGGTATGGCAGCAAACCACACCAGACATGGTTCTTGGCATTATGGGACTAACATTAAACTGTAGGAAACAGACAATAAACACACATATAAATAAATAGGAAAATTACAGAGTATAACAAATTCTAGGAAAGAAACAAAGATGCTCCTGGAAGGCTTCACTGAAGAGGAGTCATTTGAGTTGAGAGCTAACAGAAGAGCTGGAGTCAGCTGCAAAGGACAGGGCAGAGGGAGGGAGGCAAAGTGCTGAGAGTAGGGAGCTCTTGAACTTTAGAGCTGTAATTCTCAACCTGCCTGCACATTGGAATCCCCTAGAGAGCTTTAGAATTTATGAATACCTGTTTTGTATCCCCAAGAGCTTGTGAGCTCATTGGTCTGGGGCTTGACCTGGGCACTGATATATTTTAAGACCTCCCCAGGTCACTCTAAGGAGCAGCCAGAGTTGGGGACCACTGCCTTAGAGGAGCAGAAAGGTGGCTACTATGGCTGGAACTTAGTGAGGGAGGAAAAGAGATACAAGGAGAGGTGGACCAAGGAAAGGTGGATTCTAATTCAGGGCCTTGGATGACATTATGAGGAGCTTGACTTTTATTTTATTCAGTAGAATAAATTTATTTATTTCCACTCATGCAGTATGTGTGCTAGTGTGTGTGTGTGTGTGTGTGTGTGTGTGTGTGTGTTGTGCTGACTGGGGAAGATCAAAAACTGGAAAATGAAGGAGAGAAAGACAGTCCCCATTCTCTGACTTCTGAGAAGAATGGAGGGATGACAGCTTTTCCTGGGGGAATATGGCCCCTGGAGATGTGGAAACTTTGGCTCACTGAAACCAAGACAACCTCTGAAGCTTAAATGACAGATTGGATTTCCTTATTTCTCTCCCACTTAATCAGTTAATAAAAAGCAAAGGGACCTGCCACTTCCAGGTTACCAAGAGATTATTGAGGACTATTGGAGATGAAGGAATGGGAATTTATCTCCCAGAACACACAATGAAGGAGGCCCCTTGAATTCCCTGAGTAATGCCATCTCAGCTAAATGCCACATGGCCCATCCCTTGCCACACAGTGCATTTAACTGACAGCAGCATCAGCACCATGTGGAGCCTGTTGGACAGGCAGAGGTGTGTGTTCCCCCACAACTCCTGACTCAGATCTGCATCTGCACTTTGGAATTGGGAAAGTGCTACCTCACCCATCTCCTGCCTTTAGTCTCCACTCAGCCAACCCAAGCCTTGTCTCCCTTGTTGCTGAGAAACTTTCAGGAGAGATGGGTTTGTGACTCACTGAGAATTTCTCTCCATATGTGCATTTGTAAGAGTGTGTGTGTATGTGTTTGAGAGAGTGAGAAGGAGAGAGGGAGGGAGAGAGGAAGGAAGAGGGAGAGAAGAGTCACCGTTCTTTCCCTCAGATGCTTCTTAGTCATGGTGTCTCTCTCATGTCATACTTCTTCGTCATGGTTTCTCCTTTCCAAGAGAAAGTCATGGTGTCTTTCTCTTTCCTTCTACTGCCTTGGGTTTCCTTTGTGCTTCCTTCCTGACACCACTGTGTCCATGAGGCATGGTCCAACCATTCAAGTCCAGCGACTACTCTTCCCTTACTTCTTCTAGATCTTGTAATTTCTTTCCTGTCTCTGTGACTTCTCTGGCTGGCTTAAGGTGAGACCTCAAACTCTCAAACTTCTCTATGTTTTTACTTTTATTTATTTTATTTATTTATTTATTTTTTGAGATGGAGCCTCCCACTCTGTTGCCCAGGCTGGAGTGCAGTGGTGTGATCTCAGCTCACTGCAACCTCTGTCTCCTGGGTTCAAGCAATTTCCCTCCCTCAGCCTCCTGAGTAGCTGGGATTATGGGCGTGACCACCACACCTGGCTAATTTTTGTATTTTTAATAGAGACGGGGTTTCGCCATGTTCGTCAGGCTGGTCTCGAACTCCTGAGCTCATGTGATCCATGTACCTCAGCCTCCCAAAGTGCTGGGATTATGGGTGTTAGCCACTGCGCCTGGCCTCCCATTTTTATTTTCAAAATTTTAGCTACCTTCTCTCACCCACTCGCTCACTCTCTCCCCCATTTGCTCACCCTCTCCTTCCATCTCTAACAAATGAAATTGCTCTGTCTTTGTCGTAGGTACGGCCATGGGACTTTGCAAAGCCCTTCTACATGCACCATTCCAACTCGTCCCCCAGTAATCCCCATTCTACAGAGAAGAGCACTGAGGATTGGGGAAACCAATCCAGTTGCTCAAGGTGACACAGCAGTAAATAGGGGCCAGGACTGAACCAGGATCTGTCAGACGCTAAAGCCTGTGCTCTTAATAATGAAGAAATATTGCTCTCTGCATGAACAATTTTATTGATTTTTCTATGGGATGTGCTCATTCCTTCTGAACCTTTCCATAGCATTCTGCACATGTGGCAGGATAATATTTATAAGCTATTAGCCATTGGTTCTCTCTTTATTTCTCTTCCCTCCTCCACCTTACTTCTCAAAATTAAGGAGGGGAGGAGAGAGAGAGAGAGAGAAAGCAAGCGAACTCCCACTTTAGTACTGTGCTTAATTCTGCAGGGTGGCAACCAAAACTAACCTGCTAGTCTCTGGCTTTTGTGCTGGAAAAGCCTGAACTCTTGGTGGAGGCCAAAGCTTAGAGGACTGGCTCTATGCCCAGCGTCTGTGGAACCAGGAAAGGGTGGTCGATGCACTGTGCGCTGCCCTGGGCTGAGCTGCGGAGAGAAGAGGAGGGATGATGAGAGAGAGATTGGCATAAGTCAGAGGTAGCCCTAACATCTTGACTCTCAATAGAACATCACTTTGGAGGGTCACAGAGCTTAGGCAGATCTGAAAGTCTTTCTCAGTAGTTGGGACCATAGATAGCTTTTACGAGATGCCCATTGCTCCTCGGTGCATAGTAACAACAAAGAGAGAGCCATTGGATGTGAACAGAAATGCGAGGTTTTGTAGCAGCAGCCTCCATGGACTGACAACTGAGGGTCTGACCGGATGATGGATGAACCGGAACGTAGTTGCCTGGTCAAGAATCTTAAGTAGCCCCTTGCTTCAGACTCCCAGCCCATGCTTGACACCCAGAACTTAGACACATGTCAGGAACAAGAGTAAGATTCTGTCACCAGAGAAGTATGGGAACTCAAACTGAAAATTTACTTGAGCCTGTAAGAAAATGATTCTACTTTTTGCACTGAGTTTCAGGGTAAGAGTGGTGTCCATCACCAGCCTTCTCTAGAGACCAGGCTGTCTCTCACTGGCCAAGTTCTGAAATCTGGGCTGCAAGTCCTCCCAGCCCTGCCCTCTGGGTCCAAGCTCTTTGGAAAACAACTCCGGGTCTCCCCACAGCCGTCCTCTGTCTCACTCCAGGGCACTGCATAGACCTCCCTGCTTCCCCAGGGAAAGCGGGGCCTCCCTCCGTGCCCCTGCATAATTGGGACAATGCGCAGAGAAATTAAAAAGGTCATTAATCACCGTGGAGCCAATGGCAGCTCTCCAGGCCCTATTCTTCATGATGATTAATGGCAGGCAGCTCCTCCCAACTCCCCGATTCGTTTTCCTGCCACTGTTCACTCCTTTTCCCTTGTGGTGTCCTCTTCGTCCCTGCCCAAGGGAACCAGGGCTTCCAGGAACCACTGAAAGGTCTTTCCTAACTGCTTTTGCTGCTACCGGGCCTGGGGTGAATGGCCACATATGCTTTCTGGGCCAAAGTCAGGTTGCCTGAATATTAATGTCTCTCTCCTATTTTACCTTTTTTTTTTTTTTTTTTTAGAGAAGACAAGGTCACACTTTTTCACCCAGGCTGGAGTGCAGTGGGGGGATCATGGCTGACTGCAGCCTCGACCTTCTGGGCCCAAGCAATCCTCCCACCTCAGCCTCCCAAGTAGCTGGAGCTACAGGTGTATACCACCATGCTCTGGCTAATTTTTTTTTTTTTTTTTTTGGAGATGGAGTCTCACTCTGTCGCCCAGGCTGGAGAGCAGTGGCGTGATCTCGGCTCATTGCAACCTCCGCCTCCCGGGTTCAAATGATTCTCCTGCCTCAGCCTCCCGAGTAGCTGGGACTACAGGTGCGCCATGCCAGGCTAATTTTTTGTATTTTAGTAGAGACAGGGTTTCACCGTGTTGCCCAGGCTTGTCTCAAACTCCTGAGCTCAGGCAATCCACCCGCCTTGGCCTCCCAAAGTGCTAGGATTACAGGTGTGAGTCACTGCATCCGGCCACTCTGGCTAATTTTTACATTTTTTGTAGAGAAGTGGTCTCACTATGTTTCCCAGGCTAGTATAGAACTCCTGAGTTCAAGCGATCCTCCCGCATCAGCCTCCCAAAGTGCTGGATTACAGGGTGAGCCATCATGCCTGGCCGTCTCTCTCCTTCTTTTATTACTACTTCTATTATTCTGATAAGCATTATTGATGCCATTCAATGCCCCTGCACTTCCAAATCACCAGGAAGAACTGAGGACAGATCCAAAGAATCTCACTGCTCTTTGCTAATATTGATGATAGTGATATCTTGATCGTGGTGATGGACATGTGTCTGGTGCCAGTGCTAAGTACTTTATGAATGAAATGGATTATTTTATTTAACTACCACAATGACCCTGAAAAGTACACATTATTAGCTTCATGATACAGGTAAGAAAAATATTCAGAGAGGGAGAGTAACCTGCTAATTGTCACACAGCTAGTAAACAACAGAGGACAAATTTAACACAGTTCCATTTGATGCCAAAGCCTGTGCTTTTCTGAAAACTTGGAGAGCTGGATACATTAGCTTTCTTTTTTCAGGTTCATAAGGAAGCGGGTGTCCCCTCACTGTCTCTCCTTTTTCCAACCTGTGGATGGGGCTGCCTTTCCTTGGCAGGATGAGCCAAATTCAGCTCAGGCTTGAACAGCCTTTTTGTTTGCCAATTAGCATCCCATACAGCTCACTGCTGCTTAAAATAAGCAGATCCTCCTGCTCACTGATGCCTCACACTCAGAGTCTCGCTCTGACCAGCCCCCAATTAAGAGGTGCTGGATTTTCCTGGTGATAACTATATGGTGGGGGAATTAGAATGAATTTATGAGAAGAGAGCAGATCCCAAAAACCTGAAGCATGCTGAAGTCCTTTTCTGGGGCTGGAGGGAATGAAGGACCATTACCCAGTCTCCTACAACAGTGTGGAGAGAAGGTGAGGAAGACCAAGGTAGGACTGTGGCTCTGTTCCTGACCACTGGATGGCCTTGGACAAGACAGTCACCTCTAAGTCAGCTTCCTTAGTAAAATTAGACGGTGAGAATAGGTTCTCAAGGTTTAAAGGTGGAGCTAAGAATCTGTCATGGAGATAAAACTTGCACAAAAGGAAAGATACTGGGAGGAGAGAATTCAGAGGAAAGGAGCAATGCGTTGGCTTCCCTGGTCTTCTTTAGGATGCTGTTGGCAGGAAAAACAAGGTCTGTGGGTCACCTGGATAGCACAGGAGCCCCAGCAGGTGGCCTTATAACCATATGAGGATGGAAGTATAAGAATCATACGGCCAGGCACGGTGGCTTACACCTGTAATCCCAGCACTTTGGGAGGCCAAGGCGGGTGCATCACAAGGTCAGGAGATCGAGACCATCCTGGCCAACATGGTGAAACCCCGTCTCTAGTAAAAAGACTTACAAAAATTAGTTGGGCATGGTGGCACGTGCCTGTGATCCCAGCTACTCGGGAGGCTGAGGCAGGAAAATCGCTTGAACCAGGGAGTCAGTGGTTGCAGTGAGCCGAGATCGCGCCATTGCACTCCAGCCTGGTGACACAGTGAGACTCCATCTCAGGAAAAAAAAAAGAAGAATCATACAATATCAGTGAGAAGCATGAGGGTATTAGGTAACACTTATGAAGCAAAAATTATGCGCCAGTCTTTACCATCACCCTATGAAATTGCTACTATTAGCATTCCATATCATCGATAAGAACACTGATTTGCAGAAGACTTAGGTCATTTATCCGAGACCACACGAGAAGTGACTGACCAAGCTGGATTTAAGCCCCACGTCTTTTCAACTCCAGAGCCACAGTTAGTCATAATCCTCATCTGGGCCTCAGGACAGTGCCCTGGATCCAGTACCTGGTGGCCTAGGAGTCCTGGTTGCTTGTGTTCCTAGGGGCTTTCTCCATATCCATAGCCTGCTGCCTTAATTTACCTGCTTAGAACACCTGTCCACCTGAGCTCCCAGAATCAGCTACATAAATTTTTGGGGCACAGTGACAATGAAAATGCAAGACCACTTCTTTAAAAAGTACTAAAAAGTTTAAGATAATGACAGCACAGTGTTCAACCAAGCTTGAACTTTCTTTTCTTTTTTTTTTTTTTTGAGATGGAGTCTTGCTCTGTCACCCAGGCTGGAGTGCAGTGTTGCAATCTCAGCTCACTGCAACCTCCACCTCCTGGGTTCAAGCGATTCTTGTGCCTCAGCCTCCCAAGTAGCTGGGACTACAGGTGCCTGCCACCAGCCTGGCTAATTTTTGTATTTTTAGTAGAGATGGGGTTTCACCATGTTGGCCAGGCTGGTCTCAAACTCCTGATCTCAAGTGATCCACCCACCTTGGCCTCCCCAAGTGCTGGTATTACAGGCGTGAGCCACCACACCCAGCCCAAGCTTGAACTTCCTGAGCGTGGAGCCCCGGTTGCATGTCCATGAACACCAAAATACTTCATTAGATCCAGAGTCTTTCCTTGCCCACCTCCCCCCAAAATTTTTCCCCTAGAGGCAGCACTTTCTCCCCTGAACTCTCAGTTACTCCCTGGGTTTTGCTGTGAATGGTTGGGTCTCTCCCTCCCTTCACGGTCCCCACGCCTGTGACCCAGGGTCATTGCTACTAAATGACCTTCATGTTTGCCAGATGCAGAAAAAAAGGCTGTCAAGCGTCTGTTCTCCATGCGCCAATGGAATACATTACTCTCCCTTCATGCCTGTGACTTTCCCTGGGGTTTGGGGCTAAAGAGACTTGGGCTTGTCTGGATGAAGCCTTGACCACCCATTCCTAACTGACCAGGAAGAAATGTTCCGGAACATGAGCAAGTGCCAAAGGCCTCTTCTAATTAGCTGGCTGGTGGCTAACTACGGATTTCACTGGGCAGCGCCTTCTGGAGGTAGGTGTGTAATTACCATGGAAACCTTCACACCACACTGGCTGTCTCCTCCAGCCCCCTTCCTGGGGGAGCACACGCTGCTCTGCAGAAGCGGCATCTGGGCTATCGACATTGTTTGTGAGGGAAATAAATGAGTAATTAGAAACAAGGCAGGTTGAATCCTTGTTGGAATAAAGTTTTACCTACATTCATCCTGGGTTCTAATTGATGCTATTGTCCGTGCTGGAGAGGAAATCACTGGAAGGTGATGAATTCAGTTTGGATGGATCCCCTCTTGCTAAGCTCAAGGACAGGGAAACATGCCTAATGAGCAACCAGGCTTTTCTGCCTTTTAGAGGCAGCTGCTGGGCTAGTCAGATGCAAATACTTTCATTTTCTTCATTTTTATACATGAATATGTATTTATTCTATTCAACCATGGATACCCTACCATCAATCCATAAGTGGATTCCAAATACTTAACCTTGTAAAATGCAGAGTCACCTTTTTGTGAAGATTCCTAAATGAGAGCAGGGGCTGGGTAAAGTTCGAGAGTGGCATGAGTCAGCCTGGGCTACACTTTGCTGCAGTAAAAAATAGACCCTAAAATTTCAGCTGGCTTAAGACAATGAAAGTCATTGAATACCTCAGGTGGAGTTCTATTGTGATTAGGAGACTGGGTTTTTGTTTTTTGTTTGTTTGTTTTTTGGAGACAGGATGTCACTCTGTTGCACAGGCTGGAAAATGCAGCCATGTGATCATAGTTCACTGCAGCCTCAACCTCCTGGGCTCAATTCATCCTCCCATCTCAGCCTCCCAAGTAGCTGGGACTACAGGCTTATGCCACTATACCCAGCTACATTTTTTTCTATTGTTTTGTAGAGATGGGGTTTTGCCGTGTTGCCGAGACTGGTCTTGAACTCCTGGGCTCAAGCGATACACTCACCTTGGTCTCCCAAAGTGCTGGGATAAGGCTGTTTTATATCGTGTGACCATGCTACCTGAAACATAGGGCCTCCAAATTGCAGCAGGATGGGAAGAGAAGGCTGAAGGAAGTACCACATTGGTATTTGATGGCCACATGCCAGAAGGGACATATATAGTTTCTATTGACAGTGCAATTGTCCTACGGACCCCAACATAAGCACACGTGAGACTGGGAAATAGAGGGAGAGGATAGAATTTTGGTAGCATCCTCTGTGCCTTCCAGAGGAGTAAATCCTCTTATATCAACATGGTTCTCTGATCATAAGTCCTTACTAAGTGCCAGAGGGGGAAACATGAGAGGTGTTCAAGGAGATGGACAAACAAGCCCACATGCAAACCAATGAGAAAAGACCAGATTACAATAAATACTGCAAATAGAACGGATTGATAGTGTCTGAGAAACTCTAAGTTAGATTTAGTACTCAGAAAGGCCACTCTGGAAGGAATGTGGCATTTCAGCTAAGACCTGAATGCAAGGAAAAATCCGGCCACCCAAGGGAACTGGGGGAAAAGGAACCAACCAGAGATCAGTGTGGTTGGAATAAGAATGTGATTGAAGTGAGGTTCCATGAGCATGTGTATGCATGCTTGTGTTATGAAATACAGCACAATTCGTACTGTGGGTCATGATAAAATGTTTGAGAACTACCATAAAAAATATATTTTTTTGGGAGGCCGAGGCGGGTGGATCACTTGAGGTCAGGAGTTCGAGACCAACCTGGCCAACATGGTGAAACCCGTTTTCTACTAAAAAATACAAAAATTAGCTGGCTTTGGTGGCGGAGTCTATAATCCCAGCTACTAGGGAGGCTGAGGCATGAGAATCGCTTGAACCCAGGAGGTGGAGGTTGCAGTGAGCCAGATCGTGCCACTGTACTCCAGCCTGGGCAATAGAGTGAGACTCAGTCTCAAAACGAAAGAAAGAAAGAAAAGAAAGAAAGAAAGAAAGAAAGAAAGAAAGAAAGAAAGAAAGAAAGAAAGAAAGAAAGAAAAGAAAAGAAAAGAAAAGAGAACAGAAAAGAAAAGAAAAGAAAAGAAAAGAAAAGAAAAGAAAAGAAAAGAAAAGAAAAGAAAGAAATTATACTTTATAATCCGGGGTGCATGTGCGCACACATACACACACACACACACCCACAATTGAAACAGAAGTTTACCATAGCAATACTTACCCTCACTATGTGTGATGAATGCTTTCTAATCCACTCCACTCCATTCTGCTGCATTCTTGAATCAGGATAGGTTGTATTACTTTGCAGTAACAAATAGCCCTCACAATCCAGTGCCTTAACCGCATGCAAGTTTATTTCCCTTCCTTCCTTCCTTCCTTCCTTCCTTCCTTCCTTCCTTCCTTCCTTCCTTCCTTCCTTCCTTCCTTCCTTCCTTCCTTCCTTCCTTCCTTCCTTCCTTCCCTCCTTCCTTTCTTTTTGAGATGGAGTCTCGCTCCATCTCCCAGGCTGGAGTGCAGTGGCGCAATCTCGGCTCACTGCAACCTCCGCCTCCCAGGTTCAGCCAATTCTCCAGTCTCAGCCTCCCAAGTAGCTGGGACTACAGGCGCCTGCAACCACGCCCGGCTAATTTTTTGTATTTTTAGTAGAGACAGGGTTTCACCTTGTTGGTCAGGCTGGCCTCGAATTCCTGACCTCAGGTGATCCACCCACCTCGGCCTCCCAAAGTGCTGGGATTACAGGCATGAGCCGCTGAGACCAGCCCGCAAGTTTATTTCTTATTCATGCCACAAACTCAACATGAGGAGGAGGGTCGGGGGAGGTCTTCTTGTTGAAAAAACTCAACTATCGAAGGTTGATAGGGCTTCAGTTTGACAAGTGCTTCCACAATCGTTTTAGTAAGTGAAACAGAACTTGGTAAATTCCACAGAGGTTGTTTTAGAAGGTTTCCTCTTGGAAGTGACTGTGCATATTTTATTTGCCCATGCAAGTCACTTGGTCACATTTCCTTAAAAGGGGGTAGGGAATATAGTTATACGATAACCCTGGAAGGCTGGAGGCCCAGCATAATTTGGTGGACAGCACTGACAATGAATCTTTCTATTTTATTCCATGTTATGGTCCTCTAACATTTTAGGACTGATACTACGTACTGCAAACAGAAAGATGAACAGCGCTCAGTTTTGCTGTGTTGGAACTCGCGAATAATAGGGAATCCAGCCAGTCACTTATGAGCATGATTTCTTCAAGCCATAGAGGGTGGAGCTACAAAGGATGGTTGTGATGGAGGATTTGGGTCCCCGTAAGGAGATGAGGGGAAACTCCTTTGCCTTACGCTGGGTAGAGGGTGCTGTCCTCTAGGTTGGTGGGAAATAAGGCCCTGACAATAATCTCAACCACCTTGTAACAGCCTTTCTTTGTGTAGCAAAGCCTTGCTCTGATATCACTTTCCATAATAGAATGGTTTGCATCTCTGGTTGCACTTTGGGATAATTTGAGGAGCTTTAAAAAAAAAAAATACCAACGCAGCCGGGTGCAGTGGCTCACGCCTGTAATCCCAGCACTTTGGGAGGCTGAGGTGGGCCAATCAGGAGATCAAGAGATTGAGACCATCCTGGCCAACATGGTCTCTATTAAAAATACAAAATTAAAAATACAAAAATTGAAAATACAAAATTTAGCTGGGTGTGGTGGCATGCACCTGTAGTCCCAGCTAGTCGAGAGGCTGAGGCAGGAGAATCGCTTGAACCCGGGAGGCAGAGGTTGCAGTGAGCCGAGATTGCACCACTGCACTCCAGTCTGGTGACAGAGTGAGACTCTGTCTCAAAAAAATACCAATGCCCAAGCTTACCAGGAACTAATTTAATCAGATTCTCTTGGGTGGGGCCTGAACATTAGTGTTTTTTATGAAACTCTCCAAATGATCCTAAGGCCACAAAGGTTGGATCAGTTTACACATTTATTTTTTATTTTTGTTGTATATTGACAAATTATAGTTGTACGTATTTATGGGGTATAGAGTGGTGTTATTATGTTTAAATATAATGTGGAATGATTAAATTAAGCTAAGTAACATATATATCACCCCAATTTTTAATGTTTTGGGAATGAGAACATTAGAAATTTCCTTTCTTAGTGATATTGAAATGTACAGGACTCAGTTATTAGCCATATTTAGCACAGTGTGCTATTGATCTAAAAAGCCAAACTTATTCTTCCTATTGAACTGAGTCTTTGTACCCTTTGGCTATCATTTCTCCAGTATCCCCAACCCCAGCCTCTGGTAGCCAACCTTCTACTCTCTGCTTCTATGAGCTCAATTAGTTTAGATTCCACATATAAGTAAGGACATGTAGTATTGGTATTTCTATGTTTGGCTTATTTCACTTAGCATAATATTCTCCAATTCCATCCATGTTGTTGCAGATGACGGAATTTCTTCCTTTTCCAAGGCTGAATAGTATTCCATTGTGTATATATACCACATTTTGTTTATCTGTTCATCCACTGGTGGACACTTAGGTTGATTCCATTAACTTGGGTATTGTGAATACCGCTGCAAAGATGATGGGAGTTTTTAACAACAACATACTATCATGAGATTGCATTTAAAGAAACTGTCATAAATGTAGCCTTTGGGGAATGTGAATAGAGAGACTGACGTATCTCTGCATCCACATCACCTTATTTTGCCCTGTTCTGCCTCCAGGATTCACACTGAGTGTTATACCAAAGAGTGGCAATGGTGTTCCCACCCTGGAAAGGCTTTTCCTGCTTCCTGAGGATTGTTCGTTGTTTCCCTGCCTACACGTTTGGAGCCAGGGCTGTGTGCACTGTGCTCCTGCTGGGGTACTTGACTTCTGTCTCAGACAGCAGGAGAGTGAAGCAGGAGGGCAGAGGGCATTCATGAGAGAATCAGCTGGGGGTGCGTGAAAGGGTTGAGAGAAGGGGAAAGGAGTCCAGAAAGCACTCCAACAATGAAGGCACCACACCAGAATTTTGAAGAGTGAAGAATGAATTCATTCATTCACTCAGTCATCCATCCATTCGTTTACTCACTCATTCAACCACTCACTCATTCACTCACTCAATCATCATTCATTCACTCAATCATTCATTCACTCATTCATCCATTCAGTCACTCACTCATTCATCTATTCATTCACTCCCTCATTTATTCCCCCACTTATCCATTCATTTATCCACTTATTCGTTTACTCAGTCACCCATTCATTCCTTTATTCACTCACTCATTATTCGATCATTCATTCATCATCAACCGTCCATTCATTCTCCCACCCATTCATTTGCTGGTGCCCCCAGAGACTAAACAAGGTCGCCTTTACCCCCTAGGGATGTCTGCGTAACAAGGGAGTAGGTACAAACTGACCCATAGATTAGGACACAGTAAATGTCTTCAGTGATGTACAAAGGACCATGCAGGCACTGGAGAGAGAATAAAAGGAAAAGGAAATTCTGTGTGAGCCAGATATATCCAAGAAAGCCTGTGACGGAAGTAGAATTTGACCTGAGCCTTAGTAAATGGGTGTTAATATTGATGTTATGTTAGTGTTAACATTCAGATTGTATTTTGAGGTGTTTTATTGGACAAGGCATACAAGTTTGTCGTGAAAAGATATAGAAGACACAGATAAGCAAACTAAACACAGGAAAGCTACTCAGGGTGAGTGAGTGAGTGAGGAGCAAGTAACTAGCTCTGTGATAATTATTCTTTCATCTTCAAGAAATGTTGGGTTGGGTGCAGTGGCTCATGCCTGTAATCTCAGCACTTTGGGAGGCTGAGGCGGGCGAATCACAAGGTCAGGAGTCTGAGACCAGCCTGGCCAACATGGTGAAACTCCATCTCTACTAAAAATACAAAAGTTATCTGGGTGTGGTGGTGCCTGCCTGTAATCCCAGCTACTTGGGAGGCTGAGGCAGGAGAATCATTTGGACCCGGGAGGCAGAGGTTGCACAGAGCTGAGATAGCGCCACTGCACACCAGCCTGGGCGACAGAATGAGACTGTCTTAAAAAAAAAAAAAGATTGGCTCTTAGTTCATCAGACCCCAAAGCTTAGGTTCAGTTTACTACACTGTAAGCAGTGGTGTAAGTGGGGCCCAAGATGGTCATGCCAGCTGTTTCATAATAATGGCCTGGGGTTTGTTGTTTGTTTTTGTTTTGTTTTTGCCCTGACATCATTACTTAGGTAGACAGGTAAAAAGAGGCCTAACAGAGGCTCTCCTCTCTTCAGGTTGGCCCTGACAGCAGTGTGGACCCACGAGTCTCCATTCCCTTCTCATCAAGACGGGTGATGTCAGCAAAACTTCTTGCTTAGAAACATTGTTTTGAACTTGGCAACCTGTAAGCTGCGTTGCCATGGTCACCAGAGGGCCCTGGGGAATGATGAACACAAAGGATGAGCTTGAAACACCACCAGGCCCTTCCCCTTCAGCCTCAACATGAGCTGGTGACAGTTTCTGACAGACCTTCCTGTGCCCAGGGAACCCCACACCACCATTTCCATGCACAGCCAGGCTGACAAAATACCCCTGTGTTTGCGGCATCTCATAACTACTGATATTTATTGGGCAGCATGGTAAAGCAGTTTACGTGAATTATTGCATTTAATTTTTCCCAAACCGTGCATTGATATATATGCTCCTATTATTTCCATTATCTGGTGAGGACACAGGGACACACAGAAGCTAAAAGACTTGCTCCAGTGTCCCACACCTAGCGAGTGGTAGTCTGGCTTCGGAGCCGGTGCTCCCAAACAGCCCATCCTGTCTAAAGCCACCATCTTCGTGGCAAGTCACAGCACACAGAATCTCCAGATATCGGTGGGTACCCAACTCCTAAAGATTCCCAGAAGGGAATTTGGGTTCCTGGAAAGGCTCTAGGCAAGACAGATATGGGGCATTGGCAGGGATGTCTTAAAACAACTGTCTGGTGAGATGAGCAGAGGGAACAAAAGGAAATCCAAATTTAAACGTCTCTAGGCATTCAAGCAATCATGCCTTAAGGTCACTGTTGGAATCGTAGCAGGGAACGGAGGATGGTGGAGAGTGGTTAAGTGTCATTGTTTGCTTATAGATTTTTCCTATTTCATTTTTAATATTAAGGTCCTCAGCCAGACCCAAATCATGATGCTGACAGGGCCCAGGTAGGGGACAAATGAACAACATTAGCTGGGGTAAAATAAGGTGGGGTAGAAGTCCAAAGTCAGATGGAATAGAGGCCCAGTGAGGGGACAGAGAGTGGGGAAGGGGGTGTGGAGCTCTGCTTACAGACACAGCCAGAACTCCTCTTCACCCAGCAGTCCCCCAGATTTGCCAAATCTGATTATTTCAGAAGCTGGAGATCTGGGTACTTTTTAAAATCTCCTAATTTTAATTTGACTTTGTATTTTTGGTCTCTTTTTTAAAGTTTTGTTTTACTTTTATTGAAAAATAATGACTGTATGTATTTATGGGGTATGATGTGATGTTTTGAGCCACGTATACATTGTGGAATGATCAAATCAGTCTATCATGCCCATCACCTCCAAAACTTACCAATTCTTTGTGGTAAGAATATTTAAGATCCTCTCTTTTAGCTCCTTTGAAATATACAATACATTATTATTAACTATAGTCACCTTGTTGTACAATAAATCAGCAGAACTTATTCTCCTGAATCTGCTTTTGAAATGTTAGCAAACTTTCAACAAAAATATAAGCTCTATGCAGATGAAATAAAACAATTCTATGGGTTAGACTTCAACTCTGGGCCATCAGTCAGAGATCTCTGCTCTGGGCATTTATATTTAAACATTCCATTGGATAAACATGGCCAGAGGGTCTTGTATGAGCCAGGCACCACACGGGGCACTAGCCTTATAGTGGTGACTGAGTCTGACCCTTTTTAAGTAACTTAGATTCTAGCATGATGTTTTTCAAACTGTGCAGCATGAGTGATTAGTGCACCTTAAAATCAATTTAGCAGATGGCAACCAGCATTCTAAAATAATACAAAATAAAATGGAATATTATGGAAAATATCAAAGCACATTGCGTATGATAAAGGAAGGTGCTGATTTGTAGAGCATTTGATAGCATTTTACGAACTATGAACAAAAAGGTTTGAGATTTGGCTTAAGACACATTATTGACTGGGAAAAGAAGAGCATCAAAATGTCTCACTTCTGCAGAATGTGAGTGAGAGTGGATTTTATCATCTGCTACAGAGGGATTAGGTTCCTAAGCTCTGCCACTTACTAGCTGTGTGACCTTAGGAAAGTTGCTTAACCTCTCTGTGCTTCCATTTCCTTCTCTATAAAATAGGGGAGGAGGATTAAATGAGTGAATACATGAAAGATACTTAGAACAGTGCCTAATACATGAGGAGTTCTCAATGGATGTCATTATGATCTTTGCTGCTGCTTTTATGAAGTCCTGCATTCAAACATTCAAAGGTATTTCTTGATGAGATGCTTGAGACAGATCAGTTTCTTCACTTCTTATGAATAATTAAGTCTCCTAAGTTACAATGACCAGGATTTTTTTTTCTTTAGATAGAGTTTTGCTCTGTCGCTCAGGCTGGAGTGCAGTGGTGCCATCTCGACTCACTGCAACCTATGCCTCCTGGTTTCAAGCAATTCTCCTGCCACAGCCTCCTAAATAGCTGGGACTACAGTTGTGCACAACCACGCCCAGCTAATTTTTGTATTTTTAGTAGAGACGGGGTTTCACTATGTTGGCCAGGCTGGTCTTGAACTCGTGACTTCAAGTGATCCACCCGCCTTGGCCTCCCAAAGTGCTAGGATTACAGAAGTAAGCCACTGCACCTGTCCTGGATTTATCTCTTTTTTCTTTCTTTTTTCTTTTGAGATGGAGTCTCGCTCTGTTGCCCAGGCTAGAGTGCAGTGGTGCAATCTCAGCTCACCGCAACCTCTGCCTCCAGGGTTCAAGTGATTCTCCTGCCTCAGTCTCCTGAGTAGCTGGGACTACAGGTACACGCCACCATGTCTGGCTAATTTTTGTATTTTTAGTAGAGATGAGGTTTCACTGTATTGGGCAGGCTGGTCTCGAACTCCTGACCTTGTGATCCACCCGCCTTAGCCTCCCAAAGTGCTGGGATTACAGGTGTGAGCCATCGCTCCAGGCCGGGTTTATCTTTTATAACCTAAGTAGCCTGGAATTGTCAGTAGGGAGGTCCAGAGAAGGGTCTTAAATGAAATAGAATTCCTGTGGTTTTCTTCTATGATTGCAAAGGCCCTCCAAGCCCTACCTGAACCTGAGGCCATCGCTCTTCTGGGATTGCTGTTGGATAACAGGGATTTTCAGACCTTCACATCCAGGCTTAGCTGAGGCTTTCTGGCACCTACAGCCCAGCAGGCCTTCCTCCAGGCACACGGACACACACGGCCCCTCATGAGTCTCCCAAGCTGCCAGTGAGGAAGTACCATTGTGCCTGTTTATAGATGAAGAGAGAGTGGCGTGGAAAGGCCCTGTGATGTGATGAAAGCCCTCTAAGACGGAGAGTGGCACAATGCGTGGAAAACCACAGAAATGCCCGGTGTGTGCCTGGGGCCCAGGAACGTAGTCGTGAGAGGAGGCTGCGTGGGCCCCCAGTGGGACCACAACTATAGTCCGGGGCCATGTTCTGAGCTGTGTGATCTTCTGGGTAATGCGGAGCCCCTGAGTTGTGTTTAGTTCTGTTTCTACTGCATTCTAATTATTTTAGTAAGGGGAATCCCAACATGGGCAACACAGTAATTCCTTATTTGATTAACTCTGATTTCTCTGTATTTGATTAACCAGGCTCCACATTCCCCAATGATAAGAGAGTTTACTGACTTACTTTTGGAAATTCAAATTCTGTTCTCTATTTAGCTGGAAGGATCCACGGGGAGATGGATTTACATAATGTTGTCATGAAACCACTTGGTTATCTTAATTTTCTCACTTCCTCAACTGAATTTAAAGAAACAACAAACAAACAAACAAAAACCAGTAAGAGCCTGGAAGGTGGAAAACTGCAGGAAGGCATATTATTGATGGCTTCAAAGGTAGCCTTTGCTTCTTAAGCACTAAGTATATGTCTGGCCAAAAGCTTTGCCTGCATCATCTCTTCCGTCTTCACGATGACCCTGAAGGGATTTGCTGTTATTTCCATTTTACGGATGAAGAAACATTTCTACAGAGGCGAAGTAATTGACCAAAGGCCACAGAGTTAGTCTGCAGGAAAGACAGGATTTGGACACTGAGCGCTCTGATTCCCGGGCTATTGCTGCTAGGAAAAGGTGCTCTCGGCTTACATTTGGGATACTCCAGCTCTTGTAACATTGGACACATTCCTTCCCTTTTCTTTCCCAAAGTGATGAGAAAGATGTTCAGTCCCATCTTCTCTTCAGCTATCACCTTCTGGTTGAAATATATCAGAGGTATGGCACCCAAGAAAGAGGAAATAAATTAGACCCCTTTCCTCTGTCCAGAGGTGGCAAATAGTTCCTACTGAAACTGACCGATAGCAAGGTGCTGAATCAATAGAGAAAACTGTGGTGGATTAGCAATGAATGAGCCAGGCCTGCCGTGAGTATCAGAAGTGTAGTGATGACGAGGTCATGACACATTTGCCATCCCTGCTCTAGTCTTTTTTAAAATATGTATACAAATTCACATTATTTTCAAAAGCACAAATAAAAACCTACAATATATATACTGTGAACATATGATATTTTTGTCTGCTAGCATCCATCTTCCTTCTGGTAAAATAACACAACCACAACAAACAACATAAAACTGTGGCAGGCCAGGTCTCCCTAACGGCTGAACAGGCAGGTCCTCATAACAACTGTTTCAGCACTGACTGAGTGGTTAAGTTAAATGTTAAAAGCTGAAACAGCCATTACCCTTATACAAAGGCTGGAACGTAACAAGAGCCCACCAAGAGTTTTGCCTAGGCCTTTCCTGGGCCTTAAAGCATGACAAGATAATGAAGGAGTTCTTAACAGGACCCACTTAGGATTAAACAAGTTTTATTAGGGGTCTGAAGAAACTCCCCAGGCCTCCACAAACAAGTTTATTGGGGATCTGAAGGAACTCCCCAAACTCCTTCATGATTTAGCAGGAGACAAGATAAGGGTAGTCACCCCAGTACCTGAACCCCTTTGGATTAAGTAAATTTACTGAGGCTCCAAAGG
This sequence comes from Homo sapiens, assembly GCF_000001405.40. NCBI lineage: Eukaryota > Metazoa > Chordata > Mammalia > Primates > Hominidae > Homo > Homo sapiens. The sequence continues at coordinate 26,713,262 of NC_000016.10, read as the reverse complement.
CAGGTCTTCAGGACTCAGACCTTAGTTATGGATTAGAAGTTAATCACTATGTCTTTACATGAATGCACGCTTACACGGAGGCATACGGCTTAGAGGGTGTATAAGTTCCGTAAAACTTTGTAATTTTGCGTTGGTCTGGCAATATTTTCCAGGCCTTCTCCCTGTAACCAATTACAGAAATAAACACTCTCTTCCTCCCCAGTACATCTGCATCTCATTATTGGTCTGGAAGAAAGAGCAGCCCGACCCTCAGTTTGGTCCAGCAACAATTCCACATTTGCCACCCCTGCTGTGGTCTTTTTTGTTTTTGTTCATACAAATCCACATTACTTTCAAAAGCACAAATAAAAACCTACACAGATATACTGTGAACATATGATATTTTTGCCTCCTAGAATCCATCTTCCTTCTTCTGGTAAAATAACACAACCACAACAAAACAACATAAAACCACACACAGGCCGGGCGAAGTGGCTCATGCCTATAATCCTAGCACTTTGGGAGGCTGAGGCGGGCAGATCACCTGATGTCAGGAGTTCAAGATCAGCCTGGCCAACATGGCAAAACCCCATCTCTACTAAAAATACAAAAAATTAGCTGGGCGTGATGGTGCATGCCTGTAATCCCAGCTACTCGGGAGGCTAAGGCAGGAGGATTGCTTGAACCCAGGAGGCAGAGATTGCAGTGAGCCGAGATCATGCCATTGCACTCCAGCCTGGGTGACAGAGCACACACACACACACACATCCCTTGTATGTGGAAAATTATCTCTTTCTTGATCTCTAGCCAAGATGCCACCCCCATCTCCAGTAATAAGCACACAACACGTGACCAGGTATTACTAGTCAGAGATCATATCATCCATTCTCTGGAGCACTGATTGGTTCAGAGACACACATTTAAACCAAACCAAGGAAGTTCAGGCCTGGAATATTCTTTCCCCTAGGGTGGCTTCACTGATAGTTTGTCAGCCTGGAGCTGTTGATGGCTGTCTCTGTCACCAGTTGGGGAGCTCTTGCTGCTGAATGAAGCCAACACTGAGAAACGCAGAGTTCAGAGATGGAGGGAGTGGTGCCCTGAAGAAATCATGGAAGCATCTGAATCTAGTTCAGCTAACCTAGAGCTAATCTAGTCTGATCTAGCCTAGAGCCAGCTTTACTGCAGGAAGTTCCAGTTCCATGAGCCTATTTATTTTGCTTAAGCCAGTTTGAGTTGTGTTTCTGGTACTTGGGAGAAAAGTATAATTAATGAATCATTTTGATCTCAAAACGTTTAGTGATCTTCCGTACAATGGATGAAATGTTTGTGTATCTCCAGCCCCGAATTCATATGTTGAAATCCTTATCCCCAAGGTGATGGTATTGGGAGGTGGGGCCTTTGGGAGGTGGTTAGGTCATGAGGGTGGAGCATCATGAATGAGATTAGTGTCTTTATAAAGGGGACCCTAGAGGGGCCAGGCGGGTGTGAGCCCAGCACTTTGGGAGGCCAAGGCGGGTGGATCACAAGGTCAGGAGATAGAAACCATCCTGGCCAAAATGGTAAAACCCGTCTCTACTAAAAATACAAAAATTAGCTGGGTGTGGTGGTACATGCCTGTAGTCCCAGCTACTTGGGAGGCTGAGTCAGGAGGATCTCTCGAAACCAGGAGGCGGAGGTTGTAGTGAGCTGAGATCGTGCCACTGCACTCCAGCCTGGCAACAGAGCGAGACTCTGCCTCAAACAAACAAACAAACAAACAAAAAAATGGGACCATAGGGAGCCTTCTCACCTTCTTTCTACCATGTGATGACACAGTGAGAAGTTTGCCGTCTACAACCTCAGAGAGAGTCCTCCCCAGAACTTGACCATGCCGGCATCTGACCTGGGACTTCCAGCCTCCAGAAATGTGAGAAATACATTTCTGTTATTTATAAGCCACCCAGTCAATGGTACTCTGTTACAGCGGCCTGGACTGACCAAGGCATCCATAACCCACATTTCCATTTTTCCTCTCCTTCTGTTCTTTGCTCTACTCTAGGCACCAGGGACCTTAGGTTCTTGTGTAGTAAACAAGTTGCCATTTCCTCAGCACCCCATGCCCTTTCACACTTCTTGTCCTGCCCAGTGTATTCTCCACACATCAGCAAGCCAGATCTTGGTTTAACCCATCCCTTAATATGGCATATATTGCATGGTATTTTCTGGCTTCTATTTAATAAAAACAGCTAATAGGTAAGTTTTATTGAGCATATGCTATATGTCAGCTACTGTTCTTAGAGTTTCACCTGCATTAACTTATATAATTGGCACAACAGCCCTGTATCCGGGGGAGACACTGAGGCACCAAATGGCTGAGTACTTTCCTGGGGTCAAACACTTGAGCTCTCAGTGTGACGCTGCATGGTGCACGTGTCCAGAATCAACTTCCTGCTCCCCTTTGTTCCTGTTCTCTGTGTTATAAAGGGTTAAAAGAATTTGCAACTCTTTTCACAGAACAGCAGAGGCCACAGAGCGTGCCATGATAATTGGGCTTGTTTTGTGGGGAGGAAATGCCTGTCTTGGTGTCAGGGCACCATGTAAAAATGTGTTTTTATTCCACCTAAATTAGTCTGTGTGCTCACCCTGTACTGGGGATGGCCTAGCGGCTGAACGGGGCTTGGCATTAACTCTGCCCATGGAGATCACTCGTTAGTATAAGCAGGGCCCCTGTCTGTATTTTCTTTTGTCTCTTTTCCCAGAGCAGAGAAGAACAGAGTCTAATTGGGAGGCAGATTGCAGAGTAAATGTGTATGGGCTTTTTTTTTTTTTTTTTTGCAAATATTTCTCTTTAACCCTGTCTACACTAGCAAAGGAATCATCTAAGGCAGATGCAGATTCATTGCACCTGAAAGCCAGGGACTTAGAAAGATGTATTCATCAACTCTGGGAAAATTAAATTCAGAGAATCTTAATAATAGAGAGCTGTTGAATCATAGATGCTCGAAATTATAGGATCATAGAATTTTCCATTCCTTGAATCCTGGAAATAAAGATGTAATGAGATTCTAGGACCACAACTGCCCTCTGCATTGTCTGCATTTCAGCTTGTTTGAACTTTCCTCCTTTCCTCAATTTACCTCTGCCTCCCCGCCTCGGACAATCCCTACTCCCATTGTCTGGCTAACTCATATCCTCATTCCTGTCTCAGCTGAAACATCCCCACTCATGGACTGTTTTCACTCCACCTAGACTAAAATAGGCCCCTAGGAGATGAAAGCAGAGCCCCCTGACTGCCCTCATCATTTTCCTCTCCACTGAACACCCATCCTTCCTTCTCTTCCTTCTTTCCCTCCTTCTCTCCTTCCGTCCCTCCCTCCTTCCTTCCTTCACTCCTTCTTAACACCCTTCCTTCCTTTCTTCCCTTCCCTCCCTCCCTCCCTCCCCCCTCCCCCTCCCTCCCTCCCCCCTCCCTCCCTCCCTCCCTCCCTCCCTCCCTCCCTTCCTTCCTTCTTTCCTTCCTTCCTTCTTTCCTTTCTTCCCTCCTTCCCTCCCTTCCCTCTTTCCTTCCCTGATGGGTTACAAGGCCTTTCAATGGGATCTTAAAGGTTTTGCTCATCATGGAATCTCCAATGCTGGGCACATGCTTGAAACTGTGTCCCAAAGAGTTGAAACCAATGATGAACAGAAATTCTTGTATTTGCAGGATGGCAAATGAGAAAAAAAAAACAACTTGCTGAAACACAGAAACTCCCTCCATTTATGAGATAAAAGAACTAGCTAAAGTTGATTAGAACCAAAACGACCAACTAGGGTCTGCAGTACCGGCTTGCTAACATCACCGCCTGAACTTCCACCACCTTTCAGACTGACTCCTCCCAAATTTGCATATGTGAGCCATGAGAGAGCATGCAGAGATAACTGCGCATGCCTGAGTGCTTCCCAGACCTCCCCTTTCCTTCCACCAATCACCTGCTGATCTCAGAACCCACCCCCTTAACCTTCTCTGATAAAAATACTACCTTATAACCAGCATGCGGAGACAGAGTTGAGCTTGATTCCTGTCTGCTTGGGAGTCGACTTTCAATATAAAGGCTTTTTTTTTTTTTTTCCAAAACCTGGTGTCTTAGTGTTGGTTTCTAGTGCAAGTGTTGGTTTCTAGTGCATCAGACAGCAAGCCCCTTTTGTTCAATGTCTCCATCTTTTCTTGATATTCTCCTCTCCTCCTCTCCACTCAACTTGCTCAATGCCTTCCTTCCCTGATGGTTTACAGGGTCTTTAAGTGGGATCTCAGTGGGATTTGTTCGCTGAATTTCCAGTGCTGGGTACACATCTGAAATGAAGGAGGTGCTACGTATGTATTTGTTGAATGAATGGAAAGATGGGTGATCTTGGATTCTTCGGCTCTCAGGGCCAGAAAGAACTTTATGGTCATCTTGTTCAGCTCCTTCTTCCCAAGCCCTCTGCAGAATGCCTGATAATGAGTTGTCTGGCATTTTCCAATTCTGGAAAAGAATTTGGAACTCCAGATTTTCCAGTTCTGGAGTTGTCAGGCTCCATAGGGAAGGGGAGCTCACCATCGCCAGAAGCAACTCTCCCTTGCATTGTCAAGAAGCTCTCTGGGTTGCAAGGTTCCTAATAGCATCAAGTCACAGGGTGTGTCCTGTGATGTTGTATCTCCGCCCCTGAATGTAACTCATGACATGATTCAGCACAGAAAAGCTGAATCAGAAAAATGATTCCCAAAAGGTTTAAAAGAGGTGACTTATACTAGCAAATCCATGACCTGAGCTGTATTTGACTTAGAGTGTTATTTTGAGTTCCAAGATAAAAACAACAACAACAAAAAAAACACAACTTTTATGTATTATTTTTTTTCTGAGACTGTCTTGCATATAATCCCAAACCTTCTCCTCCATCCTCCCCAATGGGGTGGGAGAGGGCAGGGATTTGAGGGAGGTAGAAAAGGTTCTCTTTTCTCATGTATGTATGTATTTATTTATTTGATTATTTTGAGACAGACATCTTGCTCTGTCACCCAGGCTGGAGTGCAGGGGCGCGATCACAGCTCACTGCAGCCTTGACCTCCCTTGGCTCAGATGACCCTCCCACCTCAGCCTCCTGAGGGACCACAGGCGTGTGCCACCATGCCTGGCTACTTTTTACGGTTTTGTAGAGACTGGGTTTCACCTTGTTGCCCAGGCTGGTCTCCAGCTCCTGGGCTCAAACAATCTGCTTGCCTTGGCCTCCCAAAGAGTTAGGATTACAGGCATGAGCCACCACACCCAACCAAAAAACTTTAAGTGTAATATACCTACAGAAAAGTGCCATATTCCAAGCACACAGCTTGATAAATTAGCACAGTGTGAGCACAACGGTGTAGCTAGCACAGATCACGGAACAGGGCAGGACCAGCACTTCCTGCTCCCTTCTGTCTCCATCCTCACCCAGGGACCACTCTCTTGACTTGATGGCACACAGTCATTTCCCATCTTTCTAAATTTTGTGTAGATGCACTCTATTGATGATTCAATATTTTACAGTGTGGAAGAATCCACATTAAAATCTAGCAATATTGGGTCCTCAGTTTCTTATGACAACAAGTAGTTTATGACAGCTTATGATGGCTTCCCCCTTTGCATGGGGCACAACTGGTCCAGCTGGCCCGAATTTCTGACTTCTCTGGCTCACCTGACTGGCTTCCCTTAGATCCACCCCTGTAGGAATTTAAGATTTTCCAATTCTGGTCAATTTTTTTTTCCCCAGAGGTGACATTTCTTCTACTTCTTTTTCTTTATTAGAGATGATATATCACTATATTTCCCAGGCTGGTCTTGAACTCCTGAGCTCAAGCGATTCTCCTGCCTCTGCCTCCCAAAGTGCTGAGATTGCAGGCATGAGCCACCACCCAACACTTCTAATAGCTACATTGTTTCCTATGGGAAGGAAGCGTGGTGGAGCAGAGCAAAGGAAATAGACACGAGTTGGAATCCTGATTTGCTGCTAACTAGAGTCTACATAGTATTGTGCTTAAGAATAGGGACTATAGAGCCAGACATCTGGGTTCAGGTGAGTATCAGAGTGACCTTGGGCAAATAACGTCACCTCCCTGTGTTTCTTCATCTGTTCGCGGAACAAAATAGTGATCCCCACTTCACAGTGTCATTGTGAGGAACAAATGAGTTGTAAAGCAGTACAAGAGTTAATCCTGGCACAACTGGATACATATTCTAAGGTATGGCACATTCCCCTTGTAAACACAGTTATCTCATCTGGAAAATGGGAGTAATAATATCAGTTTCTCAGGCTTGTTGTGTGAATTAAATAAGATAACCTATTTCCAGGGCTTCACAGGGTAGATGCCAATTAAATATAACTTCTTCCTCCAAAACAGTACCGTTGATCCCATTTGGCTTTGGTGTTTCACATTTACAAAACAGAAATTTAGGCATCAGTTTGCCTTGGGGCATGACAGCCCCAAGATTACCTTCCCACCATCCCACTCTCCCAGTGCCAAGGCCCCAGGGCAGGGCTTATCAGCTTATGTCTATCTGTTCCTCTGGCATTATTCCCCTAAATATTCATGGCTGCACATTGCCTTTATTGTCACACCTAATTTATGTTTGAAGTTGAGGCTGGACATTTTTTTTTCCCATCTGTCTTCTTCATAGTTCATTTTTGTAAGAAAAAAACTTAAAATGTCCATTTCTCTAGGTTTTCTATTTCAGGAGTTATTCGTCATGCTGTTCAACATTTCGACACATCAGATCTGTTTTCAGGAGCAATCATGCCACACAGAATGGTATGGTAGTCATTTGTTCATTCATTTAGAAAACGTATCTTAAGCACTGTATTGGTTTTCAGGAGCTGAAAACAAATCCTTAGCACCTTCCTTTAATCTTCACAATACTTTGACTGCATTGGTCATTACAACACTGATTATCTATTAAGGGTGTGCTCTGTGCTATACAAGGCAGAAAGCATTTTATATGCAGCCAGGAATTGTTCCAACAATCTAGCAATGTAGATGCCATCATTCCCTTTTACAGGTGAGGAAACTGAGGCTAGTGTGAGATTGCTCAATCAGGAAAGGAGGACTCATGTTTCTGTAGTCTAAATACAAGATTCTTGCTCTTTCCACTTCATCTTTTTATTTTGATCAGGAAGGACTTTGTTACAGAGGACAGAGGACCAAGATTCCTACCTTCAAGCCACCAGGGACTTTATTGGGCCTGGGATTATGAAACCTACCCGATTGTTCCATAGAACTGTTATTCATGGTTTCTTTTTTTCTTTTTCTTTCTTTTTTTTTTTTTTTTTTTTTGAGACGAGGTCTCACTCTGTTGCCAAGGCTGGAGTGCAGTGACACAATCTTGGCTCACTGCAGCCTCCACCTCCCAGGTTCAAGCAATTCTCCCATCTCAGCCTCCCGAGTAGCTGGGATTACAGGCGCCCGGCACCATGCTGGCTAATTTTTGCGTGTTTAGTAGAAATGGGGTTTCACCACGTTGACCTGGCTGGTCTCGAACTCCTGACCTCAGGTGATCCACCGGCCTCAGCCTCCCAAAGTGCTGGGATTACAGGCACGAGCCACCATGCCCAGGCTCATGGTTTCTGATGAATGAACATAGTAAGTGATCCTCCCAGTCTTGGAATTTTAGAAAGTTGCATTTGTCTTGTCTGAGTTCCTTTCTCAGGAAACTATCAGGCCTCCCAGTTGGAATAGAGGAACTGAAACTCATGAGACCACTGCATCTCACAATGAGATGTCAGACCCCTCACCCATCATGATTGTCTAAGTGACCACCTGCTTCCTGTTGACCAGTTTGTCTTCCTTAACCCTCCCTAATTCCTGTTTTCCCACACACAGTTGCATTTCTTCCCTGCTATATGAATGCCTAGTTTTAGTGGGTCAGGGAGATGGGTTTGACACTGATCTCCCATCTCCTTGGCTGCAGTACCTTCCTCTGGGACAATATTCGTTGTTTCAGTGACTGGCTTTCTGTGCAGTGAGCAGCAGGACCTAGACCAAACCCCTGGTGTTTTGGTAACAATTAAGCCTTCTGATATATTTTTTAATTAAAAAAACATTTATTAAGATATGATTCATATCTAATTCACCTACCTAAGTGAATGATTCAATGTTTATTAGCATATTCACAGGTTTGTGTAATCATCATGATAATCTCAGTTTAGAAGGTTTTCATCTCCCCTAAATGATACCCCATGCCCATTAGCAGTCAATCCCCATGCCACTCCTACCCCACCTTTCCTCTGGCCCTAAGCAACCATTAATCTGGTTTCTGTGTCTCTAAATTTGCCTCTTCTGCACATTCATGTAAATGGAATCATACACTGTGTTGGTCTTTTATGAATGGCTTCCTTCACTTAGCATAACATTTTCAAGGGTCATCAATGTTGTAGCATGCATTAACCTCTCTTTTTATTTATCCATTCATCAGTTAATGGACATTTTGGTTGTCTCCATCTTTTGGCTATTATGAATAATTTGTGTCTTTCTAAGAACTTGTCCATTTCACCTAAGAAATCTATTTTTTGATATAGTATGTGTTTGTAGTATTTTCTTATGATCTTTTGTGTTTCTGTAAGCTGAGTAGTGATAGATCCTCTTTTATTTCTGACGTTAGTTATTTGAGTCTTCACTTTTTTCTAGGTTAGTCTATCTAAAAATGTTTTAGAATAACACAAATACCATGATCATTAAATATCCTATGCATACAACAAAATGTCACATGTGCCCCATAAAAAAGTATACAAGTATTGTGTCCCAATAAAAAATCCAACTTTTATAAATCTGTTAATCTTTTCAGAGAACAAACTTTTTTATATTGATATCCTCTATTGTTTTTCTACTCTCTACTTTACACACAGTCCAATCTTTATTATTTTCTTTTTTCTGCTTACTTTTTAGTTTTTTTTTTTTCCAGCTTCTTTTTTTTTTTTTTTTTTTTTTTGAGACGGAGTCTCGCTCTGTCACCCAGGCTGGAGTGCAATGGCGCAATCTCGGCTCACTGCAAGCTCTGCCTCCCGGGTTCACGCCATTCTCCTGCCTCAGCCTCCCTAGTAGCTGGGACTACAGGTGCCCGCCACCACGCCCGGCTAATTTTTTGTATTTTTAGTAGAGGCGGGGTTTCACCATGTTAGCTAGGATGGTCTCGATCTCCCGACCTTGTGATCCACCCGCTTCGGCCTCCCAAAGTGCTGGGATTACAGGCGTGAGCCACTGCGTCCGGCCTTCCAGCTTCTTAAGGTAAGAGGTCAGGTTAGATTTTAGCGTTTACGTCATTTTCAATACAGGTGTTTACAATTATAAATTTCCTCTGAGCACTGTGTTAGCTGTATCCCATGAACTTTAGGATGCTGTACCTTTGATTTCATTTATCTCAAAGTATGTTCTAATGCCCCTGTGGTTTCTTATTTGATCCATTTATTGTTTAGGAGTATGTTATTACATTTCCACGTTTATGATTTTTCAAAATTTCCTTGTTACTGATTTCTAATTTCATTCATTGTGTTTGAGAAAAATACTTTGTATGACTTCAACCCTTTTAGATTTATTGAGGCTTTCTTTTTATGACCTTGAATATTGTCTCTCTTAGAGAATATTTTCTGTGATTTTGAGAAGAATGTGTTGTTGCTGTTGGTGGTTGGGAATGTTCTATTTAGATGCAGGTCTGTTAAGTCTAATTACGTTTGTTAGGTTTAGTGGGCTTACAGCTTCATTCAGATTGTATATGTCCTGGTTGATCTTTTGCTTAGCTGTTCTTTTAAAACATATATATTTATTTTTTAAAATTCATCACTTTCAATGTTTAAAATTAATGGATATTCAATGTGTATCTTTTCAGAGTACATGTGGTGATTTGCTACATTCATATAATCAAATCAGGGTAACTGGGATATCCATCTCTTTTTAAATATTTTTTCATGCTACAGGTATTTGAATTATCCATTAAGGCAAGTGAGCTATTGAAGCCTTCAACTTTTATTTTTGAATTGTCTGTTTCTTCCTCTGATTCTGTCAGTTTTTGCTTCATGTATTTTGGGGCTTTCATTAAGATGTATATATGTTTGTAAATGTGCTATCTTCTTGGTAGGTTGATTTTTTTTTAGTATTATTAAGTAATCCCTCTGTCTCTAGTAACAATTCTTGTCTTGAAGTCTTTTTTGTGCAGCACTGGTCTAGCCACTCCAGCTCTTTGGTGGTTACTGCTTGCATGGTGTATCTTTTCCATTATTTTACCTTTCTTTTTTTTTTTTTTTTTTTTTTTTGAGACAGAGTCTCGCTCTGTTGCCAACGCTGAAGTGCAGTGGTGCAATCTCAGCTCACTGCAACCTCCGCCTTACAGGTTCAAGCGATTCTCCTGCCTCAGCCTCCCAAGTAGCTGGTACCACAGGCACGTGCCACCACACCCAGCTAAGTTTTTGTAGTTTTAGTAGAGATGGGGTTTCACCGTTTAGCCAGGATGGTCTCGATCTCCTGACCTTGTGATCTGCCTGCTTCGGCCTGACAAAGTGCTGGGATTACAGGCGTGAGCCACTGCGCCTGGCCTATTTTACCTTTAATCTATTTGTGTTTTTGAATCTAAGATGAGTCTCCAGTAGGCCACATACCACTGATCTGGGATGACATTCTTTGGCTTTTGATTATATTGTGTAATATATTTACATAATGTTTTTATTGATATGGTTGGATTTATATCTGTCATTTTGTTTTTTATTTTGTTTCTTTTTTTGCTTGTTTGCTTGCTTGTTTCCCTATTTCTTCTTCATTGCCCCATCTACTCGGCCCACCACACTCACCCCTTTGCAGGATGGAGCATGTGAGTGAGAGAGTGCAGAACCCATGTCCAGACCATGTGTGTCACCTTGAGGGGAACATGGCAGCACCCAGGTGAGGGTGCCTGTAACCCCAAAGCCCCAGAAGGGGAGTTACAGTGTTCTTTTAGTTCCGCCATCCACAGTCCAATGGATGGTGGTGTGTTAGCACCTCAGGTGGCCTTTTGCCTCATCACATGGGGCAGCTATCCTCTGCCAGCAAGGGCCAAGGGCCAGTGTGACAACCTTTTCTGGGTACCCACACTCCATAGGTCCTGAGCTCTTGTCCAGCATCCAGGAAGAATGAGGTCATGCGACGATTGAAGGATGGTGAAGGCAGATAATTTCACTGAGCCATGACAACAGCTCTCAGCAGAGAGGGGAGCTGGAGAGGGGAATTGGAGAGGGGATGGGATGGGCAGGTTGTCTTCCCTGAAGTCAGGTTGTCTCTTCGTGAAATCAGGCCATCTCTCCCTCCACTCACTGACTCTGGGGTCTTTATAGGCACTGGATGGGGAGTGCATGCTGATTGGTTCGTGAGTATGCAAAAGGTTAAAGCAAAGCACCCCTCAAAGGTGGGCGTGACGGTGTAGAAAACCAATTAGGAAAGAGTAGGTATATGTAAAATAGGTGAAGGTTGGGGATCAATCAGAGGAAAGCACACCAAACAGGAGGACAAGCTCTCAATCCAGTCCAAGGATTTAACTTGCAGTTGGGCTTTCAGGTTTTAAACTGTCTTCTGCTTGGAGGTGGGGTTTCACTGGGGATCCGCCCCATCTGTCAAGGCATTTGGCTGCCTCCTGCTGCTATCCTTATTACACATTTTATACCTCTGTGTGTTACAAACCCAATAACATGTAATTATGATTATTTTATATCATCTGCCTTTTAAAGGAACTGAGAGAAGAAAAGAGAGCAATCATATATTTATAGAGATTGTTATATTAGCCTTTTTATTTGCAATTTCTGGTTCTCTTCATTTCTCTTGCGGTTTTGTGGTACCATCTGGTATCACTTCCTTATCCTGACACATCTTATTTCTACCTGCCTCCTTTGTGCTGTTATTGTGAAATATATTCCTTTCTGTATGTTTCAGCATAGCTATACATTAAGTATATCTACATAAAATACATATATATAATGCATTTCTACACACACACACACACACACACACACACACACAGTTAACCCTCTCTATATTGTGTGGACTTTGTATCTGTGAATTCAACCAACTGTGGATTAAAAATATTTGAAAAAAAATTGCATCTGTACTGAAGATGTACAGACTTTTTGGTTATTATTTCCTATATAGTATAATATGACAACTATTTACACAGCATTTACATTGTATTAGGTATTGCAAGTAATTTATAGATGATTTAAAGTATACAGGATGATGTGCACAGGTTATCTGCAAATACTATACCATTTTATATCAGTAACTTGAGCATCTGTGAATTTTTGCATCCCTGAGAAGTCCTGGAACAAATCTTCCATGGAAAATAAGGAATGACTGTATGTATGTATACACACATACATATGTATACTGTATGTATGTATACACACATGCACACACACACACAAAAATGCATATAATCTATATATAGATCTATATAAAATCTGTGTATAATCTATCTATATAATATGTATAATCTTACATAATTGCTATTTAAATCAGTGAAGAAGAATAAAAATGCAAGTATATGTTTTTTGTGATTATCTACATAATTACCTTTATGTGCATTCTTTTTCTTATTATGTGGATTTAAGTTACTCTCTGATGTAACTTGCTCTCAGTCTGAAGGACTTTAGTATTTCTTGTAAGGCAAATCTGCTAACAACAAATTCTCTCAGTTTTTGTTTATCCAAGAATATTGTTATTTCACCTTCATTTTTGAAAGACTGTTTTGCTGGATATAGGAATCTTGGTTAGTGTGTGTGTGTGTGTGTGTGTGTGTGTGTGTATAATTTTCAGCACTTCGAATATGTTGTCCCACTGCTTTCTTGTCTTTAGTGTTCAGATAAGAAGTCAGCTGCCAGTCTTATTGTGGTTTCTTTGTACATGTTTATTTTTCTCTTGTTGCTTTCACAATTTTCTTTGCATTTCTTTTTTCAGGATGTGTCTCAATATTTTAACTATGATGTATATGGTTGTAGATTTCTTTGCATTTATTCTATTTAGAGTTCATTAAGCTTCTTGCCAGTGCAGATTAATTTTTTTAAATCAAAATTGGAAAATTATTTGACATTGTTTTTCAAATATTTCTTTCCCTTATTCTCTGTCCTCTCCTTCGTCTACACTTATCTTGCATATGTTGGTGTACTTATGATATACTACACTACTTTGAAGCTTTATTCATTTTTTTCTTCATTCTTTTTTCCTCGGTCCTACAGTATGCACAATCTCCATTGATCTATCTTCAAGTTTACTGACTCTAGACCTGCTCAAATCTGTTGTTTAGCCCTCTAGTGAATTTTTTAAAATTTCACTTACTGTATTTTTTTAACTCTAGAATTTCTATTTGGTTCCTTTAAATATTTTTATTTCTGCTGGGTGAGACATTTTTATCATATTTTTAATTCTTTAGTTATAGTTTCCTTTAATTCTTTGAGCATATTCCTAACAGCTACTTTGGTATCTACTAATTCCACCATCTGTGACACTTCAAAGGCATTTTCTATTGCCTACTTCTATACCCATGTGTAGAGCACACTTCCTTCTTTCTTTGCATGCTTCATACTTTTTGTTTAAAACTGGGGGTCTTAATTAATGTATTGTAGCAGCCTTGGATACTGATGTTCCTTGCTTGGCCATTTGCATATTTGTATAGTGGCTCGGTTGAACTGATTGTGCAAAGTCTATTTTCCTCACAATGTGTAGCTTTGATGTCCCTGCTCAGATCTTCCTTATTCTTGTTTTAGCCTGGCTACCTAGGGCTTGCCTCTGGGTTGGCATAGACACTAATTAGTCAGTGGTTCTGGTACCATCCCCTCAGCCAGCTAAATTTTTACCTTTACCAACGTATATGTGTGTGACTTGGAGCTTCCATCACAATTCAAGGACTTTACTGTTTTTGCCCTACATTTAGCCAGAGTCTGGTAGCTTAGAGGTTCCCTCTCTGGTTACTCTTGAGAGGATACAGCCTTGGGCATGCACTCAGGCTTCCTGACTGCCAGTGGTAACTAACTTTCATAAAGTCTGGCTTCCTAGGAGTGACTCCTGGATCAGAGTAGCTTATTGTTCACTCTGTGTTCAGTCAGAGGTTGTGCTTAAATTTCTTTCTTAAGTAAGACTTCTGCTCTGTGTTGATGGTCTCTGTGCAGCTTGGAGAATGCTTCCAGGTCTGGCCGCATCTACTCTGCTTGCTCTTGAACAGGGACAGCCTGGTGCATGCACACAGCATTCTTTACCCCCAGAGTTGTGTGTGACCTCAGATGGCTGTTGTTGTCTGTCTCTTTCCTGCTTCCCTGTATTAAGCTTCTGGCTGCAATGCCATTTTTCTTGTATCAGATCTACCAGCTTCCTCCTAGTTGCTCTCCACCAAAATCTCCATTGTTTTTGGCAATGCCCTTAAGCATGGCATTCTCCATTCACTATTTCAAATAAAGTCAATTCAGTCAGACAGAGCTATGCAGCCCTTTTTTCTTATGGCCTGAATTTCTCCCAGGCCTAACCCATGTACCAGTGCACTGAAGCTGGAGGTGGAGACCTGTTTTTCCTGCTTTTCCAGAGTGACATCCTTATGTTATGAGTGGAAACTAGGGAGACATGGCAGTGCCTGGCCTTTGTGGCTCGTCCCTTCTAGGGTGAACCTCTGCCTTATGAGCTAGCTGAGGCAGGGGGCATTGGGGCCCTAGTATTCTGGAACTACTACTATGCCTGGAGCTTCTTCAGCATGGGGCTGGGGAAGATGATAAATGCCAGCAAACTTCTCCTCCTGGTGTGGAGCCACAGCCTAAACTGGGGGTTTGGAGGAGTGGCACTTTTCGTCTTCTTGGTTGTACACCCCAGAGGTGGAGTAATGCAGAGCTGGGGATGAGGGAGTAGTGGAGTAGGCCATGCCTTAAATGCCACCGACTCTCACTGTTCTTAGGGAGATTTAGTGGATTCTCTTGAGTGAACCCGTTTCTCCATTTGCCAAATATCCTTGGGATAGTTTCTAGAGACTTTGAATGATACGCTGAAACATCATTTCCACCCATTTTACTAGGAAGGGCAACTGCTGATCATTTTATGCCATCATTCAAGGAGTCCCACTGTGTGCTTCTGACCGAAAGTTAATTTGAGAGCCCCTAAAATGACTCAGGGAGATGACTGATGTGTCTACAGGTCAGCCGGGAATTTCATGCTGTTGCTGCAGATTGTGGAGGGCTGGAGGCTCTCCAGGCTTCCTGATTACTTTGAAAGCAGGCATGGAATCAGGTGGCTCTGAGTTGGAATTTGAGCTGGGTGCCTTGGTGATGTCACTCAGCCATGTCCTCTGTGTGATTGGAATGACAATTCCTGGTGGCCAGAGCCATTAGGAGAATAGGATCAAATAATACAGGGGAGACACTTGGCTGGGTGCCTGGCAGTGAGAGGCTCTCTCAGTAGGTGATGGTTGCTTTTCCTATCTATACCCCTCTGCCCAGCATTAAACCCTCAACAGGCCTGTCCAGCCTTATCTCCTTCTAGTCTGCAAAGAGAATTTTCTTCTCCAGCCTGCCTGTCCTTCATGCACCCTTAGCCTGCCCATGGCTTCCTGCTTCTTCAACTCTTTGCCCCACTGGGAGAGTTTCTTCACTTCTCTGGCTTTGGAGGTTCCAGCTCTAATGGATAGTTTCTGGCTCCCATCGCCTGGCCAGATCTGGTCAGGGATGTCTCCTCCTTCTCAGCCCTCCTAGGATGCACATCTCACTTCTCTTGAGTTAGAAGCATCATTCAGAGCAAGCACAAGACTAGAGGTCAGGCCAGGCACGATGCCTCACACTTGTAATCCTAGCACTCTGGGAGGCTGAGGTGGGAGGATCACTTGAGCCCAGGAGTTCAAGACCAGCCTGGGCAACATAGTGAAACCCCATCTCTACAAAAAATAAACAAAATTAGCTGGGTGTGGTGGTGCATGCCTTTAGTCCCTGTTACTTAAGAGGCTGAGATGGAAGGCTCACTTCCTGCGAGGTTGAGGCTGCAGTGAGCCATAATCATACCACTGCACTCCAGCTTGGGCAACAGAGCAAGACCCTGTCTGAAAAATTAAGAAAAAGGCTAGAGGTCAGCATTTCTACTTTTATAACTCTCCGGGCTTCTGTTTTTCCATTTTTAACAGCAGTTACCTTTCCCTAATTCATAGAACTGTTATGACGGTATACTTCCCTAAAACTAGTTTAAAACAAATTTCTTATTTCCAATGATGAAACTAAGACCAGGCTTTTTTTTTTTTTTTTTTTTTTTTTGCCAAGGTCTTGCTCTTTCATGTAGGCTAGAGTGCAGTGGTGGGATCATAGCTCACTGCAGTCTTGAATTTCTGGGCTCCAGTGATCCTCCCACTCCTGCCTCAGCCTCTTGAGTAGCTGTGTCTACAGGCGCACACCACCACACTCAGCTAATGTTTTTACTTGTTGTTGAGATGGGGTTCTTGCTATGTTGCCCAGGCTGGTCTTGAACTCCTGGCCTCAAGTGATCCTCCCACCTTGGCTTCCTATAGTGCTGGGATTACAGGTGTGAGCCACCATGCCTGGTGAGGTATTTTCCTTTTAGCAGAATGGGCACCCATACAGAATAGCGACTGACATTTACCATATGCCAGACACAATTCAAATTTACATTAATTAATTTTTAATTAATCTTTTTTTTTTTAAGACGGAGTCTCGCTCTGTCTCCCAGGCTGGAGTGCAGTGGTGCAATCTCTGCTCACTGCAAGCTCCGCCTCCCGGGTTCCCGCCATTCTCCTGCCTCAGCCTCCTGAGTAGCTGGGACTACAGGCGTCTGCCAACACCCCCGGCTAATTTTTTGTATTTTTAGTAGAGATGGGGTTTCACCGTGTTAGCCAGGATGGTCTCGATCTCCTGACCTTGTGATCCACCCACCTCGGCCTCCCAAAATGCTGGGATTACAGGTCTGAGCCACTGCGCCTGGCCTTTTTTAATTAATCTTAACAGCAACCCCGAAAGTAGGTGCTATAGTGAACCTCCTTTCACTATAAGAAAACAGACATAGGGAGGCAAAGTGACCTATCAAATATTGCAAGGCTTGTAAGTGGCAGAGCTGGGTCTGACACCCATCATTCTCTACAGCCCAGCTGCTTGGTTGGGGTAGGTGGGTTGGTTGCCTCCCAAAACAGCCATCCCCTCATCTTCTATTTCGGCAGAAACCTGGTTTTGTTTAAGTATCAATCCCTTCTCACCATGACTTAATGTTAAATTTTAGTGTCTAAGGTAATCAAGATTGATGTGGTTTGGCTGTGTCCCCACTCAAATCTTATCTTGAATTGTAGCCCCTATAATTCCCATGTGTTGTGGGAGGGAAATGGTGAGAGATAATTGAATCATGGGTTTCCTCCTTACTGTTCTCATGGTAGTGAATACGTCACATGAGATCTGATGGTTTAATAAGGGGTTCCCCTTTTCTCTTGATTCTCATTCTTTTCTTGTCTGCCACCATATAAGATGTACCTTTTACCTTCCGCCATGACTGTGAGGCTTCCCCAGCCAGGTGGAACTGTGAGTCCATTAAACCTCTTTTTCTTTATAAATTACCCAGTCTCAGGTATGTCTTTATTAGCAGCATGAGGACAGACTAATACAGTAAATTGGTACCAGTAGAGTGGGGTGCTGCTGTAAAGATACCCGAAAATGTGGAAATGACCTTAGAACTGGGTAACAGGCAGGGGTTGGAATAGTTTGGAGGGCTGAGAAGAAGACAGGAAAATGTGGGAAAGTTTGGAACTTCCTAGAGAGTTTCTGAATGGCTTTGCCAAAAATGCTGATAGTAATATGGTCAATAAAGCCTAGGTTGAGGTGGTCTCAGATGGAAATGAGGAACTTATTGGGAACTGGAGTAAAGGTGACTCTTGCTATATTTTAGCAAAGAGACTGGTGGCATTTTGCCCCTGCCCTAGAGATTTGTGCAACTTCGAACTTGAGGGAGATGACTTAGGTAGGGTATTTGGTAAAAGAAATTTCTAAACAGCAAAGCATTTAAGAGGTGACTTCGATGTGTTAAAAGCATTCAGTTGTAAAAGAGAAACAGAGCATAAAAGTTTGGAAAATTTGCAGACTGACAATGCAATAGAAAAGAAAAACCCATTTTCTGAGGAGAAATTCAAGCTGGAAGCAGAAATTTGCATAAGTAATAAGGAGCCAAATTATAATCTTCAAGACAATGGGGAAAAAGTCTCCAGGGCATGTCAGAGACCTTTGCGGTAGCCCTTCCCATCACAGGCCAGGAGTCATAGGAGGAAAAGATGGTTTCACGGGCTGGGCCCAGGGTCTCCCTGCTCTGTGCAGCCTAGGGACTCAGTGCCCATTGCATCCCAGCTGATCTGGCCATGGCTGAAAGGGGCCAAGGTGCAGCTCAGACCATGGCTTCAGAGGGTGCAAGCTCCTAGCCTTGGCAGCTTCCATGTGGTGTCTAGCCAGCACGTGCACAAAAGTCAAGAATTGAGATTTGGGAAGCTCCGCCTAGATTTCAGAAGACATATGCCTGGATGTTCAGGCAAAGTTTGCTGTAGGGTCAGGGCCCTCATGGAGAACCTCTGCTAGGGCAGTCCAGAAGGGAACTGTGGGGATGAAGCCCCTACACAGAGTCCCCACTGGGGCACTGCCCAGTGGAGGTGTGATAAGAGGGTCACCATCCTCCAGACTCCAGAATTGTAGATCCACCAACACTTTGCACTGTGTGCTTGGAAAAGCCACAGACACTCAATGCCAGCCCATGAAAGCAGCCAGGAGGGAGGCTGTACCTTGCAAAGCCACAGGGGCTGAGCTGCCTAATGACCATGGGAATCCACCTCTTGCATCAGCATGACCTGGATGTGAGACATGGAGTCAAAGGAGATTATTTTGGAGCTTTAAGATTTGACTGCCTCGCTGGAGTTTGGAATTGCATGGGGCCTTTAGCCCCTTCGTTTTGACCAATTTCTGTAATTTGGAATGAGGTTATTTATCCAATGCCAATTTTATCTAGGAAGATTCCCCAGTTGTATCTAGGAAGTAACTAACTTGCTTTTGATTTTACAGGCTCATAGGCAGAAGGGACTTGCCTTGTCTCAGGTGAGACCTTTGGATTATGGACTTTTGAGTTAATGCTGAAATGAGTTAAGACTTTGGGGGACTGTTGGGAAGGCATGACTGGTTTTGAAATGTGAGGACATGAGATTTTGGAGGGGCTGTGGGCAAAATAATATGGTTTGGCTCTGTCCCCACTCAAATCTCATCTTTAATTGTGGCTTCCATAATTCCCACGTGCTGTGGAGGGATCCAGTGGGAGATAATTGAATCATGGGGGCAGTTTCCACCTTTCTATTCTCATGGTAGTGAATAAGTCTCACAAGATCTGCTGGTTTTATCAGGAGTTTCCCCTTTTCACTTGATTCTCATTCTCTCTTTGCCTGCCACCACACAAGATGTGCCTTTCACCTTCCGCCATGATTGTGAGGCTCCCCCAGCCACACGTGGAACTGTGAGATCATTAAACTTCTTTTTTTAAATAAATTATCCAGTCTCGGATATGTCTAGATGGAGATACATGGAGAAAAGTGTGATGCCTGGAACCAGGGCAGCTATCTTATGCTCTGAGGTAGCCAGCCTGAAGAAAGCAATATTTGAGACTGGAAAACTATATATGCAGAAAAACTTGGATTCTTGTTGCTTCTAGAATGACCTTATGACCAGACTGAACTTTATGTGAGATAGCCAACTTTCTTTGAGGATATTTTCTGCTATTTGCAGCTTAAAATATTCTCACTGGTGCACCTCTTAATGAGTAAAACAAAAGCAGGCTTTCTAGTGGGGAGGAAGAGGTTACCTAACCCAGGACTGCAGAGAGAGGCGGACGAAGTTGGTGAGCTTGGCAAGAGTCTGTGGGTTGTGGAAAGAAAGTGTATTCTTTTCTGAGAGCAGCAAGAAATTTCTGGAGAGCTTAATGAAGGGAGTGACAGGGTCTAATTTACCATTTTAAACATTATTTGGTGGTGGATAAAAGTAGAAACCAAGATGACCATTATGAGACAGTTGCAGATATTTAGATGAGAGATGATGGCAGGGGAGGTAGAGACGAGACTAGTGGATGGATTCAGGGTGTATTTTAGAGGCAAGTCCACCAGGACTTGCTAAGAGATTAAATGTGGAAGTGAGGAACCAGCAGATGAAAGCCAAGGAGATGAGCAGTCTCCATATGAGCAAGAGTGGTCAACTTGTACTTAGGTTGGCATGGGGTTCCAACTGCTGTCATTGCTTTCCAGTGGGGAAGCTTATGTGATTCCAGTGTCTGAACCAGACCCAAGTTTTCTTTTTCTGTTTCTGTTATATTTACCACCAAACACACTATTTTGCATACGATAGAGATAAAAGTAAATGTTTGTGGAGTGAATGTACATATGCAAGTGCATGCATTCCTGCATTCACTCACTCCCAGCATGCTCACTGTGGAGCCTGGCATAGCCTAGTGTGCAGCAGGTTGTCAATCAGGGCTCATTGAGTGAATGAGTGTGTGTTCTCATACATCTCTCATCATGCAGCACTGCCCCCCTCCTGAAGAGCTAGAGGATGGCAGAAATGCACTGAACTCCCTGCTATGCAAAAGACCTTGGTACCATGACATCAGCCTGTCCCTCATAAAGATGGCAAATTTATGGGGTCATAAATTTGACTGCAAACTAATATGCTAGCAATAATAAACATTGATTAAACATTTATTTCACCATGATTTTGCTTGCCATAATATATTTTAAAAGGGCATCAGGGGCTGATTTTGATGGGTTGATGATCTTAAAAAAATCCAAGGAAGTTTGAAATAATACATCTAATTTTCCTCTAGATACAATTTTCTATAGTAAGCAGAGGGTATTTTTTGGTAGTTTACTCTTCCTGCTGGGGCGCTACATTGTTTATTTATGTTTATTCATTCACGTTTTCATTCATTCATCCAACACGTATATGTTTAATGTCTACTAATTCCAAACACTCTTCCAGTTTTAGGGATACAGTGGTAAACACTGAGGGGCAAAGGAAGACAAACACAGAATAAGTAAGAAAATCAACAATACAGTTTAATGTACAGCAAATCCTCACTCACCGTCGGTAGGTTCTTGGAAACTGTGACTTTAAGCAAAACAATATATAATGAAACCATTTTTTTCTCATTAACATTATAACGAAATGACATTGAAGGAAATGACATCATTTGAGGACCTGCCATACATCATCTCACTTAAAGTTGCAGTTTCCAAGAATCTATTGCGGATGTTAAGTGAGGACTCAACTGTAGTGATTGTGTCTATGGAGAAAATGAGGCAGGAAATGAGGATAGAGAGGACTGTGGCTGGAGAGCTCTTTTGAATGAGGCAGCTAAGGAAGGCGTCTCTGGTATACATGGATTTCAGGGAAAGTGTTTTGGGGAAAAGGAACAGCATGTGCAAAGACCCTGTGGGAGAGAATGAGCCTGGCATGTTTGTGGAAGGGAAGAAGGCCTGTGTGGCTGGGGTGTCATGCACGTGAGCTGTCTGTGTGCAAAATGAGGGATGGGGATGGAGAAAGAGCTCTGGTCGGAATTTCATTCAGGCATGTCTTTATTCATCTGTTCAATGTGCAGATGATAGACACCTATATGATACAGGTATAATGCACGGCAAATATTTTGAAGTAAAGACCAAAGCCCAGAGGAATTCACAGTGCAGAAGACAGATAGGCCAACAATTCATCATGTTATTTAGATATTTCATCAGATATTTAAGGCCAGGACAGTGACAGTTGACGTTGTAATAAAAGGGTCATACAAGAAGGCTATGCTTCCATGATCCCTCAGGGTCCAGTTTGGCCATGTGGCTAGCTTTGGACAATAAAATGTGAGCTGAGAGGACATGTTACGTCTGAGGAACTAGTGTTTGCTGCAACCCCTGCTACAGTGACCCTTGCCATGCTACCATCCACCACAACGTCTGGGAGTGTTCAAGATTGAGGCTGCTGTGTCTCTCTGGGCCTTGAATGAGGATAGCGACCCTGAATGAAAAAGTGATGGAGAGAGAGATAAAATCTCATAGTTTAAGCCTCTGAAGTCTTGGGATTGTTTGTTTCCTAAGCATAGTGTAGCCTATCCTGGCTTACGTGACGATGTCAGGGATAAGCACAGAAATGGAACATGCGACTCAGCCTGAGGAAGCCAGGAAAGCTTCTGAAAGAGGCACCATCTTTGGGCAGCTGGGAATTACCCAACAAAGGGCAGACAGCAGGTGTTTTGGAGATCAGGAGAAAGTGAAATCTCTCTCAAGTCATCAACACAAAGAGGGAACCCCAAGTGAAGCTGAAGACAATGTAGTTAAAATGTAGTTAAGAGCATGGGCTTTGCGGGTTACGCAAGTGTGGATTTGACTCCTGGCTCTGCTGCTTTCTACATACCTAAGCTTGGGAAGAAGCTGCTGACTTTTTTTTCTTTTGGTATCAGATTCCTCATTGCACGATAAGCAAGACAGCCCCTACACTGCCTGTGCCTGGTGTCTGCTTTTATGTGCTCATTTAAGTGGTGCTGTTATTAGATGTAATTGCAGATGCACTGGGCCACTGGGCCCAGTTTTGTCATGGCCTCTGCCAAACACTAATATGCTAACAATAATAGCTAACACATGTGTGGTGTTTAGCATGCACCTGACCCTAAGCACTTCGCATGTGTTGCACATCCATAGCAAGTCAATGTCACCATTATACCCATTTCACTAAGGAGAAAATGGGATCTCAGACTGTCCATGACTCCTCCAAAGCCACCCAGCCGCAAAGTGGTAGAGGTAGAATTCAGACACAGGGGTCTCACTTCAGTGTCCATGCTCGTAATTGTGATACCATCTTCTGCTTCTGTGCTTATATACCTAAAATGTTCATGCCATTTCCGCCATGTTCAGTGGCGCCACTCCAAGAGGCTTTGCTAAAACTCCTGACCTGGCATAAAATGAAGAGGGGTTGGGCTCCTCCTTGTCAGAGAGTCAGGTAGGGGAGAAATTGGTAGGGTAAATCCCGAAATGTAGCTGGCCAGTGAGGTAGTGGGCATCTTTCTGGGTTTCTTACTGCTGACATATACTGGGTTTCTGTTTAGGGGTAGGCTCTACGTTTGATGCTCTGTATACAGTGGCAAATACAGTCTGCATTGAGACCCTGAACGTGCCATCCACTGGCCTTCAGATTTGAGTGTCTTGCAGAAGAGACACCTAAGCTGGTGCTGTATCAGCTCTTAAGAAGAAACTCAGTGGTTATATTGGCCCAAAGGACTTTACTTACCCTTCAAGGTGACATCATGCTGGGAACATAGTGGCCATGGAGGAAGGACCCTGATGAAGGAAGGGGAGGCAGAAGGTATCTTCAGGAAGAAGAAGAAGCATGTGCATTAATCTGGAAGAGCACAGGGGTGTTTGTGGACTGGAGCATCCCTTGGGGAGCAGAAGGCAGAAAGAACAAGTCCTGGGGTATTAAGCAGTGGAGGTTCCCTCCCTTCGGGCTTCATCCCAAGGGCAGTAGGAAACCTAAGAAAGGGCTTCACACAGGGGAGCAATAGGATCAGATTTTTTTCTTTTGAAAAATTCACTCTGGCTGCCATTAAGATGGAAGGGAAGCAAGACTGGGGTCAGGAAAAGCATTTAGGAGGCTGTGGCAATCATGCTGAGGAAAGGTCACAGGGGGCCCAGGGTGGAGAGCTGGGGGTGGATCTGCACTCCCTGAACTTGTGACCCTGGATTAGTACTCCGGTAACATTTTATCCCATCCTTCTTCTCCCCAGCCAAAAGGGCTATCTAACCTATACTTATCTTTCCAGAGTAGCGGTTCCGTAAATTGTAGCTCTCTGAGTGAGATTTCAGCACTACCCACCTTCCCAGGCTCGCTGTGTTCTGGGTCACAGGTGTGCGACCCTGGTAAGCTGCTGCTAACCGTGCTCACTATGTTTTGTTTTCTGGGATTTCTGTTTGGTGAGTGACTGTGCTCTTTCGAAGCCGGCTCTCTAGGTCCCACTTGGTCATAGGTTAGCAGCTTGGGAACTGGCCCCAGGGGAGTAGAGTCTTCCAGACTCTGGGCTACTCCTCCAACTGGACAGCTCTTTCCCTCGGAAGCCGAGGAAGCATGGGTTAACTTTATTTTCCAATTATCTCTGCATTTTCTATCAAGACATAATCCTTTATTAAGTTAATGAGGCATAATAATTATTAACTGCTAATTATTCATAGCCGCTTAGTCTATTTAAAAGAAATGATACCATTTAGAGCAAGATTTAAAGATATGCAAATATTCAACAGCTTCTTCAGGACATTCAGCTGCTCCGTTGGTATAGTGGCAAGCTCATTGACTTTCTTGTCAGGAAGTGAGTGATTTCGTTCTCGAATCTGTAATTTGCAGTGTCAGCACAACACAAGCGTGTCCTTGACCAACCTCCTGGCACTACAATGCATGTCAGTTGCCCCATCCGTGAAATGGGAATATGAACACCTACTTTCAACACTGCTGGGGGTTTCCATGAGATAATGTGAGTGAAATAACCAGCACGGTGCTTAGTATATGTTGAAAAAAACATTTGTGACCTATTAGAAGTTGCTTCCTAATCTAACCCTAGATGCATCTCCCAGTTCTGCATTGAATATATGTGTGTGTGTGTGAGTGTGTGTTTGTCTGTATATATATGTATGTGTCTATGACTACATTGATATCTTCACCTTCTTGTCTTCTAAACTTCTTCCTGAAGTTTATGGAAGTTGATGCAGGGCTTTCAACTCTGGCTCAAAGGTCTTGAGCTTTCAGAACAACTTGAAGTAAGAAAACAATTGCACACGGCTCTGATATTTTACCATCCCATTCAGATCTCTCTATTCAAACCCAGACCCTTTGTCTTGGAATATGGGAGACAATGGCCTCCTGTTCTACATTCTTCCTGCTCTGTGCTGTTTGGTGAAACTGAAAGAATGGGATTGTTATACTTCCTAGTTGGCTAAGGGGCTAGAAGTTAGCCAGATCATGGGGCCCAGAGAGGGTGACCTACTGAGGGCCCCTGGACTGCAAAGGCAGCCCCTGAGTCTCCCTTCCTGGCAGCACCACCACCCCCTAACAGGGTCACTGTCCCAGTACTGACCCCTGGGCCCCTTTTATGCTTAAGTTCTCTGCAGCGGGAGGCTTTGGTTTGGGTTCATACTCTGAATGCCACTCTGTGGATCTGGAGGCTTACAGAGAGAAACACCTGATCTTTTTAAGAACCCTAATTAAGGGGTTACATATACTAGGGGGAGGAGTCTCTCTTGCCTTAGTCCAAACTGCTTTTACTGAGACGGGAAAGATGAGACCAACACCAACAGCTACTAAAACAACAAACTCCACACTAGCAGCTATAGGGGGCTGGGGGAAGCCAAACCTCATGGTAATAACAAGGTCAGGCTCCAAATAGAGCAAGGGCAGCAGGTGCGAGGTGAGACCAGAGCAGCGGGCAGGTGAGAAGCACTGTTATCATTTGTTAATAACAGCTATCAGTGACTGAGTATGTTCTAGGTGCCAGACACTGTTTTAAGCAGTGTCATGCATCATCTGACCTGTCCTGATTGGTTATTCTCTTCACTTCACTCATAAGGACCTCAAGGGCTGGTGAGGTTAAATGCCATCCCCAAGCCATGCAGCCAGCAAGTGTGAATGCAAAGTGTGTGCCCTTAACTGTGCTGACACTCTGCTGTCTCCCTTTCATGTTGCCCAAGGGAAGGCTGGGGGTCACGCAGGACATGGCCAGAGACCGAGAAAGTGGGAAGAAGGATGAGGAGGCTGAGACCCATGGCTTTTTCTTGTGGCCAGTGTAATTATTACCCACTTCTCACTTCTACCAAACAGGAAGGAAGGCTCAACTGATTTCAGGATGCAAGTCAGCCACACGTACTCATAGGCAGAATGATGGCCATGTCCTAATCCTGGAAACTGTGGATATGTTAGCTTGCGTGGAAGAGGGCATTAGGATTCCAGGTGGAACTTCAATTGCTAAACAGATGACTTTAAAATAAGAAGATGAGGCCTGGCCAACATGGTGAAACCCTGTCTGTACTCAAAATACAAAAATTAGCTGGTCGTGATGGTGCGTACCTCTAATTCAAGTTACTCAGGAGGCTGAGGCAGAAGAATCACTTGAACCCAGGAGGTGGAAGTTGCAGTGAGCTGAGATCATGCCATTGCACTCCAGCCTGGACGACAAGAGCAAGAATCTGTCTCAAAAATAAATAAATAAATAAATAAATAAATAAATAAATAAATAAATGGAGATGATTCCAAATTATCCTGGTGGACCCAGTGTCATCACAAGGGTTCTTAAATGGCAGACGAGACAGAGAATGAGAACAAGTGAGATGGCATCAAGACACTCAATCTGCCATTGCTGCTTTTAAAGATAAAGGAAGAGGTTTATGAACCAAGTGATGTAATAGACTCTGGAAGCCAGAAAAGGCAGACAACACAGTGTCCCTCAGAGCCTCCAGAAAGGAACGAAGCTCTGATGGCATGTTTATTTTAGCCCCGTGACACCCATTTCAGACTTCTGACATTCATAACTGTTAGAGTAAGAATTTGTGTTCTCAGCTACACACAAATTTTGTGGTAATTTGTTTTAGCAGCAATGGAAAACTAATACAGCAGGTACATTTGAAAATCATGTACATACTGAATCTACTCAAACCTTCGAGTTGCAGACTTCTTATCTACAAGAAGAATAAGGGAGAGAGGAACATATGAAACAACTTCACAAGGAAGCAATGAACCAAAACAGAAATAAAGCTGGAGGCATTAGGCTACCTGACTTCAAACTATACTACAAGGCTACAGTAACCAAGACAGCATGGTACTGGTACCAAAACAGAGATATAGACCAATGGAACAGAACAAAGCCCTCAGAAATAATGCCGCATATCTACAACTATCTGATCTTTGACAAACCTGACAAAAACAAGAAATGGGGAAAGGATTCCCTATTTAATAAATGGTGCTGGGAAAACTGGCTAGCCATATGTAGAAAGCTGAAACTGGATCCCTTCCTTACACCTTATACAAAAGTTAATTCAAGATGGATTAAAGACTTAACCTAAAACCGTAAAAACCCTAGAAGAAAACCTAGGCAATACCATTCAGGACATAGGCATGGGCAAGGACTTCATGTCTAAAACACCAAAAGCAATGGCAACAAAAACCAAAATTGACAAATAGGATCTAATTAAACTAAAGAGCTTCTGCACAGCAAAAGAAACTACCATCAGAGTGAACAGGCAACACACAGAATGGGAGAAAATTTTTGCAATCTACTCATCTGACAAAGGGCTAATATCCAGAATCTACAATGAACTCCAACAAATTTACAAAATTTACAAGAAAAAAACAAACAATCCCATCAACAAGTGGGCAAAGGATATGAACAGACACTTCTCAAAAGAAGACATTTATGCAGCCAAAAGACACATGAAAAAATGCTCATCATCACTGGCCATCAGAGAAATGCAAATCAAAACCACAATGAGATACCATCTCACACCAGTTAGAATGGCAATCGTTAAAAAGTCAGGAAACAACAGGTGCTGGAGAGGATGTGGAGAAATAGGAATGCTTTTACAGTGTTGGTGGAACTGTAAACTAGTTCAACCATTGTGGAAGTCAGTGTGGCGATTCCTCAGGGATCTAGAACTAGAAATACCATTTAACCCAGCCATCCCATTACTGGGTATATACCCAAAGGATTATAAATCATGCTACTATAAAGACACATGCACATGTATGTTTATTGCGGCATTATTCACAGTAGCCAAGACTTGGAACCAACCCAAATGTCCAACAATGATAGACTGGATTAAGAAAATGTGGCAGATATACACCATGGAATACTATGTAGCCATAAAAAATGATGAGTTCATGTCCTTTGTAGGGACGTGGATGAAGCTGGAAACCATCATTCTGAGAAAACTATCACAAGGACAAAAAACCAAACACCGCACGTTCTCACTCATAGGTAGGAATTGAACAATGAGAACACATGGACACAGGAAGGGGAACATCACACACCAAGGCCTGTTGTAGGGTGGGGGGGGGGGGGGGAGGGATAGCATTAGGAGATATACCTAATGTTAAATGATGAGTTAATGGGTGCAGCACACCAACATGGCACATGTATACATATGTAACAAACCTGCACATTGTGCACATGTACCCTAAAACTTAAAGTGTAATAAAAACAAAACAAAACAAATAATAATTCAATAAAATAAAAAAAAAAACAGAAAGGAGATATTTCTGCAGGAGAGCTGGAGCAGCATTTTATTAAGATATAAAGAGGGTGGGAGAGGCCGGGCACATTTGCTTACCCTGTAATCCCAGCACTTTAGGAGGCCAAGGCAGGTGGATCATCTGAGGTCAGGAATTTGAGACCAGCCTGGCCAACATGGTGAAACTCTGTCTCTACTAAAAATACAAAAATTAGCTGAGTGTGGTGGCGGGTGCCCGTAATCCCAGCTATTTGGAAGGCTGAGACAGGAGAATCACTGGAACCTGGGAGGCGGAAGTTGCAAGTGAGCCAAGATCCTGCCACTGCACTGCAGCCTGGGCAACAGAGCGAGACTCCATCTAAAAAAAAAAAAAAAAAAAAGAAAGTGGGAGAGAGTTTAAAGGTGGGGTCACCATATGGTTTTCCCTGGGCAATCTTGGTATCTTGGTTTATGCCTTTTGTCCTAATATATATTATTATTATTTTAATAAATTTGTTTGTTTATTTATTTATTTTGAGACAGAGTCTCACTCTGTTGCGCAGGCTGGAGTGCAGTGGTGTGATCTCAGCTCACTGCAACCTCTGCCTCCCAGGCTCAAGAGATCCTCCTGCCTCAGCCTCCTGAGTAGCTGGGATTACAGGTGCCCACGACCACACCTGGCTAATTTTTGTATTTTTAGTAGAGATAGCATTTCACTATGTTGGCCAGGATGGTCTTGAACTCCTGACCTCAAATGATCCACCTGCCTCGCCTCCCAAAGTGCTGGGATTACAGGCATGAGCTACTGCCCCCGGCCCTGATACATTATTAATGGTACTCATTTTCACTCTTGAAAACATTCAAGTTTAAATAACAAGTTATATTGTCCTCCCTTTACAGTAAGCTTGAGAGACCCAATAACCAAACACAGTGGATGAACCGTGTATGAGATCTTATTTGGGAAAACAAACTCTAAAATATATATGTTTTTAGACAGCTGGGTAATTTGAATATGAACTGGTTATTAGATGAAATTATAATTTTGTGAGGTGTGAAAATAGCAACATAGTTAAAAAAATATCATTTTTTATAAGATCTTACTAAAGTATTGGGTGCAATAGCCAGATCTCTGGGATTTACTTTAAGATAATTCAGCAAAAAATAGGATATAGATGAAAGAGTTTACAGTAAAATGTTGATGGTTGTTGAAGCTGGGTGATGGATATGCTGGGGTTTGTTATATATATTTTCTTCCTTTATATATATTTGACAATTGTCATGGTAAGAAGTTTGAAAACAGTGTCTGGCATACAGCTTTGGTAATTCAGGGATGATCCGGACACTTAGCTTTTTTTTTTCCTCCTCTTCTCATATTGGACTGGTCTCACATGTCTGGCTAGAGGTCAGATTGGGACATGAAGGAGGTAATTTCGCCATAAATTACCTCCTTTAAATTTTTTATTGATTTTAAAAAATAAAATAAAAACTGATTTGATTGATTAAAAAATTTTATTTTTTAAATTTTTTATTGATACATAATAGCTATTATGTATCATGGGGTGATATCTAACGTGGTGCACGTGATATTTTGATACCAGTATACAATGTGTAATGATCAAATCAGGGTAATTAGGAGATTCACCACCTCAAACATTTATCATTTCTTTGTGTTAGGAACATTCCAAATCTTTCCTTCTAGCTTGTGATGGTTAATATTGAGTGTCAACTTGATTGGATTGAAGGATGCAATATTGATCCTGGGTGTGTCTGTGAGGGAGTTACCAAAGGAGATCAACATTTGAGTCAGTGGGCTGGGGAAGGCAGACCCACCCTTAATCTGGGTGGACAGCATCTAATCAGCCGCCAGCGAGTATAAAGCAGGCAGACAAACAAAAAAGGCGAGATGGGCCTAGCCTCCCAGTCTACATCTTTCTCCCGTGCTGGATGCTTCCTGCCCTTGAACATCGGACAGCAAGTTGTTCAGTTTTGGGACTCGGACTGGCTCTCCTTGCTCCTCAGCTTGCAGACAGCCTATTGTGGGACTTTGTGATCATGTAAGTTAACACTTAATAAACTCCCCTTTATATATATGTATATACACCCTATTAGTTCTATCTCTCTAAGAGAATCCTAATACATAGCTATTTTGAAATATACAATAAATTATTGTCATGTGCACCAGCTCAGGGAGTTATTCTCTGGGGAATAAGATTAGAAATGCACATAAGTGATAAATTAACACGTTGATTCTCATTTCCATGTTTTTTTGTGGTTCATCTCATGGAGGGGTATTGACTATGGTTTGCAGTAAAAT
This sequence comes from Homo sapiens, assembly GCF_000001405.40. Classification (NCBI taxonomy): domain Eukaryota; kingdom Metazoa; phylum Chordata; class Mammalia; order Primates; family Hominidae; genus Homo; species Homo sapiens. Next base: position 26,682,737 of record NC_000016.10, on the reverse strand, counting down.
TCAGGCATTCATACATTTGTAGGTATGAAGAAGTATAGGATTAAGGCCAACTGTAAATTACTACCCAGTGGGGTTAATCAAAGCAAGCACCATGTAGTGGAAAGAACATGAGTTTGGGGTCCAAAAGCCTTGTTCTGATTTGTCATAGCTGTATGACCTTAGGCAAGTCACTTAACCTCTCAGAATCCTTACCTGAATATTGGGAAGATAAATCCTTGTTTCTCCAGGATAGGTGGGAGGAATAAATGCGAAAACATATTAAAAATGATAGGCACATAGTAGGGGCTTAATGAACATTTGTTCTCCATCACTCCCCAAGTTTCCTTGAGTGGTGGAAGGTTTCAGATATCAGAAACTCACATTCTATTTTGGATACTATCTTATGTCTAAAGATGTATAGCTTTCTGATTATTGAATAATGTGTGGTTCTTGTAGAAGACTTAATAATGTTTACTCATTGTGGAAGACCTAAAAGATTGTAGATCCATATAAAAATAAAACAAAAATCTTCCATAAAACCATGAAAGATATCAACTGTATATATTATATAGCATGGTCCACTTCTGTTCTCTCTGCCTATGTAAAAATAATTGGGATCATCTTACATACATATTTTTCCATCTGATTTTTAAATTATAAGTTTTTCTCCCTCTGGGTTTCTTTTTTAATGTTTAACAATAAAGCATATGAGATTTTGGAGTTAAATCAGCCTACATATGAGAATTTGCAGCTGCTATGTCTTACATATTTGTCCCTGAGAAAATCCCAGATCTTCTCCTGTAGGTTTAGTGTGGAATGTAAATGACTTAAGGTCCATAAAACTTTGAACACAGTTCCTGAAACAGTGCTTATATAATGATAGTAGCTATTACTGATATTGATTAGACTACTGTGTCAGTTAGGCTAGGTTATGCTTCAATAACAAACAGCACTGAAATCTTGTGACTTAACAAAAGTCTGTTCTTTACTGCAGATTGAAACCACTCTCTTGGGCAGTTCTCTTCTCAATCACCATGCAATTTAGAGCTCCAGGTACTTTCCGTCTTGCAGCACTTCGATTACACATGTGTCCATGATTGCCAAGGCAGAGGAAGAGAAACTGGATGATATCTCACTGGCAATGAAATGCATTGATTCAGAATAAATATGATCCATTCTGCTCACTGCCAATGGACTAGAGCTAATTGTATGATCCCACCTTCAAAGGGTGTGTGTGTGAAAAAATGTAACCCTCCCATGCACTCAAAAGAAGAGACCCAAATACAGATGAGCGCTAGGAGTCTCTACCATGGTATAATCTATTCCACTAGGTTGGTGCAAAAGTAATTATGGTTTTGCTATTGAAAGTAATGGCAAAATCGCAATTACTTTTGAGCCAACCTAATAGGTTGCATATACCTTATCCAAAATGCTTGGAACCAGAAGCATCTCAGATTTGGTGTTTTCTTTTTTCTTTTCTCTTTTTTTTTTCAGATTTTGGAATATTTCCATATATGCAAGATATCTTGGAAAAAGGACTCAAGTCTAAACACAAAATTCATTTATGTTTCCTATACACCTTATACACATATATACAATATTTTAAATAATTTGTGCATGAAACAAAGTTTGTTTCCATTGAATCAAAGGAAAGGAGTCACTATCTCATGTTGGCGCTCAGAATATTTCAGATTTTGGAGTATTTAGAAGTTCGGATTTTTGGATAAGGGATGCTCAATCTGTATAAGATTGCTTACTCTCTTGGAAGTGAGTGGGCTTGGACTCAAGATCAGCCCCAGCATGTGTACGTGTTATAAGTCCTCAGCCTCTGGCCTGGTGAAAGGAAGAAAAGGCAGCCCATTTAAGATGCACTGACGTCTCCTGGGCCTGCCTGAAGCTGAGGTTCCCAAAGTTGTTTGATGCCAGTTCTGTCTCTGTGTCTGAGAGTCACTTCCTTGTTGCTCAGTACTGTGAAGGGTGCATTTAAGCAAAAGCTTGGGCTGGCCACACTGTAGCATCTCATCAGTGCCCTCTCATCGCCTTGATCTACAATGTGTCCTGAGGGCCATCAGTCCCAGAAGAGTTTATCAGGCCCTGCTCTGGCCGTTAGTGCCACATATATCATGGCGTGGAAAACACTAAACAGATCTGAGCCTTGGAGAACTAGAGGCTGGGTGAAAGCTGGAGGGCTTCTGGGAGTTAGATCTCCTGAAGAATCTGCAGAGAAGTTTTGCTTCTTGGTTTTCATTCCTTTTTCTGTATTCTCATATAATATCAGCTTTTTTTTTTTTCTCAGATGCTGACAGTGGGGTTCAAGGAAAGAAAGTTTTTTAAGAGTCAAGCAAAACATGGATGCACCTTATGACTTTGCACCCTATTAGCTGTGTGTCCTGGCACAAGTTGCTTCCCATCTCTGGGCCTGCATCTTAGCCTTTATGTAATGGGAACAAGATTGGCTCTCTGACTTCTATCGTTCTATGATTCTGCGACTTACAGAATTCTGAACCAGACCCAGAGCTTGGATATTGAAGGAACACCAACCATGTTAGAGACCATCTATATCAGATAAGATACTTTTGTTAATAGGCAATGGAAATATCAACTTGAACTGGCTTTAAAAGTACAGAAATTTGGCTGGGCGCGGTGGCTCATGCCTGTAATCCCAGCACTTTGGGTGACTGAGGTGCGCCGATCACAAGGCCAGGAGTTTGAGACCAGCCTGACCAATATGGTGAAACCCAGTCTCTACTAAAAATACAAAAATTAGCCGGGCGTCGTGGCAGGCGCCCATAGTCCCAGCTACTCGGGAGGCTGGGGCAGGAGAATCACTTGAACCTGGGAGATGGAGGTTGCAGTGAGCCAAGATCACGCCACTGCACTCCAGCCTGGGCAACAGAGCGAGACCCCAACTCAAAAAAAAAACAGAAATTTATTGCGCTATGTAATAGACTTCTAAGCAAGGTGGGTTTTACGATTTGTTGACTAACGGCTCAAACAAGTTGTCAAAGACACAGGTTTCTTCTTCTCTTCTCCGGATAATCCTTGAGGTTGGCTTCCTCCTCAAGCTGTAGGAAGATATCAATTAGCCATGAAATTGATATCTTCCACTATCAATTAGCCATGAAAACATCCAGACCAGGAATAGAGAACATTGCTTCCAGTGAGGCTGTCCTGAGAGACAGACAACTTGACCCAAAGCTGCCCATTATCCTCCTGTTGGCAAGAGGTAGATCACACGCCCATTCCTTGACGTTGCAGTCACTGGCAAGGGCTGAGATTACCTTAGAGCAACAGGTCCGTCCACAGAGTCTGACATGAGCTCCTCTGGGGATGGGGTATGTCCAAGGAGTATCTGAAACACAATTAGGGTTCTGATTGAAAGGGGGAAGGGAGACTGGGGATGGTAGAACCATAGCATCCACACCTCAGTGACTTCGTCATTTTCTTTTTAGATTATTAATTCAACCTCAAAAGCAATAGTTGTTGACGTATATCAAGTGTTTACTACGTATGGTCTCTGTGTCAAAATCTTTATAAGATCTTTACAAGAAATTTCTCCTTTAGTCTCTACAACAGCCTGGGAGTGCAGATACCAATAGCATGTCCATTCTACAGATAAGGAAGATGAGGTTCCAGTAAGATGACTTGCTCAAGGTCACAAGGTAAGTGGCAAAGCGCAGATTTCAGCCTATGTCTGGGTGATTCTAAAGCCAAAGGTTTTAATTCCTATGCTCTCCTGTATTTAGAGAGAGAAAGAAAAAGGTGGGGCATCTGTAAAACATCAACTACGGCTCATGTACACATACATTTGCTATCTAATTTCATCCTCACAAAACACCAACTATGCAGTCATTCTTTCTGATTTATATTTTGTGAAATTAAGTCTCAGTGAGGGTATTTGACTTGCCAAGAATTTCATAACCAGCAAGAGGCAGAGACCTAAGTCCATATGATATGACTCTGTTTCAGAAAAAGAATACTTTTATCTGTAAGGAACAGAACATCCAATGAAAATTAGCCTAAACAATAGGGGATTTTATTTTCTATTAGAACCAGAAGGGAAGTGAACCACTTCAGAAGTGGTTCAATAGCTCAACAATGAAATTGCAGACCCAAGGTCTTTCCCTATTTCTGTGGCACCATCTGCAGTGTGTTAATGTCTCTTCTCATGGTGTCCCAGCCTCCTGGTCTTCATTCAAACTTGTTCTAAAGCAGGAAGGGGCAAGGACAGGTCAGTGAACAAAGCTCTTCTAGTGCACTTCTCTCTTTTTATCAGGAAGAAAAATGTTCCCTGATGTTCAGTAGCTGATTCCCCTTATATCCCATTGGCCACAGTAGAATCATGTGGCCAGATCCTAGCTGCAAGAGGGGTTGAGAAGGTAAGTGTGTGTGTTTTGAGTTTCTGCAGTTGATGGCAGGTTCAGGCAGTTTAGAAGTGGGAAGAGAAATAGCCCTTAGAATGACAACCCACAGTGTCAATCACAAACTCCCAAGGTGTTCCAAGATATGGTCTATAGCTCAATTCTTTGTATTCTTATAGCCTGATGGAGCACACAAGTTTTCAATAGATGCTATTCGAATAATAGGATAATTTAGAAAGTTTAGGATTTTCTGGAAGATTTTGGAAAAGCGACTGTGGATGGAAAGATGAAATTATGGATCATCTAATGGTCTTTTCCCTGACATCCTTGCTTTTGCCTGTTAATCATTTTGACTTCTGGCCAGTGAGCTGTGCAGTGAGAAAATGCAAGTAGGCAGGGAAGCAAAGGAGCCTCAGTTTCCTTCTGTGTGAAATGGGTGAGAATGAAATACAGCTTGTCTGTTATAAAGCTCCAGTGTTTGTCCCTAATTCTGGGTTTAGGGACACTCAGAACAGTGTGACTTGGACCCAGTCATGCAGGGCACTCCCAACTTGGAGCACTTGCTGTGAGATGTCAGAGCAGATGAAAGCAGTTCTACTAAAGACTGCTGGGGAGTGCAGGCAGAAGTTTTCCCTGGAAGAAGAGATTAGACTGGCAACTAGATGGTTTAACAGAGAGAAATGGAAGGTTGACTTATGCCTGGATGTTGAGAGTGGGGTTCAAGGAAAGAAGGTTTTAAGAGTCAAACAAAAGGTTTTAAGAGTCAAACAAAACATGGATGTGCCTTATGGCTTTGCACCCTACTAGCAGTGTGTCCTGGAGCAAGTTGCTTCCCACCTCTGGGCCTGCATCTTTGCTTTATGTTATCGGGACAAGATTGCCACTCTGACTTCTATTGTTCTATGATTCTGTGATTCCATATCTGAAGCAGGTCCAGAGGTTGGATATGGAGGCAGCACCATGTCAGAGACCATCCATATCAGGATGCTTTTGTTAGTAGGTAACAGAAACATTGACTTGAACTGGCTTAAAAAGTACAGAAATTTATTGCGCTGGTTATGGAAATCTACCCAGAAGTCTATTACACAGGGCAATAAATTACTCCAATTCTTGGTTCGGGCCTAGATTCACCCGCCTTCCTAGCCTGCCATCTTTTCCCAGTGAGAATCCCTCCCCTGCAGGGTGATTAGAAGTGCAGCTTCTAGACCAGCAGTTCTTGGTTGTGGTTGCACATTGAAATCATTGTTGGTGGTTGAGTGGTAGTGAGTTGGTGGGCTTTAAAAAATATTGATGCCTGAGTTCCACTCCCAGAGATTCTAATCTAGGTTGCAACCTGCCATGGCTATTTTTCTTTTTTCTTTTTTTTTTTTTTTTGAGACAGAGTCTCATTCTGTCACCCAGGCTGGAGTGCAGTGTTGTAATCTCGGCTCACTGCAACCTCTGACTCTATGGTTCGGGCGATTCTCCTGCCTCAGCCTCTTGAGTAGCTGGGATTACAGGCATATGCCACCATGCCTGGCCAATTTTTGTATTTTTAGTAAATATGGGGTTTCGCCATGTTGGCCAGGGTGGTCTTGAACTCAAGTGGCCTCAAGTGATCTGCCCACCTTGGCCTTCCAAGGTTCTGGGATTATAGGCATGAACCACCACACCCAGCCCTGCCACGGCTATTTTTAGTGGTTTCTCCAGATAATTCTAAAGCACAGAGAATGTTGAGCACTGCAGCTCTAGGTTACTGCCTGCCTTCAAATCCTGATTTTGTCACTGGTTGTGCAATCTTGGGCACGAGTTCATTAAACTTTTAAGCCTATATTTCCTCATATGTAAAATGGAGCTAATGGCAATTATGGGAGTATTATGAAGGCACCTGGGATAATTCATATAAAGCACCATGCCTTTCCCATAGTAAATGCAAAATAATACTTTACCATCAGCATCACTGAAGTCGTCATCCTGCTAACACTTACCAAGGGGGCTGGACTCTGCAACCATGGATAACCCATTGTCTCAGCTACTCCTGAAATCCCTGCTGCCCCGATCTACCTTGGGAAACCAGCAATGTTGGACACTTGTGATTGTCTGCTGTGTAAAAGAATTCTAGGCTTTCCAGAGTAGACACATTGGGTGTTTTCTCCCTCCCGTTGGTAACAGAATTCCAGTCTCCCTTTGGGGAAACCATCTTTCCTCTACTCTTAGTCCACATGTTTGGCTGATTTCCTGTTGTCTCCCACTGGACAGAATGGAATCACATGGCCAGATTGTAGCTGCAAGAGAGATTGGGAACGTAAGCATCTGTGTTTTTAGTTTCTGATGTTGAAGGCAGGTTCAACTGAACCCATCCTCCCTAGGGCAGTTAAGGTCACTTACAGTTGGGAGCTCTTAACTTGGAGCATCTCAGAATGAGTGCTCCAAGTTGGGAGCTCCTAGCTGTGTAAGTGACCCAGACTTGTGAAATAAGAATGAAACCAACAACATTTGCTGGTTTGCTTGGGAAGGAGGCTTCTTACTTACCCTGGCATTGCTAAACTGGGAGGATGTAAGCCTGCATCTTCTGGAGACCATCTATGCAATCAGCAGATGAGAGCTTGTCTGAGAATAAAAGCTACATGGGGAATCAGATGGTGTGATGAGAACACGTGTATTCCCCATGACATAATTGGAGCACCTGGGTCCTGTAGCACCTGCAACTTGATCTAATCATGAACTTTTCACAGTCCTGAGCTACTTTGCCCTATATATTGCTCAAGCCTCCTTGAGTTTGGGCTTCAAATGCAATTGAAATAATTTGATGAATACATCTCACCTTGGCTCACTGATCTTCCCCAAGGCCAAATTCTATGTCCTGGTATTACATCCTGTCTTCATCCACGATCATCACTTCCTTTTTTTCTCTTCACTGAGAGCATCATGTATGTTGGGCATGCAGAGCTAGTCTGGTTCTGTCAACCTATGATGGGCTCCACCTCCACATTCAAAGACTCCCACATTGTGGCCAGGCTTTCTCTGTTAAGGGATAAGATCTTCCATATTCTCAGAGTGAACCAGGACTGGAAAAAAACCTCAGGTTACATTAAACAGAGGTATGAACCCAGGAATAGGGAGGACACCAGACTACTATTGCAACTCTGCTCCTAGCAAGCCATACTGCGTTTTGTATTTGGCTCTGAATATTATCCTGAAAAACAGCTGTTGACGAGCAAGAGGGACTGAAATGGTAAAAGGATTTCACATAATGCCATTTGAGAACAGATGAATGGCTCCAGAGAGAGAAAAGATAGCTTACTTCTGTGTAAGAATGAAGAGTTTTAAAATTTAAGTTGTCATGATCAAAGTTGTCTAGGGATGGAGTGAACTAACTCACAAGGTAGTAGACTTCTCAACACTGAAGGTATGGATGTTGAAACAGGCTAATTGGCTGTCATGGGTATTGAAGAGACTATTTTCAGAACACTGAATAGGGGCTGTCTTAGTTCGGGTCACCCCAGAAGCAAATTCTGATCAAGGATTTGTATGCAAGTACAGTTGACCCTGAAACAACATAGATTTGAACTGCACGGGTCTACTTATACGGAGATTCTTTTTCCATAAAAGTTATACCGAGTGTGTCTGCCTTTCCTGTCCCCTCTTCCACCTCTGCTACTCTTTTACCACTGTCATTCCTGAGACAGCAAAACCACCCCTCTTTCTCTTCCCCATCAGCCTACTCAACGTGAAGACAACAAGGATGAAAACTTTTATGATGATCCACTTCCACTTAATGAATAGGAAATATATTTTTGTCTTCCTTAGGATTTTCTTTATTTTACTGTTTTTATGTTTTTTAGAGACAGGGTCTCACTCTGTTGCCCAGGCTGGAATTCAATGGCAGGATCATAGCTCAGTGCAGCCTTGAACTCTAGGCTCAAGCAGTCTTCCTGCCTCAGCATCCCCCACAGCTGGGACTATAGGCACGTGCCACCATGCCTGGCTAATTTTTAAATTTATTGTAGAGATGGGATCTCACCGTGTTGCCCAGGCTGGTCTCAAACTCCTGGCCTCAAGCAATCCTTCTGCCTCAGCCTCCCAAAGCTCTGGGATTATAGGCATGAGCCACCATGCCTGGACCCTTATGATTTTCTTAATACCTTTTTTTCCCTAGCTTACTTTATTGTAAGAATAAAGTACAGAATACCTAAAATACACATATAACACAGAATATCTGTTAATCAACTGCTTATGTTATTGGTAAGGCTTCCGGTCAACTGTAGGCTATTAGTAGTTAAGTTTTGGGGGAGTCAAAAGTTATATGTGAATCTTTGACATTGCAGGGGCTCACCACCTGTAGCCCCCATGTTGTTCCAGGATCACCTGTAGTTCATTTGACTGATCTCAGGAAACACCATGGGAAGTAGGGAAGCGAGACAGGAAAGGACAGGAAGCCAGTCAAGGGTGCATTTGTGAGCCCACTACTGCAGTGGACCCTCTGAGAGGACGGCCCCCTTTCAGGCTGAGGGAGCTGGAGTGTTTATCCACTAAGCCTTGATCCTCATTTGTTGGGGTTCACTCCAGGGACGTTAACACTCAGTCACATCCAGCCTACTCCAAGTATGAGATGAGCATTTTGACTTGCCAGAGTGTGTTGGTTTGTTTTGCATTGAGCGTAAAAACAATTACCCAAGGTATTATCGAAGAATACCCAAGGCTGGGTAATTTATAAGGAAAAGAGATTTATTTGGCTCACTGTTATGCAGACTGTACAAGCATGGCACCAGCATCTGCTTAGCTTCTGGTGAGGCCTCAGGAAGCTTTTAGTCATGGTGAAAGGCAGAGGGGGAGCAGACATGTCACATATTAAGAGAGGGAGCAAGAGAGAGGGGAGGAGATGCCAGGCTCTTTTAAACAAGCAGCTCTCGTGTGAATTAATAGAGTGAGACCTCAGTCATTACTATGGATAGGGAGGACACCAAGCCATTCATGAGGGATCCCACCAGGCCCCACCTGCAACACTGGAGGTTTGGAGGGGACACACATCCAAACCATATCACAGAGACATTTCTTAGGCAGAGAGACATAGGAAACCATTCCCCTTATGGGAACCATCTGCCGCAACCCCCAAATAGGCCTGAGGGACTGTGAACAGAGTACAGGCGTCTGCTATAGGAGCAGAATTCAGAGTGTTAACTGAATTCCCCTGGGCTGGATTCTGCCTGTAGGGTACATTCCTTAGCATGCTCAATTTTTTTTAAGACAAAGAATATGAAAGAAAATCTCAAATTCCTACATTGCTCCAACTTCCTATTTTCTTGCAAACATCTGGCCTGCTTCATCCATTTTCTCCTCTTTCCTGGACCCCAAAGGCATCAGCCTGTAGGACCCTATGTAAAATGCTCTGTGATGTCCCTTCTCGCACCACCTGCAGCAGGATGGTTATTGTTTAGGAATGTTCTGGTAGTGATACCTAGGAATAGAACAGAATGTCTTTGAAAGTACAGAGGCCCGGCACCCCTGGCATCAGCTGAGTTCCTGTGTGTCCCTGTTGCCCCTTAGAACTGCTGCCTGTGACTGTGGATCCAGCTTCTTCCAAAGCACATTGATAAGAACAATATTTGTATATCACTTTATAGTTTGTAAGGCACTTTATAAACTGACAAGAACGATATTTGTACCGCACTTTATAGTTTGTAAAGCACTTAATAGCCTGGGCAGTAACAGGACTCTTTATACCTCCATGAGAACCAGTCAAGAAAATAATTTAAGCTTAGCTCTTTCTGCAGATGAATGAACAGAGGCCTGGAAGAGTGAGATATTTTGCGGAGCCGGACATGGATCCTGAGCAGCCTGCTCTCCTACTGCCCAGGCCTCATTCTGAGCAGTGTGGAAGGCTTCTGGTACCCCAGTTTGCATTCCGAGGCAGGTTTTGGAATATGTGGGCTGAGAAGCAGAGACTGGCAGCAAGATGTGGGCTGAGGAAGCGGTAGGAGCCACGCAGAGAACGGGGGTGGGGGAAGCCACAGGGGGAGGTGAAGGAGGAAGCATTTTTGTCACCGTGAATCACATTTTCCACTTGAAATAGGAGCTGAGACATTGTGAGGGGGCAAAATACAATATACAATGGAGGTGAGCAGGTGGGAAATTACATGGCTCATATTTAATTATGCAAAATCCCATAATCCCTCAGGGAGCCCAAAGGACATGAGGTGGTGATTTTCCTTCTCTCATAATCTTGGAGCCACTTTATTAAATGACAGAAAGAATAATGCGTCCAGGGAGGAAAGAATTATGTGGTCAGAGAACTAAAGATAATTTCACAGCTTTCTCGTTCCATTCTACGCCTTCCTCCTTGGCTGTTCTGAGCTGCAACTCTGGCCTTAATGTAGGGATAAACAGGTATCCTTACTGCATCACAGAGACATGGAGAGTCTTTAGTATACGACTGTACATCCCCTTATTTTACAGATGATGTTGAAAGAGACAGAGAGCCTGAGAAAGGTGGTGGGGGGGGGCAGGGGAGAGAGAGAAAATAGCTCTTTCTGATTATTATGGTCTTAACTGTGTCCCCTCTCTCCAAACCCGAAATTAATATGTTGAAGTCCTAACTCCCAGTACCTCAGAATGTGACTGTATTTGGTGACAGGGCCTTTAAAGAGGGGATTAAATGAAAGTGAGCTGCTTGAGGTGGGCCCTTGTTCCATCTGACTGGTGTCCTTCTAAAAAGGGGAAATTCAGACACACAGAGACACCATGAATGTAGACACAGAGGAGAGGCCACATGGGGACACAGCAAGAAGGTGTCCATCTGCAAGCCAAGGAGAGAGGCCTCCGGAGAAATGAAACCAGTCAATACTTTGATCATGGACTTCTACATTCCAGAACTGTGAGGAAACAAATGCCCGCTGTTGAAGCCATCCAGCCTGTGGTATTTTGTTAGGGCAGCCCTAGAAAATGAATGCAGATTTTGGTACAGAGAAGTGGGGTGCTGATGTAACAAGTACCTAAAACTGTGGAAATGCCTTTGGCGTTGAGTATTAGCTAGAGGCTGGAAGAGTTGTGAAGCACGTGTTATAGAAAAAAGCCCAGATTGTGTTGAAGAGACTCATGATAGAAATACAGGTGTTAAAGCTGCTTCTACGAGGTCGCAGATGGAAATAAAGAACGTGCTATTGGACACTAGAGAGAAGGAGATCCTTATTATAAGTGGCAAAGAGGTTGGCTGAATTGTGTTCTAGTGTTTTGCAGAAGGTGGATCCTGTGAGTGAAGCACTTGGATATTTGGCAGAGGAGATTTCAGAAATCGAAACTGTTGAAGCACAATATTGAAGGTGCAGCCAGCTTTCTCCTGATTGCTTACGGCAAAATGCAAAAGGAGAGAGAGACATTGAAGAAGAAAGTGTTAAGCAACACAGAACCAAAACGTAAAAATTGGGAAATTTCTCAGCCTATCCATATGGCAGCAAGTGAGAAAGCTTGTTCTGGGGAGAATCCCAAGGGCGTGACTGGACAATCACAGGAAAAAGATACTGTGGGTGTCACTCAAGGATCTCACAACCATCTCAGCCTATGCACCCATCAATGGTGGATTGAACACATAAAATGTGGTACGTATATTCTATGGAATACTATACAACCATAAAAAACAAAATCGTGTATTTTTCATCAACATGAATGCAGCTAGAGGCCATTATTCTAAGTGAATTAATGCAGAAACAGAAATGCTACCAGCTTGGACTGAGGCTCAGAGATGAGAGAAAGGCTGTCAGACTTCTGGGATTCTACAGGACAGGACATTAGAGCTATCCAGATGAGAACGTTCTTACCCTTCAAGAAAAGGAAAGAATGACCACAAAGGCAAGGCTGTCTCCTCGTCAGTACCTGGGGGATACCTCTTTGGTTTTATTGGGCCAGGCTTGCTTGGGACCCATGAACCTTTCTTCTTTTTTCCCTTTGGAACCAGAATGTCTATACTATGCCTGTGCCACCATTGTATTTTGGAAGCAGATCACTTTTTTGTTTAATAGGTTCACAGCTGGGCCGTTCACAATAGAAAGACATGGACTCAACCTAAGTTCACATCAGTGGTGGGTTGGATAAATAAAATGTGGTACATATACACCATGGAGTAATATACAGCCATAAAAAGAACAAAATCATGTCTTTTTCAGCAACATGAATGCAACTGGAGGTCATTATTCTAAGCGAATTAATGCAGAAACAGAAAATTGAATACCACATGTTTTCACTTATGAGTGGGAGCTATACCTTGGGTACACATGGACATAAAGCTAGGGAACAATAGACATTAGGGACCCCCCAAAAATGGAAGGAGGAAGTGGGGAAAGGGCTGAAAAACTACCTATTGGGGCTGGACATGGTGGCTCACACTTGTAATCCCAGCTACTCAGGAGGCTGAGGCACAAAAATCACTTGACCCTGGGGGGGTGGAGGTTGCAGTGAGCCGAGATCGTGCCACTGTACTCCAGCCTGGAGGACAGAGCGAGACTCTGTCTCAAAAACAACAACAACAACAAACAAACAAAATAACAAAACAAAAATAACTATTGGATACTATTCTCACTCTCTGGGTGACGGGATCAATGGAAGCCCAAACCTTAGCATCATGCAACATACCCTTGTGACACACCTGCACATGTACCCACCAAATCTAAAATAAAAATGAAAAAGAATAGGTTCACAGCTGGAGAGGAGTTCTGCCTCAGAATGAATCACACCTTGAGTCTCAGCCACATCTGATTTAGATGAGATTTAGATAAGATTTGGAACTTAGAGTTCATGCCAGCACGGGTCAAGACTTGTAGGGTGTGGGGATGAGGGTGAATGTATTTTGCAAGTGAGAAGGATGTGAATTTCGGGAGTCCAGAGGGCAGAGTGTTATGGGTTGAATTGCATTTCCCCAAAATGTATATGTTTAAGCCCTAACTCCAGTACCTCAGAATGTGACTGTATTTGGAGATGAAGTCTTTTTTTTTTTTTTTTAGATGGAGTCTCGCTCTGTCATCAGGCTGGAGTGCAGTGGCACGATCTCGGCTCACTGCAATCTCTGCCTCCCGGTTTCAAGCCATTCTCCTGGCTCAGCCTCCAGAGTAGCTGGGATTACAGGCGTACACCACCACACCCAGCTAATTTTTGTATTTTTAGTAGAGATGGGATTTCACCATGTTGGCCAGGATGGCCTCGATCTCCTGATCTCGTGATCTGCCCGCCTTGGCCTCCCAAAGTGCTGGGATTACAGGTGTGAGCCACTGCACCTGGCCTAGGGTGGGCTTTAATCCAACCTAACTAGTGTCTTTTTAAGAAGATGCAATTTGGACACACACAGAGACATCCATAATGTGTGCACACAGAGCAAAGACCATGTGAAGACATTGAAATGGTGGGCATCTTCTAGCCAATGAGACAGGCTTCAGAAGCAACTAAACATGCTGGCACCTTGACCTTGGACTTCTTGCATCCAGGAATGTGAGAAAGTAAATTTCTCTTGGTTAAGTCAACCAGTCTAGACGTGGTATTTTGTTATGGCAGCCATGGCAAACTAATACACTGCAAAACAGAGGACCTGGTTGAGATCTAGACTTGAACCCTGATTCTGCCCAAGGAGGCTGCTGTCTACAAACAGGAATTTCACTCTCCAGACAGCAGTGACTCCTGGTGAATGCTCCACAATGGGTTTAAAGACTTGACTCCAATGTAGATGCTTCCCCATGGTCTTGGACAGCTAGGCTGGCAGGTCACCCCTCCATATCTGTCCTTGGCAGACTGAGTGGGTTGGAAGAACTAAGCTGGGATGCCTGCCTGCAATGTCCCCACATCTACTCTGCATGACCAACTGGAGGCTGTGTTTAGGACTTCCCAAGACCCCGAGAAAACTGGATTCTACTTGTCTCTATAAAAGAGTAAAAAAATTAGCTGTGCATGGTTGTCACCGAGTATCCCAGCCTCAAAATGCATTTTAAAACTTTTTTGTTTTTCTTTTTTGCTTGCAGCCTCGAAACATACTTTGAAACTCTTTGTTTCTGCCTTTCCCACCAGGCACTTCCGTGAACAGTGCTCACTTATCTAATTATGTGCTTGCTTAGAAATTCCAGGGGCCAATTTTGCA